>NT_187693.1:0-355600 GCF_000001405.40 Homo sapiens
TGTCAGTTGCTTGGTGTGGTGAAGCAATGAGAGTGTTTTTTTCGGGGGAGGAGGTGTCAGATAGATCAAGAATTTATAATTAGCATAAGAAATGTACTTCTTAACAAAGCCAGCCTGGGCAACATAGTGAGATTCCCATCTCTACAAAAAAAAAAAAAAAAAAATTAGCCCAGTGTGGTGGTGCACACCTGTGGCCCCAGCTACTTGGGAGGCTGAGGCAGGAGGATTGCTTGAGCCTGGGAGGTCAAGGCTGCAGTGAGCTATGATTGTGCCACTGCACTCCAGTCTGTGTGACAGTGCAAGACCCTGTCTCAAAAAATAAAAAGAAAAAAAAAGAAACATACTAAAAAAGGACACATATTAGCAATATGAAACAAGAACAATTTTCCATAAAGCAAGAGGCTTATGGAAATAAAAAGTATAAAAATACATGATGGTAAAAAATATATAACATTATCCTCTAACAGAATAGGCAGTAGGGTGGGTGCCGTGGCTCACGCCTGTAATCCCAGCACTTTGAGAGGCTGAGGTGGGATGATCACTTGAGACCAGGAGTTCGAGACCAGTCTGGGCAACATGGTGAGACCGTGTCTCTTTAAAAAAAAAAAAAAAAAAGGCAGAATTGATACAGCTGAAGAAAAATGAACAAGTAAGAAAATGTGGTGGAGGAACTTCTCCAGGAAGCTGATATAATTATATTAAGATCAGAAAAAATAAGAGAAAAGTCATCGTACGATATAAGGGACAGGTGTTTCTCAAAATCCAAAATCTTCTCTGCTAAGAGAATCCTGATTTTGTTTTTGTTTTTGTTTCTTGAGATGCAGTCTTGCTCTGTCGCCCAGGCTAGAGTGCAGTGGTGCAATCTCAGCTCACTGCAAACTCCACCTCCCAGATTCAAGTGATTCTCCTGCCTCAGCCTCCCCAGTAGCTGGATTACAGGTGCTCGCCACCACACCCAGCTAATTTTTGAATTTTTAGTAGAGACGGGGTTTCACCATGTTGGTCAGGCTGGTCTCAAACTCCTGACCTCGTGATTCGCCCACCTCAGCCTCCCAAAGTGCTGGGATTACAGGCCTGAGCCACCGCACCCAGCCGAGAACCCTGATTTTGTTCAGGTGTCAGTTGGCCACCCTTGTTCCTTGGAGACTTGGCCCTTTTCTAGTTTCAGGCATGAATCTTGATTAGTCTAAGGCTTAGTGACGTGCTGGTTGTGAAAGTGTGGTCCCTGAACCAGCAGCGTCAGCATCACCTGGGAGCTCGTCAGAAAGGCAAATTCTTGAGCCCCACCCCAGACCTACTGAATCAGTCAGAAACTCTGAAGGTGAGCTTTTCCTTTCTCCTCCTCTCCAACCTATGGTTTGACAAGTCCTCCAGGTGATTCTGATGCACACTGAAGTTTAAACACCTTTAGCCCAGTTAGGTAAACTCACGCCCACTGCTAGTGGTTATTTAAGGAAGGGGCTGGATGCAATTGTGTTTCTTGAGATGTGAGTGGAAATCTCGTGGGAGGCTTCCTCATGTTGGAGAGGGCCGCGTTGGAAGGGCCTTTCTATGCCCTTCGTCTGCTTTTTATCTCATCCTTTCCAAAAAATTAACTTTTTATTTATTTATTTGAGACAGAGTCTTGCTCTTGTCGCCCAGGCTGGAGTGCAGTGGCGCGATCTCGGCTCACTGCAACCTCCACCTCCTGGGTTCAAGCAATTCTCCTGCCTCAGCCTCCCGAGTAGCTGGGGCTACAGGCACCTGCTACTATGCCCAGCTAATTTTTGTATTTTCCGTAGAGACAGGGCTTCACCATGTTGGCCAGGCTGGTCTCAAACTCCTGACCTCAAGTGATCTGCCCACCTCAGCCTCCCAAAGTGCTGGCATTACAGGAGCGAGCCACCTCACCTGGCTTAACTTTTTATTTTAAAATAGTTCTGGAGGCCAGGTGTGGCAGCTCACGCCTATAATCCCAGCACTTTGGGAGTCTGAGGCAGAAGGATCTCTTGAGCCCAGGTGTTCAAGACCAGCCTGGGCAACATGGCAAAATCCCATCTCTACAAAAAAGTTTTTAAAAATTAGCATTTGCCTGTGCGTCCAGCTTCTCAGGAAGCTGAGGCGGGAGGATCACTTGAGCTTAGGAGGTCAAGGCTGCAGTGAGACACCATACTGGGATTACAGGCGTGAGACACCACTCCAGGTCTGGGTTCTCTTTTTTTTTTTTTTTTTTTTTGAGACAGAGTCTCACTCTTTCGCCCAGGCTGCAATGAAGTGGCACCATCTTGGCTCACAGCAACCTCCACCCCGCAGATTCAAGCGATTCTCCTGCCTCAGCCTCCTGAGCAGCTGGGATTACAGGCGCCCGCCACCAAGCCTGGCTAATTTTTATATTTTAGAGATGCCCAGGCTGGAGTACAGTGGTGCGATCTCAGCTCAACACAACCTCCACCTCCCGGATTCAAGTGATTCTCCTGCCTCAGCCTCCCCATTAGCTGAGATTACAGGCATGCACCACCACGCCCGGCTAATTTTGTATTTTTAGTAGAGACAGGGTTTCTCTGTGTTGGTCAGGTTGGTCTCCAATTCCTGACCTCCGGTGATCTGCCTGCCTCGGCCTCCCAAAGTGCTGGGATTACGGGTGTGAGCCACTGTGCCCGGCTGATCTTACATTTTCTTGTGCACTTATTCATGAGCTTTTTTTTTTTTTATGAAAATGAATTCCTACCATCCATTCTCCTTCCAAACTGCTCATACCCAGTATTCCCAAGGTTTTTGCACATGTATATAACAGAATGTCAAAGTAGATTCATTGCAATCTCAGTTTCTGCTCAGGCCCAAAGATTATAGATGCCAGCGAGGTCAGATCTCACAGTAAGGCCATTTCTGCATGACTTCAGGAGAAAATGCTGAAAACCTAATTTCCCCACACCCTTGGCCTCTTGTCCACCTGAAGGTAAGAAAGGAGTGTTGGGGGGAAGGGGGAGGGATAGCATTAGGAGATATACCTAATGCTAAATGACGAGTTAGTGGGTGCAGCACACCAGCATGGCACATGTATACATATGTAACTAACCTGCACATTGTGCACATGTACCCTAAAACTTAAAGTATAATAATAATAAAATAAAATAAAAATAAATAAATAAATAAAAATTAAAAAAAGAAAAAAAAAAGAAAGGAGTGTTGAGATTAGAAGGTATTTTTTTTCCTATTGGGATACAGGTGGTGTTTGGTTGCATGAGTAAGTTCTTTAGTGGTGCTTTGTGAGATTGTGGTGTAGCCATCACCCAAGCAGTATACACTGCACCCCATTTATAGTCTTTTATCCCTCGCCCCCCTCTCACCTTTCCCCCCAAGTCCCCAAAGTCCATTGTATCATTCTTATGCCTTTGCATCCTCATAGTTTAGCTCCCACATATCAGTGAGAACATATGATGTTTGGTTTTCCATTCCTGAGTTACTTCACTTAGAATAATAGTCTCCAGAGATTAGAAGAGTTTTTGTTTTGTTTTGTTTCTGTGTGTTTGTTTACGTAAGCTGTTGGTGTGCTGTGAGTCCCATCCTCTGTCCACCGTAGATGTGTGATGGAGGATGACAGTCTCTTCAACTGGACAATTCAGAGTAGTTATATGGGGTGAGGGGCGGGTCCAGAGAGGAATGGGGTCTGATATGGTTTGGCTTTATGTCCCCACCCAAATCTCATCTTGAATTGTAATCCCCAGGTGTTGGGGGAGGAACCTGGTGGGAGGTGATTGAATCATGGAGGTGGCTTCTACCTTGTTGTTCTCATGATAAAGTGAGTTCTCAGGAGATCTGATGGTTTTATAAGCGTTTGGCAAGTTCCTCCTTTGCTTGCTCTTCTCTCTCTCTTGTTGCCTTGTGAAGAAGATATTTGCTTCTCCTTCCCCTTCTGCCATGACTGTAGTTTCCTGAGGCCACCCTAGCCATGTGGAATTGTAAGTCAATTAAATCTCTTTCTTTTTTTTTTGAGACTGAGCCCCCCTGTCATCCAGGCTGGTGTGCAGTGGTGCAATCTCAGCTCACTGCAACCTCCGCCTCCTGGGTTCAAGCGATTCTCCTGCCTCAGCCTACCGAGTAACTGGGACAACAGGCATGCGCCAATAGCCGGCTAATTTTGTATTTTTAGTAGAGGTGGCGTTCACCATGTTGACCAGGCTAGTCTCGAACTCCTAACCTCAAGTGATCCGCCCACCTCAGCCTCCCAAAGTGCTAAGATTACAGGTGTGAGCCACCACACACGGCCTCGGCTATTTATAGCAGTGTGAGAACGGGCTAACACAGGGTCTTTCCTCACTGGAGAGAGAGGGTGGGAGGAGAGAGAGAGGGTGGGAGGGGAGAGAGGGGAGAGGGGAGAAATGGGGGAGGGGGGGAGAGGGGGGAGAGAGAATGAATATGAGAATGAATGTACCAGGAGCTTTTATCCTTTGCAGGAGCGCCACCTGGAGGTAGGAGGTGAAGTCTGCAGAGAGAAGCTGGAAATGTACTGACGGATCCCCAAGGATTCAGTAATGTGACCAAGTGGAGGAGCTGCATTTACAGGCATCAAGGGAACTGCAGGTGAGAGGTCTGCAGCCTTGCAAGAGAGTGGGGGAAGCAGGAGAAGCTCCACGTGGGGAGATAAAGGAAAAGCTGACCACGCTTCCTCCACGTTGCAGGCAACCTGCCGAAAGGATTTTAATCACTGAGCTGACACTGTATTTTTTTCTTGTATGTGACTTTTTTAAGAAGCAGCTGGAAGTCTTTATGACCTAAGATGACTATAAAAATTATGAGAAGGCCGGGCGCAGTGGCTCACACCTGTAATCCTAGCACTTTGGGAGGCCAAGGTGGGCGGATCACTTAAGGTCAGGAGTTCGAGACCAGCCTGGCCAACATGGCGAAACCCTGTCTCTACTAAAAATACAAAAATTAGCTGGGCGTGGTAGCACATGCTTGTAATCCCAGCTGCTCGGGAGGCTGAGGCAGGAGAATCACTTGAACCTGGGAGGCAGAGGTTGCAGTGAACCATGACTGCACCATAGCACTCCAGGCTGGGCAACAGAGCAAGACTGTCTCAAAAAAAAAAAAAGTTATGAGACTTGCTTTACATGTCACCCAAGGGCACAGGTAAAGAATTAGACCTAGGAGTTGGGTTGATAGGGCAATGGGAAAAAAGAAAAAAATTGTTTACTGAATCAAGGGAATAATCACACCTACATCTTTGCAACTCACGTGCTTACAACTAGGGCAACCAAATTGTTCCGGTTCGCCCAGGATTTTCTCTGGTTTAGCCCTGAAATTTCTGTGTCCTGGGAAATTCCTCATTTCTATTTTAAAACCGAAAGTCCCACATCCTAAGACACACACACACGCCCCTGCACACACCAATCCTGGTAAAACGGTAACAGTTGGTCATACTATCTACAACAACCCTATTCGAGATCTGTGTCTTCACGATGAGGAAAGGCACATGCAGTTCTGGAGATTTTAACACGTGTTCCCAAGGTCACACAACCTGCCCTTGTATCCAGCACTGAAAGCAGATGACTCTCCTCTTTCCACGATTCTAAGCCTCTTCCCGTAGCATGTCCCATGTGGAGGAGAAAAGTTAAGAAAATGAAACTGGCCAAAACTTGCTACTGCATTTGTGATTTTAGAAAGTAAATGATCAGACATTATTAAAATTATCAATGCAAAAAGAAAGTGAGACTGAACAGATTGTTTACCTTAACAAGATCAAGTTAAACTCGTATAGGGCTTATATATAATGCCGCTTAAAAGCTCAAGTTTATGCGGGGCAGTTTTGGTGGAAGAAGCTCAGGCAGTCCCTCTGGTGGTCGTTATAGATCTGGCCGTGGAACTGGTGGATATGAAAACAGAAGGTTCTAAAAACAGCAGAAAAGGGCAACAGTTCTTAGCAGGAGAGACAGTGAGGAAAGCTGCAGGTTACTTGGAGACAGTCATCCCAAATGCATTAGAGGAGGTGTAAAAATCTGCCACAGAAGGAACAATGATCCATAGTCAGAAAAGTTACTGCAGCTTAAGCAGGAAACCCTTCTTGTTCAGGACTGTCATAGCCACAGTTTGCAAAAAGTGCAGCTATTGATTAATGTGATGTAGTGTCAATTAGAGGTACATCCCTGAGGTCTTTAAAACAAAACAAACTCAGCCAGGCACGGTGGCTCACACCTGTAATCCCAGTGCTTTGGGAAGCTGAGGCAGGCAGATCACCTGAGGCTGGGAGATTGAGACCAGCCTGGCTAACATGGTGAAACCCCGTCTCTACGAAAAATACAAAAATTAGCCCGGCATGGTGGTGGGCGCCTGTAATCCCAGCTACTCAGGAGGCTAAGGCAGGAGAATTGCTTGAACCCAGGAGGTGGAGGTTTCAGTGAGCCAAGATCGTGCCACTGCACTCCAGCCTGGGTGACAAGAGTGAAACTCCGTCTCAAAAAATAAATTAAATAAATAAATAATTAGCTGGACGTGGTGGCAGGCACCTGTAATCCCAGCTACTTGGGAGGCTGAGGCAGGAGAATCACTTGAGCCTGGGAGGTGGAGGTTGCAGTGACCAGAGATCGTGCCACTGAACGCCAGCCTGGGCAACAGAGCAAGATTCTGTCTCAAAAACAAAAACAAAAACAAAAAAAGGCTCAAGTTTATGAATGAACTGTTCATATCAGGTGATGGTCTTTCAAAATAATGACTGTTTTGTACCAACTATTGTGCTCATGTGATTGATTGAACAATGCTTCCAAAGAATTTGAAACAATAAGGCAAAGAAACCTAATGTTCATAACAGAAAAAAAAATTAAATGTATAGCACTAGAAAAATTGATTTTTTTTTTTTTGAGACAGGGTCTCACTCTGTCACCCAGGCTGGAGTGCAGTGGTGCAATGATGGCTCACTGCAGCCTCCACCTCCTGGGCTCCAGCGATCCTCCTGCCTCAGCCTCTAGAGTAGCCCGGACTACAAGCATGCACCACCATGCTCAGCTAATTTTTGTATTTTTAGTATAGACAGGGTTTTACCATTTTCCCCAGGCTGGTCTCGAACTCCTATGCTCAAGCAATCAACTTGCCTCAGCCTCCCAAAGTGCTGGGATTACAGGCATGAACCACAGAGCCTGGCATGATACTAGAAAAATTCTTTTTTTTTTTTTGACATTTAAGTTCAGGGGTACATGGGCAGGATGTGCAGGTTTGTTACACGGGTAAACGTGTGTCATGGGGGTTTGTTGTACAGATTATTTTTTTTCTAGTGTATTTACTACTTCCTGATTATCAGATTATTTTATCACCCAGTTATTAAGCCTAGTACCCACTAGTTATTTTTCCTGATCCTCTCTCTGCTACCACCCTCCACCCTCTGACAGGCCCCAGCATGTGTGAAAAATTCTTATAGTCTTCTAGAAAATACAATAGGTAGCCTTTGGAACATAGGGTATCATAAAGAGAAGCTGTAGAAAATATATTTCTTTGAATTTTTTTTTTTTTTTTTTTTTACAAATGATCACTATAATGTTTAAAATATGTTTACCACCTACAGTTGTGTGCTAGGGAAGCCATAACAAAATGCCCCCCACTGGGGGGCTTATGGGACAGAAATGGATTTTCTCACCGTTCTGCAGGCTGGAAATCCAAGATGGAGGTGCCAGTAGGGTCAGTTTCTCCCGGGGTCTCTCTGCTTTGTATGCAGATGGCCGCCTTCTTGCTGTGTCTCCACGTGGTCTTTCCTCTGGATGTACATATCCTGGTGTCCTTTTCTTTTTTTTTTTTTTGAGTTGGAGTCTTACTCTGTTGCCCAGCTGGAGTGCAATGACACGATCTCAGCTCACTGCAGCCTCTGCCTCCTGGATTCAAGCGATTCCCCTGCCTCAGCCTATCGAGTAGCTGGGATTACAGGCGTGCACCACCGCGCCCAGCTAATTTTTGTATTTTTAGTAGACATGGGGTTTGGCCATGTTGGCCAGGCTGGTCTTGAACTCCTGACCTCAGGCGATCCGCCCACCTGGGCTTCCCAAAGTGCTGAAATTACAGGCGTGAGCCACCACACGTAGCCCCTAGTGTCTTTTTTATGTCCAAATTTCCTTTTTTCACAACGGCCTCTTGTCTCTAAATACAGTCACATTCTGAGTTACTGGGAGTTAGGATTCAGCACACGAATTTTGAGGAGATGTAATTCAGCCCATAATTAAGCCCTATCCTCATCAGACTGATGATCTGTGCTTTCTCTGAACTAACAGGATTTATATATTCCTTTTTAACAGCAAGGAACTCAGGTTCTCCATGGCCCCTTTATGAAGTTGCTCCTGCTGGTACATGACCCTCAGTTAGTTTCCTGAAGTTATTTACAAAGCCACCTCCACATGTGTTGAGCCTCTTCAGTTTACTTCAAATCCTGGGCCTGTGCTGCATGGCGGTGCTTTCCACAGATTCATATGTTAGATCTTTTCTATTTTTTTTTCTGAGACAGAGTTTCCCTCTGTCGCCCAGGCTGGAGTGCAATGGTGTGATCTCGGCTCACTGCAACCTCTGCCTCCTGGGTTCAAGCAATTCTCCTGCCTCAGCCTCCTGAGTAGCAGGGACTACAGGCGTGTGCCACTATTCCCAGCTAATTTTTGTATTTTTAGTAGAGGCAGGGTTTCACCATATTGGCCAGGATGGTCTCGATCTCTTGACCCCATGATCCTCCCACTTTGACCTCCCAAAGTGTTGGGATTACAGGTGTGAGCTACCGCGCCTGGCCACATATTAAATCTTTTTTTTTTTTTTTTTTTTTGAGACAGAGTCTTGCTCTGTCACCCAGGCTGGAGTGCAATGATGGATCTCGGCTCACTGCAAGCTCCGCCTCCCAGGTTCATGCCATTTTCCTGCCTCAGCCTCCCGAGTAGCTGAGACTACAGGCACCCGCCACCACACCTGGCTAATTTTTTGTATTTATAGTAGAGATATGTTAGCCAGGATGGTCTCGATCTCCTGACCTCATGATCCACCCACCTCGGCCTCCCAAAGTGCTGGGATTACAGGCGTGAGCCACCGCGCCCGGCCTCATGTTAAATCTTGACACCCAATGTGATCTGAGAGGTTGGGCCTTTGGTGATGGCAGCAGCCACTCCAGACGGCTTGCTGCTGCCATGACGCCACCTGCCCCAGGGAGGCCCAGCCCGGGCTATACACGCTATGGAGCCGCAGGGAGCCCTGCCCCTTCCGAGTTGGGGCGGGAGCTCCCAGGGTGATGCTACAGCTGTCCAAACCCCAGCTGTGGATCCGAGCCTCCCTCAGATCGTATCACATATCAAGACTTACTCTTGTTGACAAAAAGAGTCAAACTCTATAAAATATTTGAAGAGATTTATTCTGAGCCAAATATGATAATGACCATGGCCCCTGACACAGCCCTAAGGAGGTCCTGAGACCATGTACCCAAGGTGGTCGGGGGGCAGCTTGGTTTTATACATTTTAGGGAGGCGTGAGGCATCAATCAAACACATTTGAGAAATACATTGGTTTGGTCCAGAAAGGCTGGACAATTTGAAGGAGGCAGGGCCTTCCAGGCTTTAGGTAAATTAAAACATTTTCTGGTTGACAATTGGTTGAGTTTGTCTAAAGACCTGGGATTAATAGAGAGGAAATATTCAGGTTAAGATAAAAGATTGTGGAGACCAAGGTTCTTTTGAAGTCTTATAGTGGCTGCCCTTAGAGACAATAGATGACAAATGTTTCCTACTCAGACCTTCAAAAGTTGCTAGATTCTCAGTTAACCTCCTCAGGATTGGGAGGTCCTGGAGGAAAAAGATCTAGCAATGTTAACAGAGATCCTTTACATATGCAAATATTCCCCCCCACCAAGGACAGCTTTGCAGGGCCATTTAAAAATATGGCAAAGAAACATGTTTTGGGGTAAAATATTTTTATTTTCTTCTTTGTTAGGTAATGTTATGCCAGAGTCAGATTGGAAAGTAAGTCACGATATATAGGGCTAAATAAAACCCATCTGATGAGAATTTATGGTTTGTAGGGCATGAGACCCCAGACCCCTTAGATAAGAATCTGGGCAAGATAAAAAAAAAAAATCAGAGCTGAGTCCTCACTATGGTAATTCAGTGAGTGTGACTACCAGCATAGATGTCCATAAAGGATATCCATTAGGGCCACCCATTTTAATAATGTTTGCCAGGACCCTTCAATCAAAACAAAATCCATTCTCAGAATAGCTTAGAATCAAAGGAGGACTTTTTGGGTTTTTTTGGTTCAAGAAGGATTGGGCAAGAAAACTGCAGGGAGTGAAGGAATGCTGAGCTTTGGAAGCAATTAGAACCAAGAAAACAAAAGCTGAAAGCACTGTTACTCACTCCCGCTTCCCGGATGCTCCCTGAGTCATCTTTGTGTTTCTCCATAAAGACTGGCTTCCTCCACATGGCGAGACAGATGGCCACCAAGAACTCCCAAGCTTAAAAAAGAATGACTCTCTGTGGCAAGAAAACAAAGAGACACTCCTCCCCACCTTGCTACTCCCTATGTGGCCTCCACACTGCAACCTGGGACTGTGTAGTGAGGGGAGGGGGAGCGAAGAAGTTTGCGTTAGTCTGTTTTCACACTGCTGATAAAGACATACCTGAGACTGAGTAATTTATTTTTATTTTTATTTTTATTTATTTATTTTTTTGAGACGCACTCTGTCACCCAGGCTGGAGTGCAGTGGCACGATCTCCGCTCACTGCAAGCTCCGCCTCCCGGGGTCACACCATTCTCCTGCCTCAGCCTCCTGAGTAGCTGGGACTACAGGCGCCCGCCACCGCGCCCGGCTAATTTTTTGTATTTTTAGTAGAGACGGGGTTTCACTGTGTTATCCAGGATGGTCTCGATCTCCTGACCTCATGATCCACCCGCCTCGGCCTCCCAGAGTGCTGGGATTACAGGCGTGAGCCACTGCGCCCAGTCAGTTTACTTTTTAAAAAAGAGGTATAACGGACTTACAGTTCCACATGGCTGGGGAGGCCTCACAATCATGGCAGAAGGTGAAAGGCACATCTTACATGGTGGCAGACGACAGAGAAATGAGAGAGCCAAGCAAAAGGGGAAACCCGTTATAAAAACCTCAGCTCTCCTGAGACTTGTTCACTACCATGAGAACGGCATGGGGGAATGTGTGGGTGGAGGATTAGCCAGGTGCTGAGGCAAGAGACTGAAGGCACAAACTGTTGCAGTATAATAAAGAAAATAGAATAAGAATAGTCATAATACAAATTAGATGTAGAGATGATCATGGACAATTATCAATCATTATTATAAACATTATTAATCATTAGCTTTTAATATTACTCTTTGCTGCATTACTAATATAACCTAGGAATAACCGGCGGGTATAGGGTCAGGTGCTGAAGGGACATGGTGAGAAGTGACCTAGAAGGCAAGAGGTGAGCCCTCTGTCACGCGTGCATCAGGGCCGCTTGAGGGGTCCTTGGTCAAGCGGTAACGCCAGTGTCTGGGAAGGCACCCGTTACTTAGCAGACGGTGAAAGGGAGTCTCCTTTCCTTGGAGGAGTCAGGGAACACTCTGCTCCACCAGCTTCTTGTGGAAGGCTGGATATTATCCAGGCCTGCCCGCAGTCATCCGGAGGCCTAAACCCCTCCCTGTGGTGCTGTGCTTCAGTGCTCACACTCCTTGTCCACTTTCATGCTCCTCCCGTACTCCTGGCTCCTCTTTGAAGTTCATAGTAGATAGCGGTAGAAGAAATAGTGAAAGTCTTAAAGTCTTTGATCTTTCTTATAAGTGCATGGAAGAAAACGCTGACGTATGCTGCCTTCTCCCTCTCTCTCTGCTTCGGCTACCTAAGAGGGAAGGGCCCCCTCTCCTGTGATCACACGACTTGCTTCACCTTGTCAATCACTTCGAAGATTCACCCTGCTTACCCTGCCCCCTTATCTTGTATGCAATAAGTATCAGCGCGCCCAGCCGTTATGGGCCACTACCGGTCTCCGCGTCTTGATGGTTGTGGTCCTCCGGGCCCAGCTGTTTTCTCTTTATCTCTTTGTCTTGTGTCTTTATTTCTTACAATCTCTTATCTCTGCACACGGGGAGAACACCTGCAAAGCCCCATAGGACCCTGCAGGAATCCACCCCCATGATTGAATTATCTCCCACTGGGTCCATCCCACAACACATGGGAATTATGGGAGCTACAACTGAAGATGAGATTTGGGTGGGGACACAGACACAAGCCATATATCAAGGTTGTTCCTTCAGATGCAGCAATCCTGGGAGCTTCTGGTTAGGACAAGATACAAGCAGAGACAGCTTCATGGGTATTGTAAACTCAATGTTTGTGTCCCGACAAAATTCAGCTGTTGGAACCTAACCCCAAGGTGATGGTATTTGTAATACGGGAGCTAAAAAGAAATTATTGAGGCAGACAGTGAGGGTAAGAGAGTCCTCAGTAAGGTTTCCTATTAATAAAGAGCAGCCCCCAAATAATTTCTTTTCTAACAGAAAGCAGCCTGAAACATCAAGCTGCAAGCATAGATAAACAAGCTAAAATCTTGCATCAGCTGTGCCAATAGAAAACGGATGCCTGGGAGCCGGGTATATTCAACATGGAGGTTCCCTCTTCCCTTTTCTTTGTCCCCACATGTGCAGTAAAAAAGCAGACAACATGGCCCCGGCCAGGCAGAGACCCTACCTACGTAATAAAAGATTAGGGTGGGATGGCCAGCTTCTTTGGGGGCTATGCAAACGTCATACCTGGTCCGACTAATCTCTCAGGCCCTATGTAAATCAGACAGCACCTCCTCAAGCTTGTCTATAAAAGCCCCATGCATTTCACCACAAAACCAGGGGTCCCACTCGGGAACCCCTCTCTTCTCTGTGCAAAAGAGAGAACTATTCTCTTTTCTCTTTCTTTTGCTTATTAAGCCTTCACTCTTTTTTTTTTTTTTTTTTTTGAGATGGAGTCTGGCTCTGTCATTCAGGCTGGAGTGCAGTGGCACGATTTCGGCTCACTTCAACCTCCGCCTCCCAGGTGCAAGCAATTCTCCTGCCTCAGCCTCCCAAGTAGCTGGGATGACAGGCACCCACCACTGCGCCCAGCTAATTTTTATATTTTTAGTAGAGATGGGGTTTCACCGTGTTGGTCAGGCTGGTTTCGAACTCCTGATCTCAGGTGATCCGCCCCCCACTCGGTCTCCCAAAGTCCTGAGATTACAGGCGTGAGCCACTGCGCCCGGCCCAGTCTCTTTCACTATGTAAGGACACAGCAAGAAGGTGCCAGCTATGAACCAGGAAAAAAGCCCTCAGCAGACACTGAATCTACCAGTGCTTTGGTCTTGGACTTCCAGCCTCCAGAACCATGAGAAATAACTATGTGTTGTCTGTAAGCTGCCAGGTCTTTGGTATGTTGATAGCAGCCTGGATGGACTAAGACACTCTCTCCTTCCCTCTCATGCCCTGGACCCTCATCAGGGCCAGAAGTGGTTGGGGTGATGGCCCAAGCAGACTTTAAAAAGCACTGGCCTAGCACAAGGGTTGGCACGCTAGAGCCCACAGCTTGTTTTTGCAAATAAAATTTTTTGTTTTTAAAACAACTTTCTGGGCTGGGCACGGTGGCTCACGCCTGTAATCCCAGCACTATGGGAAGCCGAGGCAGGCGGATGACTTGAGGTCAGGAGCTCAAGACCAGCCTGGCCAACATGGTGAAACCCCATCTCTACTAAAAATACAAAAAAATTAGCCTGGTGTGATGGCAGAAGCTTGTAATCCCAGCTACTCAGGAGGCTGAGACAGGAGAATCATTTGAACCTGCGGGGAGAGGTTGCAGCGAGCTGAGATCACGCCACTGCACTCTGGCGCCTGGGCGACAGAGCAAGACTCCATCAAAAAAAAAAAAACTTTCTATAGATACATAATATTTATGCATATTTATGACATACATGTGATAGTTTGATACATGCACAGAATGTATAATACTCAAATTAGGGTATTTAGGATATTCACCACCTCAAACATTTATCTTTTTTTTTATCTTTTCGAGACAGAGTCTCTCTCTGTCGCCCAGGCTGGAGTACAGTGGTGTGATCTTGGCTCACTGCAACCTCTGCCTCCCGAGTTCAAGCAATTCTTCTGCCTCAGCCTCCCAAGTGGCTGGGATTACAGGTGTGCGCCACCACACCCAGCTAATTTTTGTATTTTTAGTGGAGATGGGGTTTCACCTTGTTGGCCAGGCTGGTCTTGAACTCCTGACCTCAGGTGATCCACCCATCTTGGCCTCTCAAAGTGTTGGGATTACAGGAGTGAGCCACTGCACCTGGCTCATTTATCGTTTGTGTTGGGAATGTTTCAAATCTTCTCTTCTAGCTATTTTGAAATATACAATATATTGCTGTTAACTATAGTCACCCTTCTGTGCTATTGAACACTTGAACTTATTCCTTCTATCCAACTGTGTTTGTGCCCATTAACTATCCCACCCCTTCTAGCCTTTGATAACTGACTCTCTCTTTACCTTCATGAGATCTACTTTTTTAGCTCCTACATGAGTGAGAACATGAAGTTGTAAATAAAGTTTTATTCTAACACCGCCACACCTACTTGTTTACATATCAGCGATGGCTGCTTTCATGGTACAACAGCAGAGTGGGGTAGTCTCAGCAGAGATCCTACAGCCCACAAAGCTGGACGTGTTACTCTCTGGTCCTTTTGTTTTCTGCCCTCTGGTCTAGGAGTTTGCAGCTCTGGGCGTTTTTTGTTTTTTTTTTTTTTTTTTTTTGAGATGGAGTCTCACTCCATTGCCCAGGCTGGAATTCAATGGCGCCATCTCAGCTCACTGCAATCTCTGCCTCCTGGGTTCAAGCGATTCTTCTGCCTCAGTCTCCCAAGTAGCGGGGATTACAGGCGCCTGCCACCACGTCCAACTAATTTTTTATTTTTAGTAGAGATGGGATTTCACCATGTTGGTCAGGCTGGTCTTGAACTCTGACCTCAGATGATCCACCCACCTCGGCCTCCCAAAGTGCTGGGATGACAGGCGTGAGCCCGGCCGTTTTCTTTTTTGCTTGTTGTGCTTCCTGGAGATGCTCAGTAATTCTTACATTCTTTCCTGGATAGCTGGTCAATCATTATTTATTATTTCCTTGAATTGTTCTAGGAGGAAATGTGGGGTAGAAAGAGTATGGTGGGGTTCTTGGGCATGAATAATCCATAAATAAGTCAGATTTCTTTTTAAGACGAGAAACTTAATTTTATTGATATGGACGAAGAGCAAGGAAACACAGTATCTGCATCTCCAGATTTCCGATAACCTTGGCCAGCACGATCCCCCCTCCTTTAGTGGCCAGGGCTGTCTTCTTGCTACACTTTCAGTGCCGCATATTCATGAGATCCTGGGGGCTCCTGGGTGGTGTCTGAAGCTGCCTCAGACAGGGCGCTGGTGCTTAGCTCAGCATAGGTCACTCCTTGGGGGTCTGCCGTCTTTGGAGAAAATAGATGAATATTAGAACTGAGTGTTCAATATGGCAGCCACTAGCCACACATGGCTATTGACATTTAAGTTAATTACAATTAAATTTAATTTAAAACCCAGGTCCTCGGTCACACCAGATGCATTTCTTTTTCTTTTCTGTTTTTATAACCCTTTATGCCTGTGACATCAATGGATCTGCGTAAGCCTTTTTTCATTTTTTTTAAATTTTTATTTATTTATTTATTTTGGGACAGAGTCTGGCTCTGTCGCCCAGGCTGGAGTGCGGTGGCGTGATCTCGGCTCACTGCAACCTCCGCCTCCCGGGTTCAAGCCATTCTCCTGGCTCAGCCTCCTGAGTAGCTGGGATTACAGGCGCCCACTACCACGCCCAGCTAATTTTTTGTATCTTTAGTAGAGATGGGGTTTCACCATGTTAACCAGGATGGTCTCGATCTCCTGACCTCATGATCCGCCCGCCTCGGCCTCCCAAAGTGCTGGGATTACAGGCGTGAGCCACCGCGCCCGGCCCATGCATAAGCCTTTTAAATGGAGATTTTGGTTCCCATTAGGGGAGTTTCGTGACTTGTCTAAGACCACATGCGTGATAAACAGTATACATTTCTGTATGGGCTTAACCAGGAGGCACACACGACCAGCCCATTGTGGTGAGGGAGCTCTTGTGGGACTCCTAAGCGGGAGGACTCACCGAGAGAGATACCCTTTCCATATTGGATAAATCTGCCTCTGAGTGAGAAAGGAAAAAAAAAAATCAGTTCTCAGCTGCAGAAGTCAGAACTTAGTCTTTCTATCCGGTGATTCCCTTAAACTTCCCCTGTCCCTTACCGGCAGCCTCCTGCTCCGGAAGTTTGGAATGGCTGGTTCTGAAAGAGAGAGACACACGTGAAAGGATGGGATGTGAAGATTTCGGGGAGAGGGTGAGGGCAATGGAGGGGAGAGGAAGGGAGAAGAAGGGAGAGGAGGAAGGTCACAGAATGGGCTGGGGTGGGGGCTCAGGGTGCCAATCCCGGATGTGCCAATGGGTTCCCTTGAGAATGACATGGGAATAAGTGGAGCATGAGCTATGCCAAGCATCTACCTCTTGGTGGATTCCTCAGATGATGAACCTACAAAAAATGCAGGAGGAATTTACCTACCGAGAAAATCCTTCACTCCCCCTCTCTCCCTTTGCGTTCTCTGAGCTCACTGTGCTGGCTGCATCTGTAGATGATGAAGACTGAGAGGAAGAGGAGAAGGATGGAGATGCAGCTGAAGATGGCGACAAAGATGGTTCTGGTGTCTGGAGGGGGAAGAGCAGGTCAGGGAATCAGCCTGGCTCCTGAAATCCACTGATAGGGGCGAGCCGAAAAGCTAAGAGAAGCCAGACAGATGGCCTGGCTTCCAAGCCTGGATCTCCCACCTCGGAGCTGGAACTTCCTATTGCTTTGGGGAATTTCCTTAATCTTCTCCAAGCTTCTGTTTCCCCATCTGTAAAGTGAGGATAGCAGCAGTAGCTACTTTATTGGATGGTGGGTCAGTACCTATAGAAAGGGCTGGAACAGTGCTTGGCGCATAGGAAATTCCAAAAATTCCCAGGGAATGTTTGGTGCATAGCAATGATATTGATCATTTATTGTGAGCCAGCTCTGTTCCAGGTGCTCCATATATATATATACGTGTGTGTGTGTGTATATATATATATAAATGTATATATATGTGTGTGTATATATAAATGTGTATATATATATATATATATATATATATATATACATATATATATATATATACACACTTTTTTTTTTTTGAGATGGAGTCGTGTTCTGTCACCCAGGCTGGAGTGTGATCCTGGCTCACTGCAACCTCCACCTCCCTGGTTCAAACAATTCTCCTGACTCAGCCTCCTGAGTAGTTGGGATTACAGGCGTGAGCCACCACATCTGTCTGTGTAATCACTGTCTGAAATCCACTGATGGGGTGAGTAGAAAAGCTAAGAGAAGCCAGACAGATGGCCTGGCTTCCAAGCCTGGATCTCCCACCTTGGAGCTGGAACTTCCTTGGAGCTGGACATTTCGACCAATAGACTTTGAGTAAAGCAGATGACCCACTGTCATAGGGGTGGGCCTCATCCAATCAGTTGAAGACTTTAAGACTTTAAGAGAAAAGACTGAGGTCCCCCAAGGTGGAAGGAATTCTGCCTCCAGACTCAAGCTGCAATATCAAGTCTCCCCTGGATCCCCTGCCTGCCTGCCCTGCAGATTTCAGACTTGCCAGCTCCCCACAATCACGTGAACCAATCCATTAAAATCAATCTCTCTCTCCATATATGTATATACATGTATATGTTCTCTTTTTTTTTTTTGAGACAAAGTCTCACTCTTATCGTCCAGGCTGGAGTGCAATAGTGCAATCTTGGCTCACTGCAAGCTCCGCCTCCCGGGTTCAAGCAATTCTCCTGCCTTAGCCTCCTGAGTAGCTGGGATTACAGGTGCCCACCATCACGCCCGGCTAATTTTTGTATTTTTAGTAGAGACGGGGTTTCGCCATGTTGGCCACGCTGGTCTTGAACTACTGACCTCAGGCAATCTGCCTGCCTCGGCCTCCCAAAGTGCTGGGATTACAGGCGTGAGCCACCACACCCAGCTTATATCTATATGTTCTATTGGTTCTGTTTTTCTGGAAAACCCTGGCTAACACAGACATGATCTCAGCTCTTAACTTCAAACATATTTCCTTTTTCTTTTTTTAAAGGAGAGAGAGAGATGTGAAAGGACGGGATGTGAAGATTATGGGGAGAGGGTGAGGGCAATGGAGGGGAGAGGAGGGGAGAGGAGGGAGGTCACAGATGGGAGCTCAGGATGCCAATCCCAGATGTGCCAATGGGTTCCCATTGTTGCCCAGGCTAGAGTGCAGTGGTGTGATCATACTCGAATTCCTGGGCTCAAGTGGTCCTCCTCACTCGGCCTCCAGGGTAGCTGGGAGTACAGACCACCACGCCCAGCCAACTTCAAACACACTTCAATGAGCTCGTTGATGCCAGGTAATGAACAGCAGTGACACGGGCATGGAAGGCGTTTAGAGTGGGGAGGGGTGGGGCTCTCTGAAGGAGACATGATTCCCCAAGACACAGAACAAGGGATCAGCTGGGAGAATTCAGGGAGGATTCCTAATAAGAACAGGGTTAGAGCAGGGTAGAAAAGAATGACCAGTGGCCGGGCACGGTGGCTCACGCCTGTAATCCTGGCACTTTGGGAGAGTGAAGTAGGTGGATCACTTGAGGTCTGGAGTTCGAGACCAGCCTGGCCAACATGGTGAAACCCTGTCTCTACTGAAAATATAAAAAATAAGCTGGGCATGGTGGCGCACGCCTGTAGTCCCAGCTACTCAGGAGGCTGAGAGAAGAGAATTGCTTGAACCTGGGAGGCGGAGGTTGCAGTGAGCCGAGATCGCATCACTGCATCATACACTCAACTGACCAAGACTCCAACTCAAAAAAGCATCCCTCTCAGGAGATAAAATTTCTACCAATTAAAAAACAAAAACAAAACAAAACAAAAAAAACTAGTTCTTGAGCAATATTGCCATGCAAGTCTACATCATAGCGTTTTAAAGTCTTAACAACAACCCTGCAAGGTAGTACAATTATTTCCCTCCCACTGGTGAAGGGCATGCATTCCCGTGTGACTCCTGGGATTACAGCAAGGGTTGTGTCCAAAGCTCACAGCGTTGAGGAAGAGAGAGCAACCTGTTACTAAAGCTAGGCGACAGAGTCCATGCAGTTCCCCCCCGTTTTTTGTTTTTCTTGGCACTTTAGATTCAAGAAACACAAGTCGTGAGACTTTAAGGAGTAAGTAGCAGAAACGTGATTAAGGAAAAAAGTTGAGCAACTATAGAAGTGAGGCCCCAGAAAGGGGCTTCACCAAGACCCCCGCTATCTTTGTTAGTGTGCTTTGAGTCTGAGAATTTTTCCTAGGTGTGCAATGATCTGTGGTCACATTACAGAGCCAAGTCTGAGATGCTTCACACGCCTGGTCCTCTGCACCAACAGAGGGTCTCCCATCCAGACGCTTCCCCTACTTGGTTCGCTATGTTTGCATTGGCATTTCTACATATCTATATATAGAGAATTACCTATCTAATTTATCTATCTCGCTAATCTATCTACCATCTGTCTAGGTATCTATTATCTATCTACCTATCTATCTTTATCTGTCTCTGTACCTACTTACCTATCATCTATCCAATCTATCCGTCCTATCTAATTATGATTTATCTATCTACCTACTTGCCTATCACCTATCCAATCTATCTATCCTATCATATGTAATTAACTATCTGTCTGTCTAATTTTTCTATCTTGTTAATCTATCACTTATCTAGGCATCTATGTATCTATCTTTATCTGTCTATCCACCTGCTTACCTGCTGTCTGTCTAATCTATCCATCCTATCATATCTAATTATCACTTATCTATCTACCGACTTACCTATCATCTAGTTACCAAATCTATCATCTATCTAATGTATCTATCAATCATAACCAGTTATCTATCATCTATCATCTATCATCTGTATGTATCTGTCTATTCACCTACTATTATCTATTTAATCTATTCTATCTAGTTATCTATCTATCTATCCACCTACTTATCTAATTTTTCTATCTTGCAACTCTATCACCTATCTAGGTATCTATGTATCTATCTGTGTATCTGTATATCTATCTATCTATCTAGCTAGCTTTATCTAGCTACCTAGTTACCTATCATCTATCTATCTAATCTATCATCTATCTAATGTATCTATCAATCATATCTAATTATCTGTCTATCTAATCATCTATCTTATCTATTATATCTAGTTATCTATCATCTAGCTAGCTAGCTAATCTATCTGTATCTATCTACCTACTTACCTATCGTCTATTTATCTATCTAATCTATCATATCTAGTTATCTATCTACTTACTTATCTAACCTGTTGTATCTAGTTATCTATCTACCTACTTACCTATCATCTGTCTATCTATCTAATCTGTCCATCGTATCTAGCTACTTATCTACCTATCATCTATGTATCTATCTAATCTATCATATCTAGTTATCTATTTATCTGCCTACTTGCCTATTATCTATCACATCTAATTATCTATCTATCCCCCTCCCTGAAATAAGGTTCTTTCTGAGCTGATCATCAGGGAGCAGCAAAAGGAGTGGGGAGTTTGAAACAAGACATATTTGAGTTCTAGTACTGGGTCTCCTACCTCCTGACTTTGTAAATGTTCCCTTCCCTTTCTGGAATACGTTATTTTTTGGTTAAATATAAGGAGGGGGCAGAGAGCTAATAATATCTAACTTGAAGAGTTAGGTAATGATGAAAAATCCTGGCTTTAAAGCGCTCAGTCTAGAAACTGACTCATTGTGTCGGATAATGGGATTGTAGGTATAATGATGATTTTTTTTCACCCAATATTCCACCTACACCCATCTCTCTCTGTAATAGATTCTGTCAATGTTCCTCAACCCATGTTCCCCAGATCCCTTTCCCATTTTTATGCATTCTAGATCGTGGCTTCTTTCCCTTTCCAAAGTGAACATTTGTATCTCTTCTTTGGGGGACTGCCTGGGAGAACTCCAAATGCCTTGGAATTTACATGCCCGGGACAAACTGCCACTGACGGCTGTGGGGACCCCAGCTCCCTAGCCTCTGGTCTTCGACCTTCTCTGTCTCCACTGCTTTCTGCAGGATGGAGCCAAAGATACCATCTGAGGGACACAGATATCCCACACTTGTTTAATCTATTTTCCTCCCAGCCCTTCTTCCCCACTCCCTAAAATGTAATTTTCAAGCCAGGCGTGGTGGCTCACACCTGTAATCCCAGCACTTTGGGAGGTCGAGGCAGGCAGAGCACCTGAGGTCAGGAGTTCGAGACCAGCCTGACCAACATGGAGAAACCCCGTCTCTACTAAAAATAGAATATTAGCTGGGTGTGGTGGTGCATGCCTGTAATCCCAGCTATTTGGGAGGCTGAGGCAGGAGAATCTCTTGAACCTGGTAGGCGGAGGTTGCAGTGAGCCAAGATCACGCCATTGCACTCCAGCCTGGGCAACAAGAGCGAAACTCTGTCTCAAAACTAAATAAATAATAAATAAAATAAAACGTCACTTTCACACTAATGCTGTCTAAGAGCCTGCTTCTGGTGGAGCTGAATCAGAGAACCCCTCAAAAGCAACAATTTTTTTTTTTTTGAGACAGTCTCACTCTGTCTCCCAGGCTGGAGTGCAGTGGTACAATCTCGGCTTTGGAACCTCCCCCTCTGGGGTTCAAGCAATTCTCCTGCCTCAGCCTCCCAAGGAGCTGGGATTACAAGCACCCGCCACCTCACCCCGCTAATTTTTTATATTTCTAGTAGAGATGAGGTTTCACCATGTTGGTTAGGCTGGTCTCAAACTCCAGAGCTCAAGTGTTCTGCCCACTTTGGCCTCCCAAAGTGCTGGGATTACATAAGCCACCATGCCTGGCCATAAGCAACAATTCTATCAGTGCATCTCCAAGGACTTATGAAAACAGGGCAGGAACAGCTGCTCCTGGACTCTCAGTTTCCCCAGATGGAAGCAGAGAAACAGCAGCCTTGCCTTGTCCTTTCTGTTCTCCCCTTTTCCAGCCTACGGTATCTTTCACACAGCAATTCACTAGAAATGAGAAGTACATTATTGCAAAATTCTCATCTTCATATGACCCCATAATCAGCTGAACTGGGTTCACCCTGAGATGTCCACAGATCCTGGCCAAATGTTGCATCAGTATTTGCAAATTGCCAGAATAAATCATAACTTGCTACGCTACTAAAGTCAGCGTGAGCAACAAGATACAGCCTGACACGGGGCATAAATGGAGGCACAGGCACCAGAAAGAAAGTCAAGTCTTGTGTGATAAAATTCATCTTCATTCTCTACATTGCGATTGAACATAGAGTCGTTTTCTAGTGTGTTTTAGGCATATAAATACAGGCTGGGGACATCATACCTGTGCTTACAGATATTTTACTTTTATTTTATTTATTTACTGAAACAGGGTCTCGCTCTGTCACCCAGGCTGGAGTGCTGTGGCGCAATCACAGTTCACTGAAGCCTCAACCTCCTGGGCGCAAACGATCTTTCTGCCTGAGCCTCCCAAGTAGCTGGGACTACAGGTGCACACCACCACGCCTGGCTAATTTTTGTATTTTTTGTAGAGATGGGATCTTACCAAGTTGTCCAGGCTGGTCTTGAACCCCTGGGCTCAAGTGATCCTCCTGCCTCATCTTCCCAAAGTCCTGGTATTACAGACGTGAGCCACTGCGCCCGGCAAAGATATTTTATTCTGTTTAGAATTGTGATGATACAAATTTGAACTCAAAAAGTACATTTTAAGAAATTATATAATACCCACTGGGATGGCTATAATTTAAAAAAAGAAAAGTAAGTGTTGACAAGGATGTGGAGATATTGGAACCCACATATATTACTGGAAGGAATATAACATGATACAGCCACAATGGAAAATGATTTGGCAGTTCCTCAAAAAGTTGAACATAATAGTCACCATATGTCCTAGCAAATCCACTTCTAGGTACATACTCAAGATAATTTACAGCGCGGAGACAAACAGATACTCCTACCACAGTGTTCCAGCACCATTACTCGCTTTAGCCAAGAGGTGCAGACAACACAAATGTCCATCAAAAGAAGAACGGGGCCAGGCACAGTAGCTCAAGTCTGTAATCCCAGCACTTTGGGAAGCTGAGGCGTGTGGATCACCTGAGGTCAGGAGTTCGAGACCAGCCTAGCCAACATGGTGAAACCCCCTCTCTACTAAAAATACACAAATTAGCTAGGCATGGTGACGGGCGCCTGTAGGTCCAGCTACTCAGGAGGTTAAGGCAAAAGAATCACTTAAACCTGGGAGGCGGAGGTTGCAGTGAGCTGAGATTGTGCCACTGCACTCCAGCCTGGGCGACAGAGCAAGACTCCGTCTCAAAAAAACAAAAACAAAAACAAAAAAAAGAATGGATAAGCAAAATGTGGTCTATCCATACAATACGATGCTTTTCACCATGACAAGAAATGAAACATTGATGCATGCTACAGTACAGACAAACTTTGAAAACATTATGCTAAAGAGAAAGGAGCTAGTCACAAAGGATCACATAGTGTATGAATCCACTTACACAAAATGTCCAGAATAGACAAAATCATAGACACAGAGAAGCATATGAATGGTTGGAAGGGCCTGGTGGGAAAGTGGGAAATGAGGAGTGACTGCTTAATGGGTACAAGATTTTCTTTTAGGGTGATGAGAATGTTCTGGAATTATGTAGTGGTGATGGTTATACTACCTCATGAAGATACAAAATGCCAGTGAATTGGACACTTTACAAGGGTGAATTTTTGGACTGTGAATTATATATCAATAAAAAAAGAAAGAAAATAAATGATACAAGAGCTCAAAATAGAAAAGCTTCTCTTCCTCCTCCCCCTCACACCTCACTAGATCTCCCACCTCGTTTCTGATACTTCTGTGTTCCTCTCTCCCATTAGATTTCATATCTTTCTCAGAAAACGTTCCTGACGTGAATTGTGTTCGTAGTGCTAGGGTAGCAGACATTTCCCAAGCCTACTATCATGGAATAAAAACGTTTCAAATAGTTATCTTGCAAGAACACTTTGGAGGATACCTTTTTGAAAACCGATTATACCAGCACAGACTGCTAGCAACAACCTTCAGCAACTTTGGCTCTTTGGAGTAGGTTGCAGGAAGATTATGACTTGCTGAAAGGAAGGATGATTAAGCATCTAGATGCCAATTTATATTCTGCATTTGGCCCTTAAAGTCTGGATGAGTTCCTGTTTCAGCCGAATGCTGCCAAAAGCTCTAACTTTTTAATTTTTTTTTTTTTTTTTTTTTTTTGGAGACAGAGTCTCACTCTGTTGCCCAGGCTGGAGGGCAGTGGTGTAATCTCGGCTCACTGCAACCTCTGCCTCCCAGGTTCAAGCAATTCTCCTGCCTCAGTCACTTGAGTAGCTGGGAATACAGGCGCCCACCACAATGCCCAGCAAATTTTTGTATTTTTAGTAGAGACAGGGTTTCACCATGTTGCCCAGGCTGGTTTCGAACTCCTGACCTCAGGTGATCCGCCCACCTCGGCCTCCCAAAGTGCTGGGATTACAGATGTGAGCCACCTCGCCTGGCCCAAAAGCTCTAATTTTTATGAGAAACTCTGAGGACAGAATCTTAGTCAATTGTTAATGAATAAGCAACATTAGAAAAAAAATTCAATATTCACCTATTTTTGAGAATTTTAGAGTTATAACAAACTCTTGATTATATATATTCCTGAAGTACCTACTCTGCGTAGGTCCTGGTCCTACTCCCCAAATGGGTCACTGAAAAATTCACCCCCATTATTCCCCAAATCCCACCCTAGTTTTTCATCATGTCATATGGCAAACAACGCACTCTGTGCTGTTTTACACACCAGCTTCTTCAGAACCCGGAAGCACTTTAGAGGTTATCTCCCCTCATCCTCCACCCCCCAAAACACAGCAGTTTCCCCAATAACATTGAGAAAATGGGCTTTAAAGTTCTTCTAGGCCGGGTGCGGTGGCTCATGCCTGTAATCCCAACACTTTGAGAGGCCGAGGCGGGGGAATTGCTTGAGGTCAGGAGTTTGATACCAGCCTGGCCAACATGGTGAAACCCCATCTCTACTAAAAACAAAAAACAAAAAACAAAACTGAGCTGGATATGGTGGTGGGTGCCTGTAATCCCAGCTATTCGGGAGGCCGAGGCAGGAGAATTGCTTGAACCCAGAACCCAGGAAGTGGAGGTTGCAGTGAGCTGAGATTGTGCCACTTCACGCCACCCTGGGGGACAGAACAAGACTCTTTCTCAAAAAAATAAATAGGCCGTGTGCGGTGGCTCACGCCTGTAATCCCAGCACTTTGGGAGGCTGAGGCGGGCAGATCACAAGGTCAGGAGTTCGAGACCAGCCTGGCCAACATGGTGAAACCCCGTCTCTACTAAAAATACAAAAATTAGCTGGGTGTGGTGGTGCGTGCCTGTAGTCCCAGCTATTCGGGAGGCTGAGGCAGGAAAATTGCTTGAATCCGGGAGGCGAAGGTTGCAGTGAGCTGAGATTGCGCCACTGTACTCCAGCCTTGGTGACAAAGCGAGACTCTATCTCAAAAAACAAACAAACAAACAAACAAACAAATAAATAAAGTTCTCCTTGTGCACTTTAAGCAAAGGTGATCATGAAGCAGATCTCATTGGGAAAAACATCTCCTTTCTAATTATCTTACCTGTTTTCATTGAGGGAGCTTCAAGTTCATCGTGTTTATCTAGAAAATAGGAGGGAAGAAAAGGAATTACACTAATCATACAGGAACCTTGGGGACAGGAGTCCTCACGTCCTACTTATAGACATCCTGTTCTTCTTTGGGAAGCAGAAAAGAGAATGGCTTCTCCATTCCCTAGATGCTCCCTGGGTCCTCAGAGCATGGACAGAGCCTCAGATTACTCTTCTTAATAGTCCTGGAGTTTGATAGTATTTTTAATAACAAAAATATTTATGAATGACCCTGCTAACGCCCCCTCCAGTTTGATTCCTTGCCAGTCTTCTCTATCTTGACAAAGAACACCATTCACCCAAATTCTTTCTTTCTTTTATTTTTTTTGAGTCTTGCACTGTTACCCAAGCTGGAGTGCAGTGGCATGATCTCAGCTCACTGCAACCTCCGCCTCCCGGGTTCAAGAGATTCTCCTGCCTCAGCCTTCCAAGTAGCTGGGACTACAGGCGCCCGCCACCACACCCTGCTAATTTTTGTATTTTTAGTAGAGACAGGGTTTCACCATGTTGGCCAGGCTGGTCTCAAACTCCTGGCCTCAAGTGATCAACCTGCCTTGGCCACTCAGAATACTGGGATTCCAGGCATGAGCCACTGCACCTGGCCTATATTTCTATCTCCACAGTGGCACCATTTAGTCTAAGTTAAAATATCACCTACTTGGCCGGGCGCAGTGGCTCACGCCTGTAATCCCAGCACTTTGGGAGGCCGAGGCGGGCAGATCACAAGGTCAGGAGATCGAGACCATCCTGGCTAACATGGTGAAACCCCGTCTCTACTAAAAATACAAAAAGTTAGCCGAGCGTGGTGGCGGGCCCCTGTAGTCCCAGCTACTCGGGAGGCTGAGGCAGGAGAATGGCGTGAACCCGGGAGGCGGAGCTTGCAGTGAGCCGAGATCGCGCCACTGCACTCCAGCCTGAGGGACAGAGCCAGACTCCGTCTCAAAAAAAAAATAAAAATAAAAATAAAAATGAAATGAAATATCACCTACTCACCAGTCCCTGGCAACCACCAGTTGCTTCTGTGAGTTTGGCTTTTTTAGACTACACATATGAGTGAGATCCTGCAGAATTTGTCTTTCTGAGTCTGGCTTATTTTGTTTAGCATGATATATGCGGAGATGTTGATGAAAGGGTATAAGTTTCCAGTTCTAAGATGAAGAAGTTCAGGTGCTCAGCATGGTGGCAATGGATGTGCTAATTAATTTGACTGTGATAATCATTACACAATGTACAGGTGGATCAAATCATCAGATTGTATACCTTGAATATATACAATCTTCATTTGTCAATTTGATATTTTTAAATTTAAAAAGTCGTATTGCCTGAAACGCACCAACTCTTACTACATCTAGTCCCTTATTTTCCAAAAGCAGCCAGAGGCCGGGCATGATGGCCTGTGCCTGTAATCTCAGATGCTTGGGAGGCTGAGGTGGGAGGATTACCTGGGCCTGGGAGGTCAAGGCTGCAGTGAGCTGTGATTGCACCACTGCACTCCAGCCTGGGCAACCGAGTGGGACCCTGTCTCAAAAAAAAAAAAAAAAAAAAAAGCAGCCAGTGACCCTTCCAGCATATAAATAAAATCATGCCATCCTCCAGCTCAACTTCATCAGTGGGTTCCTGTTCTTTCAAAGCAGACTCTAGGACCAGTTCAAACACCCACAAGATCCTAGATGCTCTAGGCCCTGCCTTATGTCCTCCTTTCTGTGTCTCAATCATTCCAGGAACACTCACACTTCTGAGACTTTGCTTTTGCTGCTCTCTCTCCCTGGAGGGCTGTTCTCCAGATATCGGTGTGGTTGGGTCATTCTCATCCTTCATGCTTGTGGCAGATAGACCCTAAGGGGGCACTCAGGAGACTCAGGAGCCCTGCTTCCTGGTGTTCATGCCTTTGTCTAATCCCCTCACCTTGAGTGTGGAGATCTGTGACTTTCTTCTCACCAATAGCTATGGCAAAGGTGATGGGATGTTATGCTCTTGATTATGTTACATTACATAAAACTCTGTTTGCTAGGGCATTTGCTCTCTCTTTCTTCTCTCTCTCTCAATCTCTCTTCTTGCAAGTGCTGCAGAATCATTCTAGCATGAATCCTACAGCTATAAAGAACCAGATATTGCTATCAACCACAGGAGTGGAGAAATGGACCCTTCCCCAGTCAAGCCTCCAGATGAGCCAGATGAGAACACAGCCCTTGTTGACACCTTGATTGCATCCTTATGAGACCCAAAGCAGAGGACTCAGCTAAGCTGTGCCTGGACTCCTGACCCACATCAACTGTGAGATAATAAATAGGTGTTTCAGGCTGCTAAATTAGTGGTAATTTGTTATGCAGCTGTAGATCACTAATACAATGCCTCTCACAGTTATTCTCCATCTATAATGTGTTTTTTAATTACTCTGATAGCTTGCTCTTATTTCTTTCTTTCTTCCAAAGAAGAATGTGAGCTCCTGTTGGCCAGAGACCTGGTCTGTCTCAGTTCCTACAATATGCTCAGGATCTACCAAAGTATCTGAATTTGTAGGGTGAATGGGCAGCTATTTTTGTGCCAGGTATTTTGCATTAATTTTTTTTTGTAATGGAAGCATTTATATGCCCATTTTGTAATAAGTAAAAAGTAGTATAATAAAAAAGTAAAAAGTAGTATAATAAAGTGATTTGCAAAGCAGCAAACAGATTGTATATGGAAGGCTGACCTGGAAAATCAACCACTGGAAATTGATACTATAGCCTGTCTTGTGATGTAATGGTACAGCTGCGATAGAGGTGAAGAAATCAGGAAACAGTAGATGATATGCCAGAGAACATAATTGGGAAATGGCAAATAATCGCGAGGCTTTTAGGGCTAAAGTGTGGGTGCAGAAATTCTTAAGACTACAAGAACGAGTTATGGGGAATACAATTTGAAATCAATATCAAAGTGATGAGCACCTTGTTGGAGTATCATTGATCAAGAGCCTCAGAAAGAGGGTAAATCAGAGGTGAAACATTAAGTATTCAGTTACTCATCATGCCCCAAGCCCAGGCTAAGTCATTGGTGTGGACCCACGGCTACTTCTACACTACACTGATGACTGTAAAGTCTCTCCAGGGATTTCCCATGATATGGCAGGACTGACCTACTGGAAGCAACTGTGGTCAGTTGAGAGGTATTGTTTAGTGACTAATAAATGAATGGATGAATGGATGGATGGATGGATGGATGGATGGATAGATGGATAGGTGGGTGGGGGTGAGTGAATGGGTGAAAGGGTGGATGAGTGGATGAATGGGTGGAAGGATGGACAAATGAGTGGCTGGGTAAATAGATGGGTAGGTAGGTAGATAGATGGATGAAGGGGTGGGTGGACAGATGAATGGAAGGGTTGGTGGTTGGATGGATTAATGGATAGATGAATGGATGGATGGATGGATGGATGGATGGATGGATGAGTTGATGGATAGATGGATAAGTGAGTGGATGGATGGGTGAATGAGTGGGTAGGAGGGTGGATGGGTTGGTAGGTGGGTAGATGGGTGGGTGGGTTGATAGATGGGTGGGTAGATTGATAGATGGATGGGTGAGTAGATAAATGGGTAGATGAAAGTGATGCAAAATTATTCTTTATCCCTCTTCCTTGGGATCTCAAGTCATGTATGTTACAATCCTCCCACGTGCATCTTCTCACTGTGGTCCTCATCATTTTTTTTTCAGTTACCTGCACCGTGCCTCCCATACTTTTCCACACAATGGGATCTCTTAGCCCCACAATCCATTATTTGCCATTCCTACATCCCTCATAGAGCACTGGACACTCTTTCTGGCTTTCCTTCTCTGGCATAATGAAATATAAATTTTCATTTATGTCTGAATAGCAACTGTGAAGCTCATTGTTTTTGTGACACCGGGGAGGTCACCTAATCTCTATGAGCAAAAAGAAGTTAGTAACACAACCACCCTCATAGGAAGTGAAGACTGAATGAGTTAGTGGAGGCAAGTTACCTGTCGTGGAGACAGGAACATAGAAAATGCTGGATACATGTCAAATGCCAGTGTTATCACTCTATCCTCACCTGTCACCCAGATCTCCAGCTTGTTGCTGGGGAAGGAGGCCAAGTGTGATGAGTTGCTCAGGTAATACACACAGCTGTAGTTTCCACTGTCATTACTTGTCACGTTCCAGAGCATGAAATCAGTCTGGTTTTTTCTTACTTGCCTGACTTGTAATGGTTCTGGGATCCCCATTTTCAACAGAGCAATTACAATACATTCGGTTCCATTGTATGGAGTGAGACATCGAAGTGTCCTGAGACCTGGAGTCATCCCAGGGTCTACATTGACTGAGAGCAAAGGTTCTGGGAGTGATCCTGAAGAGGACAAGGCAATGGAGGTAAAGAGAAGGGCCAGGGCTTTTCCATTTTCTACTGCACTTGGGGACTATCTCATCCATCTCTCCGTATTAACCATGTCTTTCATCTTCTGCATTTGATGCTTTAACATCTTGGGGCCTTGCTGCCCTTGGTGGGACCTCCCCTCGCAGGGTTAGTTAATTTCTAGAGCCAGTAAACAACTTGTCCTCAAGGATGTCCCTCAAATGCAAGCCAATAGATCCAGAGCCCATACTCTCAACCACCTTAATTATGGGGCTCTCACACTCAAGGTCAATGTTGTCCTCTCCTAATCACCCCAGGTCCAAGAACTAGACAACCAGGGACAGCCTCTACACCCCAAAGCCAATTCTTTTTTTGTTTTTCTTTTCTTTCTTTCTTTTCTTTTCTTTTCTTTTTTTTTTTTTTTTTTTTTTTTTGAGACAGGTTCTCATTCTATCACCCAGGCTTGAGTGCAGTGGCACGATCTTGGCTCACCGCAGCCTCTGCCTCTGGGGTTCAAGCAATTCTCGTGCCTCAGCCTCCCGAGTAGCTGAAAGCACAGGTGCACACCACCACACCCAGGTAATTATTGTATTTTTGTAGAGATGGAGTTTCGCCATGTTACCCAGGCTGATGTCAAACTCCTGACCTCAGGTGATCCACCCTCCTAGGCCTCCCAAAGTGCTAGGATTACAGGCATGAACCACCACACCTGGCCAACTCTAATCTTGTTCTCCCCACAAAATACAATCAAAGCTCTGGTCCACAGTTCTTCCTCCTCCCTCTGCCCCTCATTGACCCTGGTGCTTCCCCACATACTCCCCCCAGTATAGCCTTCCTCCTCCTCTTGGGAACTGTAACAGACCATCTTTTCCATGGCAATCATCACTTGGTCTGTCAGTCTTACCATACCCCAATTTTCTATTAACTGACCATATTCTACACCACCCTCCCACATCCACATCATTGGGACCCTCTCAGAATCTCTGATGAGAATCTTGCTCCACATTCGGTTCCCATTTCCACATTGAAGGTGTTGCATCTATCCTTCTTCTTCTTTTTTTTTTTTAGACGGAGTCTTGCTCTTTCATCCAGGCTGCAGTGCAGTGGCACAATCTCAGCTCATTACAACCTCTGCCTTCTGGGCTCAAGAGATTCTCTTCCTGCCTCAGCCTCCCTAGTAGCTGGGATTACAGGCGCCTGCCACCACGCCCAGCTAATTTTTGTATTTTAAGTAGAGGTGAGGTTTCACCATGTTGGCCAGGCTGGTCTCGAACTCCCGACCTCAAGTGATCTGCCCACCTCTGCCTCCCAAAGTGCTGGGATTACAGGCATGAGCCACCGCGCCGTGCCTGGCCTGCATCTATCTTTTTGTCTCCTAGATTCCTTCTTCCCCAGCCATGTCCCACGACAGGAAAAGAAATACGTGCATCAGGCAGGCTTTGGTGACTCACGCCTGTAATCCCAGCACTTTGGGAGGCCAAGGCAGGAGGATCACCTGAGCTCAGGAGTTCAAGACCAGCCTGGGCAACATAGATCCTGTCTCAACAAGTAATTTAAAAATTAGCCAGGCATGGTGGTGCTTGCCTGTACTCCCAGCTACTTGGGAGGCTGATGTGGGAAAATCGCTTGAGCCTGGGAGGTCGAGGCTGCAGTGAATTGTGTTCATGCCACTGCACTCCTGCCTGGGTGACAGAGCGAGATTCTGTCAAAAAAAAAAAAAGCAGCCGAGCGCAGTGGCTCACTCCTGTAATCTCAGCACTTTGGGAGGCTGAGGTGGGCAGATCACTTGAGGTCAGCAGTTCGAGATCAGCCTGGCCAACATGGTAAAACCCTGTCTCTACTAAAATACAAAAATTAGCCAGGTGTGGTGGCGCACCCCTGTAGTTCCAGCTACTCGGGAGGCTGAGGCAGGTGAATTGCATGAACCCAGGAGGCGGGGGTTGCAGTGAGCTGAGATCATGCCACTGTACTCCAGCCTGGGCAACAGAGCAAGACTCCCTCTCAAAAAAAAAAAAAAGGCTGGGTGTGGAGGTTCACGTTTATAATCCCAGCCCTTTGGGAGGCCGAGGCAGATGGATCACTTGAGGTCAGGAGTTTGAGATCAACCTCACCAATATGGTACAACCTCATCTTTATTAAAAATACAAAAATTAGGCCGGGCGCGGTGGCTCATGCCTGTAATCCCAGCACTTTGGGAGGCGGAGGCAGGTGGATCACAAGGTCAGGAGATGGAGACCATCCTGGCTAACATGGCGAAACCCCATCTCTACTAAAAACACAAACAATTAGCTGGGCGTGGTGGCGGGCGCCTGTAGTCCCAGCTACTCGGGAGGCTGAGGAGGGAGAATTGCTTGAACCCAGGAGGCAGAAGTTGCAGTGAGCCGAGATCGTGCCACTGCACTCCAGCCTGGGAGACACAGCAAGACTCTGTCTTAAAAAAAAAAAAGCAAAGCCAAACCAAAGAAATGTGTGCATCAAAGAGTACATCTGCCCTTCTCACCTGTGACCACCAGCTGCAAGTGTTCACTGCTTTCTGACCACTCATGGGAGGCTGTTGTCTTGTAGGCACAAAAGTACCTCCCAGCATCCTTAGGCTTCAGGTCCGTGAAGGGGAATTCAGCTTCGTTTTCTGCCGAGCTCTGTTCCTGCTTGTACCCAGAGTCGTTCACCTTGCGCAGCACAAATGTCACATTCTGGGAATGAGCCTGACACTTCAGGGTCACATTGCTCTCGGCTTCAACCACCGAGCTGGGCCAGGCGTGGAGGGAGGGCTTGGGCGGTTTCTCTGGAAACAATTCAGAGTTAATTTGAGTCTAGAATTCAGACGATTAAAGGAAAAGGTCATGAAGCGTGGGATGCAGGAATAAAAGTTTAAGTAGGAGAAAACTCACCATTCTTTTTCTCATCTTCGTAGCCCAGACACAGCCCTGGAAGAGAAATCTCAATGAGAGAAAAATTATGTGCTTGTCCTTGAGTACAAATCCAGCAGAGAACGTATGACTAGCTCTTTATAGGTCTGAGATATATATATATATATAATGTATATATGTATTATATATAATAAATGTATTAAGTATATGTACACATATTACATATAATACATATATAAATATAATATATATATTAAATATATGTATTACATATATGTATATATTTTTGGCAGATATCTCCCCAGACTTACCTCTTACTTTTGTTCCATTGTTTGTCATTCAGAAGCTACGTGTATGGAGAAAATTCCAGCAACTTCTTCTTTCTTTTTTTTTTTTTTTTTTTGAAATGTAGTCTTGCTCTGTTGCACAGGCTGGAGTGCAATGACATGATCTCAGTTCACTGCAACCTCCGCCTCCCAGGTTCAAGCAATTTTCCTGCCTCAGCCTCCCGAGTAGCTGGGACTACAGGCACCCGCCACCACACCTGGCTAATTTTTGCATTTTTAGTAGAGACAGGGTCTCACCATGTTGGCCAGGCTGGTCTTGAACTCCTGACCTCAGGTGATCCACACGCCTCGGCCTCCCAAAGTGCTGGGATTACAGGCGTGAGCCACTGCCCCCGGCCCAGCAACCTTTTCTGATGTATTGAATTGCTTTCATGAGTAATCCTTTCACCATCTAGAAATTGTTCAACATTCACCTATGCTTTTTTCTGGTATTTTCTGTGATTGCAGTGTTTTGTTTTGTTTTGAGACAGAGTCTCGCTGTGTCACCCAGGCTGGAGTGCAGTGGTGCAGTCTCAGCTCACTGCAACCTCCTCCACCCCCTGGGTTCAAGTGATACTCGTACCTCAGGCTCCAGAGTAGCTGGGACTACAGGTGTGTGCCATCGTGCCCAGCTAATTTTTGTTGTTGTTGTTGTAGAGATGGGGTTTCACCATGTTGCCCAGGCTGGTCTCAAACTCCTGAGCTCAAGTGATCCACCCGCCTCAGCCTCCCAAAGCGCTGGGATTACAGGCATGAGCCACCGTGCCCGGCCTGATTGCAGTTTTACCCTTGCCACTTAAATAATGCAAAGGTTATTTTATCGTGGAGTGAGAGTGGTGGGTTTTTTTTTTTTTTTTATTTTTCGAGATGGAGTCTCGCTCTGTCACCCAGGCTGGAGTGCAGTGGCGCGATCTCGGCTCACCGCAAGCTCTGCCTCCCGGGTTCACGCCATTCTCCTGCCTCGGCCTCCCGAGTAGCTGGGACTACAGGCACCCGCCACCAAGCCCAGCTAATTAATTTTTTTGTATTTTTAGTAGAGACGGGGTTTCACTGTGTTAGCCAGGATGGTCTTGATCTCCTGACCTCGTGATCCACCCGCCTCGGACTCCCAAAGTGCTGGGATTACAGGCATCAGCCACCGCGCCCGGCCGAGAGGAGGGTTTTCTTGCTCAATTCCAATAGAGAGAATCTGCTCCCCCTTCCCCGTGTCTTCTGGTCCCAAATACTCTCCTCACTTTAGCTTTGGTTTCCACTTACATTATCCCCTCCCTCTTCTGTGTTCTGTTCTCTACATTCCCCGCTGGGAAGGTAGCGTCTTAAACTTGGGTGGAAAATGGGATGTCAGTCATGGGGCTTGTTTCAGGGTGAAGTTACGTAGAATTTAGGTAGAAATTCTCTAGAGCCACGACAGTGTCTCAGGACATTGGTTCCTTGTTGACACAGGTGCCGATACAGAACGTGACCCCCCACCAAGCTTCACCACAGAGGAATGAGGTGGAGGCCTCACGATGGACCGAAGCTGCGTTGGCAGCGAGATTAGCTGGGATTGGCAGGTAGGAAACAGCCTCTGGGTGGGCAGGGCATCCCAGGACTCAGGCTCTGTTTTGAGACCCTCCCCAAATCCCGCTTTTAGATTCATGTCATCTCATCTCTGCTATCCACCCATCGTCTGTTCAAACAGTGATTCCTATATTCTTTTTTCTTTTTGAGACAGGGTCTCACTCTGTGGCCCAGGCTGGAGTGCCAGGGTGCAGTCACAGCTCACTGCAGCCTCAACCTCCTGGGCTCAAGTGATCCATCCATCTCAGCCTCCCAAATAACTGGGACTACAGGCATGCACCACCACGCTGGCTGATTTTAAAATTTTTTTGTAGAGATGAGGACTCACGATGTTGCCCAGGCTGGTCTCGAACACCTGAGTTCAAGTGATTCTCCCACCTTGGCCTCCCAACATGCTGGGATTACAGGTGTGAGCTACCTGCACCCAGCCCAATTCCCATATTCTTTTTCTTTTCTTTTTTTTTTTTTTTTTTTGACATGGAGTCTCCCTCTGTCACCCAGGCTGGAGGGCAGCGGTGCTATCTTAGCTCACTGCAACCTCTGCCTCCCAGGTTCAAGCGATTTTCCTGCCTCAGCCTCCCGAGTAGCTGGGATTACAGGTCCTTGCCACCATGCCCAGCTAATTTTTGTATTTTTAGTAGAGACGGGGTTTCACCATGTTGGCCAGTCTGGTCTCAAACTCCTGACCTCAAGAGATCTGCCCGCCTGGGCCTCCCAAAGTCCTGAGATTACAGGCGTGAGCCACCACACCTGGCTGATTTGTGTTTCTTGAAAAGAGAAGTTCAAGTTGTAACTCCCAGGACCTGCGAATGTGACCTTATTTGAAAATAGCATTGTCTGATCTTTGCAGATGTAATTAATTAAACTAAGATGAGGTCATACTAGAGTAGGCTGGGTATCTAATCCAATATAACTTACAAGAAGAGAAAAAGAGAGACAGAGACACACAGAAGGAAGACGGCCATGCGAAGACAGAGGCAGAGAGGCCAGGCTGCAATCATAGTGCTTTGGGATGCCAAGATAGGAGAATTGCTTGAGCCCAGGAGTTGGAGACTAGCCTGGGCAATATAGCAAGATCCCATCTCTAAAACAGAAATTATTTTAATTAGTCCAACATGGTGGTGTGCACCTGTAGTCCTAGCTGCTCAGAAGGCTGCGGGGAGGACTGCTTGAGCTCAGGAGGTTGAGGCTGCAGTGAGCTATGGTGGTACCACTGCACTCCGGCCTGGGCAACTGAGTGAGACCCTGTCTAAAGAAAAGAAAAAAAAAAACAGAGCCAACGATTGGAGTGATGCATCTACAAGTTAAAGAATGCCGGGAGCGCTGGCTCACGCCTGTAATCTCAACAGTTTGGGAGGCTGAGGCGGGCAGATCACCTGAGGTCAGGAGTTCGAGGCCAGCCTGGCCAACGTGGTGAAACCCTGTCTCTACTAAAAATACAAAAATTAGCCAGGCATGGTGGTCCATGCTTGTAATCCCAGCTACTTGGGAGGCTAAGGCAGGAGAATTGATTGAACCCAGGAGGTGGAGGTTGCAGTGAGAAAGATCATGCCACTGCACTCTAGCCTGGGTGACAGAGCAAGACTCCGCCTCAAGAAAAAAAAAAAATGCCAAGAATTGTCAGCCATCACTAGAAGAGGGGCATAAAACAGACGCTCCTTCATAGTTCTCAGAAGGAATCAACATTGCAAACACCTTGGTTTCAGACTTCTCATCTCCCCAACTTAAAGCAATTCTAATTCCTTTAAGCCACCAGGCTTGTAGTACTTTGGTATGGCAGCCATTGGGGGATGAGGTCAGTCTCCTGGTTGCCCAGCTTACTGTGCTCAGCAGCTGGAGGCTTGGGTATGAACCCGATAGTCATCTCTAAGGCACAAATAGCCGGGTGCAGTGGCTCACACCTGTAATCCCAGCACTTTAGGAGGTTGAAGTGGGTAGATCACCTGAGTTCAGGAGTTTGAGACCAGCCTGGCCAACATGGTGAAACCCCATCTCTACTAAAAACACAAAAAATTAGCCAGGCGTGGTGGCGTGTGCCTATAATCCCAGCTTCTCGGGAGGCGGAGGCAGGAGAATCGCTTGAACCCAGGAGGTGGAGGTTGCAGTGAGCTGAGATCACACCACTGCACTCCAGCCTGGGAGACAAAGCAAGACTCTGTCAAAAAAAAAAAAAAATGCTCATCTAAGGTGCAAATGTGTGTAGGAGACGAGCATTACCCCACAAGGAAGGGCTGCACCCAGAAAAGGAGGAAGGAACTGAAGCAGACGAAGCACGTCGATGTCCACCGCACCCCCCGTGCACCAGGGAGGAACTGGGGCCTTAGGGAGGTGGAGCTCTGCTGGGTCAAGCCTAGAGTTTCTATGTAGTAAAGCCGAGATTATAACCCAGGTCATCCGTTTCACAGTGTGAGCTCTGTCTGAATACATCAGGTTCAATTGGAGGATGGTTAAAATCAGCCTAAGAATCGAGCTGGTCAGAAAATTGTCTTCTTGGGGCCAGGTGTGGTGGCTCACGCCTGTAATCCCAGCACTTTGGGAGGCTGAGGCGGGCGGATCACCTGAGGTCAGGGGCTCGAGACCAGCCTGACCAACATGGTGAAACCCCGTCTCTACTTAAAATACAAAAGTCAGCCGGGTGTGGTGGCCTGCACCTGTAGTCCCACCTACTCGGGAGGCTGAGGCAGGAGAATCGCTTGAACCTGGGAGACGGAGGTTGCAGTGAGCCCAGATCACGCCATTGCACTCCAGCCTGGGCTACAGAGTGAGACTCTGTCTCATAAATAAATGCATACATACATAAATAAATAAATAAGAGAGAGAGAGAAGAAAATTGTCTTTTTGCCCACAGCCTTGCACCCTGTAGATCCCTAAGCCCAGCCCTCCTCTATTCCGACGGAGGATGATGGCAGTACTGCGGTATTTAGCGGCTGCAGACTCGGAGACCCCACAGCAGCTCTGCCTTTCCCAGCGGAGTCTGTCCCCGTGTCTCTGCAGCGCGGCCTCCTCCTCGCTTGCATGTGGGCGGCAGAACTCACAGAACCCACAGCCCAGACCCACCCACCGCAGGTGTGCAACACCTGGAAGTCATTACTTCCACACACCGCATTTCCACCTGGACTGCCACTCCCACATGAGTTTTTCTCACCAGCCCAAGCCCATTCGTCCCAGTCCTGGAGACTCACCGAGGCAAAGCAGGGAGAGGAATTCTGCGGTCATAGCGTCCCTTCTGCCAGAACCAAGGCCCCGCCTTGGGTTTTACCCTTCAAAGGCGGAGCGGGACTGGGCCGGCCGCAGCTCTCCGGCTGCCCGGTTCGTCCCCAGGATGTGCAGATAGAGGAGGTTTTGCTCTGACACTCTGGTTCTCTGCCCCACTCTTGCAGTTTCCTTCTCACAACCGACTCAGGAAACAAGAAGCCGTCGATGATAACTTCTTCCCCATGAATCCGGTGTGTGTGGCCCCACCCGCCCGAGCTCTGTCCTACCTTATCTGAAGTTCTGCCAAGAGTTTTCTGTAAATGTAATTTTTTATTTTAAAACACTAATACCGGCCGGACGCGGTGGCTCACGCCTGTAATCCCAGCACCTTGAGAGGCTGAGGCGGGCGGATCACCTGAGGTCGGGAGTTCAAGACCAGCCTGACCAAAATGGAGAAACCCCCGTCTCTACTAAAAATACAAAATTAGCCAGGCATGGTGGCGCATGCCTGTAATCCCAGCTACTCCGGAGGCTGAGACAGGAGAATGGCTTGAACCCAGGAGGCGGAGGTTGCTGTGAGCCAAGATTGTGCCACTGCACTCCAGCCTGGACAACAACGGTGAAACTGTCTCAAACAAGCAAACAAACAAACATTAATACCTATAGCTTTATAGCTTCCGTGTACCCACTAGCCAGCTCCCCACAATGTTAACCTTTTTTTGGGGGGCGGGGGGGACAGAGTCTTGCTCTGTCACCCAGGCTGGAGTGCAGTGGCGCGATCTCGGCTCACTGCAACCTCTGCCTCATGGGTTTAAGGATTCTCCTGCCTCAGACTCCCAAGTAGCTGGGATTACAAGCATGCACCACCACACCCAGCTAATTTTTTGTAGAGATGGGATTTCACCATGTGGGCCAGGCTGGTCTTGAACTCCTGGTCTCTAGTGACCCGCCCACCTCAGCCTCCCAAAGTGCTGGGATTACAGGCATAAGCCACTGTGCCCGGCCAATGGTAATCTCTTATAATTACAGTACTTTTTTTTTTTTTTTTTTTTTTTGAGACAGAATCTCTGTCAGCCAGGCTGGAGTGCAGTGGCACAATCTTGGCTCACTGCAACCTCTGCCTCCCGGGTTCAAGCGATTCTCCTGCCTCAGCCTCCCGAGTTGCCGGGATGACAGGTGTCCGCCACCACTCTTGGCTAATTTTTTTTGTTCTTTTTAGTAGAAACGAGGTTTTGCCATGTTGCCCAGGCTGGTCTCGAACTTCTGACCTCAGGCGATCCGCCTGCCTCGGCCTCCCAAACTGCTGGGATTACAGGCGTGAGCCACCACGCCCGGCGTATGGCACATTTTCAAAACCAGAGACTTTGCACTGGCATCACACGTTTAACCAGGTTCCAGAGGTCACTCAGATCTCACCAGTTTGTGCATAATTCGTTTCTCTTTTTCTCTTCCTCTTCCTTCTATTTCTATTTCCTTTTCTCCTTTTCCTTCTTTTCTCCTGCTCTTCCTCCTCTTCCACCTTCTTTTCCTCCTCCCTTTTCTTTGCCTATGGGTATAGTTCTGTAACATTTTATTGCCTGTATGTATGGCTTTATAGAACCACCGCCACAATCAAGACACAGAACTGTCCCACCACCACGTAGGAACTCCCTCATGCTGCCCCTTTATAATCGCTCTCCCACCCTAGCACCTGCTAATCTGTTCTACGTCTCTATCACTTTGTCACTTTGAGACTCTTGTATAAATGGAATCGTCCATCGCCTCACCTTCTGAGGGTGACCTTTTTCACTCAGCACAATGCCTGTGAGATTCATTCAAATGGTTGTGTGTTATGATGATGGATACATTAGCCGGGCGTGGTGGCACACGCCCATAGTCCCAGCTACTCAGGAGGCTGAGGCAGGAGAATCGCTTGAACCCGGGAGGCGGAGGTTGCAGTGAGCTGAGATCACGCCACTGCACTCCAGCCTGGGTCACAGAGCAAGACTCCATCAAAAAAAAAGAATTATCTAATGGATACAATGTGTGTCACTGGGTTAGTGGATACCTGAAAGCCCTAACTTCATCATTTTGGAATCTATCCATGCAATAAAGTTACACTTGTACCCCATAAACGTATACAAATAAAAAATAATCGTCTGGGCATGATGACTTACCGCTGTAATCCCAGCACTTTGGGAGGCTGAGGCGGGATTACAGGTGTGAGCCACCATGCCCGGCCTATACTTTCTATCTTAATAACTACAAAAATAATAACTTGCTGGATGGGTCCCTGTGCCCACCCCGTCCTGTCCTAAGTGAGGAGGATGGGAAGAAAGCCATCGTCCTGTCCTGGTGCGGCTCTCAAACAGCTGGAAATGCTGGCTGCACAGGAAACTCTAAGGATCGGCAGCTCTAGCGCATGCTACCCTTGGCAGCTGTGTGGTCTGTGGATAGAGAAGGACCAACCTGTGGTTAGTGGAGGAAGAGGAGGAATATTGCTTTGATAAGCACATCCTCAGAGTTATAACAGAGGAGACAATAGTTATAAAATAAGAATGATATTTACGAAAAATAATAAGACTATTAACAAGAAACAGCAACAAATCTTGAAAACAAAATGTAACAACAAAACATAAATGTTGACTTTTTTTTTTTTTTTTTTTTTGAGACGGAGTCTCGCTCTGTCGCCCAGGCTGCAGTGCAGTGGTGAGATCTCGGCTCACTGCAACCTCTGCCTCCCGGGTTCCAGCAATTCTCCTGCCTCAGCCTCCTGAGTAGCTGGGATTACAGGCATGCACCACCACGCCCAGCTAATTTTTGTATTTTTAGTAGAGATGGGGTTTCACCATATTGGCCAGGATGGTCTCGATCTCTTGACCTTGTGATCCGCCCACCTCGGCCTCCCAGAGTGCTGGGATTATAGGCATGAGCCACAGCACCTGGCAACTGTTGACATTTTACATCTGCACCAGTAAGACTGGCTACCAATTACAAGCAAATGGATGCCATGGATAGAATGGAATTCCTGCCAAACTGGGTAAAATGTTGGAAACATATAAAATAAAATGTAAAAGAAATGTATTATAAATACAGGCTGGGCGTGGTGGCTCATGCCTGTAATCCCAGCACTTTGGGAAGCCAAGGTGGGCAGATCACTTGAGGTCAGGAGTTCGAGACCAGCCTCGCCAACATGGTGAAACCCCGTCTCTACTAACACACAAAAATTAGCCAGGCATGGTGGTGGGCGCCTGTAATCCCAGCTACTTGAGAGGCTGAGGCAGGAGAGTCACTTGAACCTGAGAGGGAGGTTGCAGTGAGCTGAAATTACGCCACTGCACTCCAGCCTGGGTGACAGAGTGAGACTCCCTCTCCAAAAAAAAAGAAAGAAAGAATGTATTATAAATACATATGACCAAGCACAGTGGCTAACGCCTGTAGTCCTGGCACTTTGGGAGGCCAAGATGAGAGGATCACTTGAGTCCAAGAGTTCGAGACCAAGTTGGGCCATATGGTGGAACCCGGCTTCTACAAAAAATACAAAATTTAGTCCGGCATGATGGCACACACCTGTGGTCCCAGCTACTCAGAAGGCTGAGATGGGAGGATTACTTTAGCCTGGGAGGTCGAGGCTGCAGTGAGCCGTGATCTAGCCACTACACTCCAGCCTGGGCGACAGAGTGAGACCCTGTCTCAAAATAAATAAATATAATAAATAAATAAATATGTATATCCCAATATTGGACTAAATGCTGGTCCAGAAGCACAAAATAGAAAGAACGGAGAGGAAGTATTAATAAATATTACACAGGAAGCAATGTTTTTCCCTTCGTGTGGAGGAAGAGTTCCCCGCAGGTGAGAGTCACCTACTACTCAATCTGACTCTGAAGTTTTAAGTATTGATTCAAGTTATCAAAAATGTATTAAGGGCTGGGCACGGTGACTCAAGCCTGCAATCCCAGCACTTTGGGAGGCCGAGGTGGGCTGATCACTTGAGCTCAGGTGTTCAAGACCAGCCTGGCCAACATGGGTGAAACCCCATCTCTACTAAAAGTACAAAAATTAGCTGGGCATGGTGGCAGGCGCCTGTAATCCCAGCGACTTGGGAGGCTAAGGCAGGAGAATCGCTTAAACCCAGGAGGTGGAGGTTGCAGTGAGCCGAGATCTTGCCATTGCACTGCAGCCTGGGTGACAGAGCGAGACTCCGTCTCAAAGAAAAAAAAAAAAAGTATTACGTGGCTCATTGTGCCCAATTCTGTCCTCTGTCCCCAGTGAAAAGTACAGGAAGAAGAAAGCCACCATCCTGCCCTACAGCAGATCCCAACAGAGCTGAGAGTGCAGGTTCCACAGAAAGCGGTTAAGGCTCAGCTGGTCCAACCCATCATTCCCTGGGCAGCTGTGGGATCTATGGCTAGAGAAGAACAGAGCTGAGCTTAGAGGGGAAGGAAGAGGAGGAAGATTGTTTTCTCCCGGCATCCAAACACAGCTTTTCAACCAGGGGGAGCACCACCCTCACTTCCCATCGCCCCATCCAGGGATATTTGAAAGGTATGAGAGTAGTGGCTTTTTTGTTGTTGTTGTTTCACAATAATTAGGTCTCCAACAGGTGTTCAATGGGAAAGGAAGTATTAGCAATGTCGAGTTACGTGTTCCTATAATGGACAAGACAGTCTCACATGGTGAAGGACTATTGCACTTTAAACACCATTTGTGGCCATGCCCGGTGGTGCACACCTGTAATCCCAGCACTTTGGGAGGCTGAGGCAGGTGGATCACTTGAGGCCAGGAGTTCGAGACCAGCCTGACCAATGTGGCGAAACCCCGTCTCTCCTAAAAATACAAAAAAATTAGCCAGATGGTGGCAGGTGCCTGTAGTTGCAGCCACTTGGGAGGCTGAGGCAGGAGAATCACTTGAACCTGGCAGGCGGAGGTTGCAATGAGCCGAGATCGCACCACTGCACTCTGGCCTGGGCGACAAAGCGAGACTCTGTCTCAAAACAAACAAACAAACAAAAAAACAAAAAATACCATTTGTGCCCATGTGGAGAAACGTGTGAAGTCCCCATGGTAGAGTCTGATGTTTAAAGAACCCCATATGGATTGAATGCACAGCAGGGCGGCTACAGTTCACAAGGCTGCACTGGGTAATTACAATTTGCTAAGAAGGTGGATCTTAAACAGAAAGGTCCATAAGCTAGATTGAGATAACCATTGTCACAATGAGTGAAATTTCTTCCTCGGCACACAATTAATTACTTAGTTAGTAGGAAAGTTCCCAGAAGGTGGATCTTAAACAGAAAAGTCCATTAGCTACATTGTGATAATCATGTCACAATTAGTGAAATTTCTTCTTTGGTACACAATTAATTATTTAGTAGGGAGGTTCCCAGAAGGTGGATCTTAAACAGAAAGGTTCGTTAGCTACATTGTGATACTCATGTCACAATCAGTGAAATTTCTTCCTTGGTACACAATAAATTACTTAGTAGGAGGGTTCCCCACCCGTAGGCTTATGGGGGTATAATTGATAAATCAAAATGGAATATATCAAAACATCACGTTGTACACAAATATAACTCCATTTTTATTTGTCGATTAGATCTCAATAAATCTGGAGCAGAAGAGAATTCCATATCTCTACAGCAGCCCATGAAAGAGAGAGGGGATCCGTGTTTTAACTTGGATCTGTTACTGGAAAGGGGTCCCAGTCCAGACCCCAAGAGAGGGTTCTCGGATCTCACACAAGTAAGAACTCAGGGTGAGTACACAGAGTAAAGTGAAGGCAAGTTTATTAAGAAAGTCAAGGAATATGGCTGCTCCATAGGCAGAGCAGTCCAGAGGGCTGTCAGTCGGCTATTTTTGTGGTTATTTCTTGATCGTATGCTAAACAAGGGGTGGACTGTTCATGAGTTTTCCAGGAAAGGGGAGGGGATTTCCCTGGAACTGAGAGTCCCTCCCTCGTTTAGCTTCTGGAAGTTGCCATGGCATCTGTAAGCTGTCTTGGTGGCGGTGGGAGTGTCTTTTAGCATGCAAATGCATTATAATTAGCAAATAATGTGCAGTGAGGACGACCAGAAGTCACTTTTGTTGCCATCTTGGATTTGGCAGGTTTTGGCTGGCTTCTTTGTTGCATCTTTGTGTCTTTGGGTCTTTGTGACCTGTATGTTGTGACCTGTCTCATCCTGTGACTTAGAAAGCCTCAACCCCCTGGGAATGCAGTCCAGCAGGTTGCAGCCTCAGTTTACCCAGCCCCGGTTCAAGATGGAGTCACTCTGGTTTGAAGGCCTCTGATTCACCTGGAGACACATTCCGGCTGTACCAGGCCTCCACCAGGAAAGCTCCCATGATAACCACAATTACGGCAGCCAGACCCAGTCGTACGAAGTTACCCAGGGAGTAGTTGCTCGATGTGGTACCTGGGGGAACTGAAAGAGAGAAGGGGCTCAGCACTGACCCTCAGAGGGTATCCCTCCTTCTCAAATGGCCCCACCAAATCTGACTATCATCACCCACTTAATGTTTTCGGTTTTTTGGTTTTTTTTTTTGAGACGGAGTTTTACTCTTGTTGACCAGGCTGGAGTGCAGTGGTGTAATCTCAGCTCACCACAACCTCTGCCTCCCAGGTTCAAGCCTCCCTGCCTCAGCCTCCCAAGTAGCTGGGATTACAGGCATGTGCCACCATGCCCGGCTAATTTTATATTTTTAGTAGAGACGGGGTTTCGCCATGTTGGCCAGGCTGGTCTTGAACTCCCGACCTCAGGTGACCCGCCCACCTCAGCCTCCCAAAGTGCTGGGATTACAGGTGTGAGCCACCGCGCCCGGCCACCCACTTAATGTTTTCTAGCCAGTAGTCCACTGTACTTTAAAGTTTTAATTGAACTTTTTTTTTTTCTTGAGATCAAGTTTTGCTCTTGTTGCCCAGACTGGAGTGTAATGGCACAATCTCAGCTCACTACAACCTCTGCCTCCCGGGTTCAAGTGATTCTCCTGTCTCAGCCTCCCAAGCAGCTGAGATTATGAGCATGTGCCACCACACCCGGCTAATTTTGTATTTTTAGTAGAGACGGGGTTTCTCCATGTTGGTCAGGCTGGTCTCGAACTCCTGACCTCAGGTGATCCACCCGCCTTGGCCTCCCAAAGTGTTGGGATTATAGGCATAAACCACCATGCCTGGCCATAATTGAGCTCTTTAAAGTTTTAATCCCTGAAAACAAAAGATGGAATCTTTGTTGTTGTTTTTGAGACGACGTCTCACTCTGTTGCTCAGGCTGGAGTGCAGCGACGCAGTCTCGGTTCACTGCAACCTCCACCTCCTGGGTTCAAGCGATTCTCCTGCCTCAGCCTCCCGAATAGCTAGGATTACAGGCACCTACCACCACACCCGGCTAATTTTTGTATTTTTAATAGAGATGGGTTTTCGCCATGTTGGCCAAACTGGTTTCGAACTCCTGGCCTCAAGTGATTCGCCTGCCTCGGCCTCCCAAGGTGCTGGGATTACAGGCCTGAGCCACCGCGCCCGGCCAAGATATGCAATCCTAATGAGTTGTAATGGGAGTTCCTTTATCTTCCTTCCTTGATATTCACTCCACCTTAGCTCTCTTCCTTCGTTTATTTGCTCTTTATCCCATTTCCACCTTCCCACATTGCCTTTTCTCCTCCCGCATCCTTATGTTAAGGAATAGTCTTGGGGCAGCACATGAGACGGAAGGAGCTCTACAGAGCCCCGAATTCCGTGGCTGGATCAGCATCCTCGCAGCCCACACTGCTGTGCAGCAGTGCACCTGAGAAAGTTTGAGTTGAGGCCGGGCACAGTAGCTCACGCCTGTAATCCCAGCACTGTGGGAGGCTAAGGTAGGAGGATTGCTTGAGGCCAGGAGTTTGAGAGCAGCCTGGGCAACATGGCGAAACCCCATGTCTACTAAAAATACAAAAAAATTAGCCGGGTGTGGTGGCGGGTGCCTGTAATCCCAGCTACTCAGGAGGCTGAGGCAGGAGAATTACTTGACCTGGGCCTGGGGTTGGGGGGTGGAGGCTGCAGTGAGCTCAGATTGTGCCACTACACTCCAGCTTGGGCGACAGAGTGAGACTCCATCTCAAAGAAAACAAACAAACAAACAAAACCCTAGCCTCCAGATTTTCAGGGAGGCTGATTTGAGTAATAATAAAACTCTGATTGGCCAGGTGCAGTGGCTCATGCCTGTAATCCCAGCACTTTGGGAGGCCCAAGCGGGCAGATCACGAGGTCAGGAGTTCGAGACCAGCCTGGCCAATATGGTAAAACCCCATCTCTACTAAAAATACAAAAATTAGCCAGGCAGGGTGGCACACATATAGTCCCAGCTACTCGGGAGGCTGAGGCAGAAGAATCGTTTGAACCTGGGAGGCAGAGGTTTCATTGAGCCGAGATCGCGCCACTGCACTCCAGCCTGGGCGACAGAGCAAGACTCCGTCTCAAACAAACAAACAAACAAAAAAACTCTGGTCTCCCACTTACCTGGCTCAATGTGTATTAAACTCTTTTTTGCAATTCCTCTGTCTTGATGAATGGGCTTCATCCAGGCACCCGGCAAGAGCTGTAATGTAACTCATTACAGCAGTTACAATAGATGAAAAATAATTTACAGAGCTGAGGAAGCAGAGTGCTAGCACCCAGTAAGGCAGGAAACAAGATACTTTCAGAAGAATTCTAGCAGTCAATAAAAGACATGGGTAGACTTCGCATCCACGGCATAGAAGCAGGAGGCTGTGCAAACACCATGTTCTGAGGATGAGATAATTTTTTTTTTTAATTTGAAACTGGGTCTCACTATGTTGCCCAGGCTGGTCTCAAACTCCTGGGCTCAAGCAATTCTCCAGCCTCAGCCTCCCAAAGTGCTGGGATTACAGGCCTGAGCCACCGCACATGACTGAGAAAGAATTATTGAGAGTGAAATCACTAACACCAAGAAAAACCAAAACACGCCATGCACAGTGGTTCACACCTGCAATCCCAGCCCTTTGGGAGGCCGAGGTGAGTGGATCACCTGAGGCCAGGGGTTCAAGACCAGCCTGGTCAACATGGTCAGAACCCCATCTCTACTAAAAATACAAAAATTAGCCAGGCGTGGTGGTGGGCACATGTAATCCCAGCTACTCAAGTGGCTGAGGCAGGAGAATTGCTTAAACTCGGGAGGCAGAGGTTGCAGTGAGCTGAGATCGCACCACTGCACTCCACCCTGGGCAACAGAGCGAGACTCTGTCTCAAAAACAAAATGAAACAAAACAAAACAAAAAACCAAAACGCTAAGAGATGCAAAGACTGGTAGAAGGAATCTGGTGCTGGTAGATTCATAATTTTCAAAAACAGCCTAGAAATTTTCCAAGGATGTAGTATAACAAAAAGGCAAAGGAGGGCCGGGCACGGTGGCTCACACCTGTAATCCCAGCACTTTGGGAGGCCGAGGCAGGCAGATCACCTGAGGTCAGGAGTTCAAGACCAGCCTGGTCAACACGGTGAAACCTTCATCGCTACTAAAAATAGAAAAATTAGCCGGATGGGTGGTGCAGGCCTGTAATCCTAGCTACTTGGGAGGCTGAGGCAGGAGAATCACTTGAACCTGGAAGGTGGAGGTTGCAGTGAGCGAAGATCGCGCCATTGCACTCCATCCTGGCAACAGAGTGAGACTCCATTTCAAAAAAAAAAAAAAAAAAAAAAGGCAAAGGAGTGGAAATTGTGAAAGGGAGGTTTTTTTGTTGTTTTGTTGTTTTTGTTTTTGTTTTTTGTTTTTTGTTTTTGAGACAGAGTCTCACTCTATTGCCCAGGCTGGAGTGCAGTGGCAAGATCTTGGCTCACTGCAACCTCCGCCTCCCATGTTCAAGCAATTCTCCTGCCTCAGCCTCCCAAGTAGCTGGGTCTACAGGTGCATGCCATCATACCTGGCTAATTTTTTATTTTTAGTAGAGACGGGGTTTCACTATGTTGGCCAGGCTGGTCTCAAATCCTTGACCTCAGATGATCCATCCACCTCGGCCTCCCAAAGTGCTGGGATGACAGGCATGAGCCACCACGCCAGGCCAGAAAGGGAAGATTTTGTTAAGAGCGATGATATTGTAAGTAATGAAGAAATGAGATTCACAGAAGAACAAAACAATCTCTGATTAAAAACAACACACACAGTTCCTCAAAACCATACACGCCCTTACCTGTCACCAATATCTCAAGCTGATCACTGGGTTCTGAGGCCCAGAAGGGAGACTTTGTCTGGTAGTACATGCAGCTGTAGTTCCCAGCATCGCCGGCTGTCACGTCCACCAGAGAGAAGTCTATCTCCTTCCCCGCTGGACTCTGCAGCTGGATGGGTGATGGCGTCCCTGCCTTCAGTAGAGCGAACATGATAGGCACAAACAATTGGTCTCGCTTCTGGCACTGCAGAGTCACCCTTCCACCTGCGGTCACTGTACCCCTTTGGTAGGTTCGGAGGAAAGGTTTAGATAAATGTCCTGTAAGAGAAGTCAGGTTCTGAGGTCCTGGGGAGAAGTCTGGAATCCCCCACTCACCCCTGTTCTCCTGGCCGGAGGCTCTCGTGGAGTGTGGGAAATGAGAGATTCCTGATCTCTTCTACCTTCCTCCACTTCCTACTCCGACCCCAGGACAGAGATTCTCCCTCCTACAAGACCTGTGTAAGGCCTGGCATGGTGGCTCACACCTGTAATCCCAGCACTTTGGGAGGCCAAGGCGGGTGGATCACCTGAGGTCAGGAGTTCGAGACCAGCCTGCCCAACATGGCGAAACCCTGTCTCTACTAAAAATACAAAAATTAGCCGGGCATGGTGGCAGGCACCTGTAATCCCAGCTGCTCAGGAGGCTGGAGCAGGAGAATCACTTGAGCCCAGGAGGCGGAAGTTGCAGTGAGCCGAGATGGCACCACTGCACTCTGGCCTGGGCGACAAAGTATAAAACCAACATATGCAATTTCGTTCCTGTCTCTCTCCCTCTCCCATCACCCCCAACTACTCTGAAGGTGGGACCCCTTTTCTCCCTCTGTTCCTCCACTTCCTCCCTCATCCCCTGTCCCCCGTATGTCATTGGCAGGCACCCTGTCTGTACCTGTCACCAACAGTAGAAGGACGTCACTGCGCTGTGAAAGGATGTGGGGGGATGCTTTTCTGTAGTATTCACAGGTGTACTCTCCAGCATTTCTGACTTTTAGATTATTGAGGTGAAATTCGGCCGCGCCCTCTGTAGAATCAAGGGGCTTCGGGGACTCCAGAATAATTCCTCCCTTCCTGAGAACAAAGCTCACACCTCTGGCAGGAGTCCAACATCGCAGCGTCACATTGCTGTTGGCAGGGACCACCGAGCTGGGCCAGGCACTGAGGGACGGCTTGGGCAGTGACCCTGGAAGGAAGCAGAGCCTGATGCTGGACCCGATGCCCTCCCCTGCTCTCAGGAAGCCCTTTTTAAAATTTATTATTATTATTATTATTTTGAGATGGAGTCTCCCTCTGTTGCCCAGGCTAGAGTGCAGTGGTGCAATCTCAGTTCACTGCAACCTCCGTCTCCTGGGTTAAAGCAATTCTCCTGCCTCAGCCTCCCAAGTAGGTGGGATTACAGGCACGCACCACCACACCCAGCTAATTTTGTATTTTAGTAGAGACAAGGTTTCACCATGTTGGCCAGGCTGGTCTCGAACTCCTGACCTCAGGTGATCCACCCACCTTGGCCTCCCAAAGTGCTGGGATTACAGGCGTGAACCCCTGAGCCCAATCAGGAATCCCATTTTAAGAAGGGAAGCGGGCTGGGTGCGGTGGCTCACGCCTGTAATCCCAGCACCTTGGGAGGCCAAGGCAGGCAGATCACGAGGTCATGAGATCGAGACCATCCTGGCCAACATGGTGAAACTCCGTCTCTACTAAAAATACAAAAATTAGCTGGGCGTGGTGGCAAGCACCCGTAGTCCCAGCTACTTGGGAGGCTGAGACAGGAGAATCACTTGAGCCCAGGAGGCGGAGGTTGCTGTAAGCCGAGATTGCACCACCGCACTCCAGCCTGGCGAAAGAGTGAGACTCCGTCAAAAAAAAAAGAGAAAAAGAGGGGGAAGGGGAAGAGAACAGCAGGGGATTTGGGATGACAGGCCAAGGAGGGTGTAGTTGAAGAAACACTCACCATCTCCCCTTGTGTCTCCTTGGCCCACGCACAGTCCTGCAAGACAATCCTCCGTGAGCCAGAAGCCCCTACCTGGAGCCACGTCACCCCCTGCCCTGACCCCTGGAGATCGTCCCAGAGTCTCCTGCTGAGAACAGACCCTTAGAGGTCATACGCTCAGGAGTTCTCATTCTCCCCACACTGGACTGTGGCTTCTGCTCGACTTCCAGCTCCTCCATCCTTTCCCAGCGATTCTCCTTGACCATCCTGTGTGGCTGTCACCTCCCCCTGCTCCAGGCCTTTCCCACAAATCCTTCCATTCTCATCTTCTGTTTGAAAACAGCACTCATTCTTACCATTTCTTTCTTTCTTTCTTTTTCTTTCCTTTCTTTCTTTCTTTTTTCTTTCTTTCATTCATTCTTTCTTTCATTCATTCCAGAGACAGAGTCTCGCTCTTTCTTTCTTTTTCTTTCTTTCTTTCTTTCATTCATTCTTTCTTTCTTTCATTCATTCTTTCTTTCTTTCATTCATTCCAGAGACAGAGTTGCGCTCTGTCGCCCAGGCTGGAGTAGAGTGACGCAATCTCGGCTCACTGCAACCTCCGCCTCCCGGGTTCAAGTGATTCTCCTGCCTCAGCCTCCCAAATAGCTGGGATCACAGGCATGCGCCAGGACGCCCGGCTGAGTTTTGTATTATTAGTAGAGACAGGGTTTCACCATATTGGCCAGGCTGGTCTCGAACTCCTGACCTCAGGTGATCCACCCACCTCGGCCTCCCAAAGTGCCGGGATTACAGGCATGAGCTTTGTGCCCAGCTTCTTTTTATTTTTTAATTTTTCATTTTATTATTGTGTTTTGAGACAGGGTCTCTCTCTGTTGCCCAGGTTGGAGTGCAGTGGCTCCATCATGGCTCACTGTAGCCTCCCAGGCTCAAGTGATCCTCCCACCTCAGCCTCCCGAGTAGCTGGGATCACAGGTGTGCACCACCACACCCGGCTAATTTTTTAGTCTTTCCCAGAGACAGAGTCTCCCTATGTTGCCCAGGCTCATGATCTCTTTTAATCCCTTCATGACTCCAAACAGGACAAAATTTATTGTTTGGTGTCCTGTAACAAGCCTCAAAACATCCAAATGGTCATTCCAGAAAGGGGAAAGCATACGTTCCTCCCTGTTTCACACATGGCTGCATTTGCTCTTCCTCCTTTTTAATTTTTTTTGATAGAGACAGGGCTGGGCTGGTTAAGAACTCTTGACCATGCCGGGCGCGGTGGCTCCCGCCTGTAATCCCAGCACTTTGGGAGGCCGAGGCAGGTGGATCACGAGGTCAGGAGTTGAAGACCAGCCTGGCCAACATGGTGAAACCCCGTCTATACTAAAAATACAAAAATTAGCCAGGTGTGGTGATGGGCGCCTGTGATCCCAGCTACTCAGGAGGCTGAGGCAGAGAATCGCTTGAACCCAGGAGGCAGAGTTTGCAATGAGCTGAGATCGCACCACTGCACTCCAGCCTGGCCACAGCGCGAGACTCAGTTTCAGGAAAGAAAAAAAAAAGAGAAAGAAAAGAAAAAACATAATATCAAGCCTGTTTATGAACATTATCATAATAATGAGATTGATCTAACTCAAAGAAAGTTAGTTAGGCCTGTGTCTCTGAGAGATTTCCTCTTTTTCCCCTGTGTGAACAGTTTTAGGTCTCAGCAGGAAAAAGGAGAAGTTACCAGGCGTTTGTGCTACTATTACATCCATGAGCCAATCCATAAACTGACACTTCAAGTTTTGCAAAAGGAAATTGTGAACACCCAAAATGTTCAAACAACGTAAGTGTCCATCCATGGAAGAATGGATAAACACAGTGTGCTCTATATATTCAATGGGATTTTTCTTCTTTTTCTTCGTTTTTTTTTTTTTTTTTTTTGAGACATAGTTTCATTCTTGTTGCCCAGGCTGGAGTGCAATGGCGCGATCTCGGCTCACTGCAACCTCCGCCTCGCGGGTTCAAGTGATTCTCCTGCCTCAGCCTCCCAAGTAGCTGGGATTACAGCTCACTGCAACCTCCGCCTTGCAGGTTCAAGTGATTCTCCTGCCTCAGCCTCCCAAGTAGCTGGGATTACAGCTCACTGCAACCTCCGCCTTGTGGGTTCAAGTGATTCTCCTGCCTCAGCCTCCCAAGTAGCTGGGATTACAGGCATGCACCACCATGCCCAGCTAATTTTGTATTTTTTAGTAGAGACAGGGTTTCACCATGTTGGTCAGGCTGGTCTTGAACTCCCCACCTCAGGTGATCCGCCCATCTTAGCCTCCAAAATGCTTTTTTCTTTTTCTTTTCTTTCTTTCTTTTTTTTTTTTTTTTTTTTTTGAGGCAGGGTCTCGCTCTGCTGCCCAGGCTGGAGTGCAATGATGTGATCCTAGTTCATTCCAGCATCAACTCCCTGGGCTCAGGTGATCCTCCCACCTCTGCCTCCCGAGTAGCTGGGACTACAGCTGCACACCACCATGCCCAGCTCATTTTTGTTGTTGTTGTTGTTTTTAATATTTATTTATTTATTTTGAGATGGAGTTTCGCTCTTGTTGCCCAGACTGGAGTGCAATGGCATGATCTCGGCTCACTGCAACCTCTGACTCCTGGGTTCAAGCGATTCTCTTGCCTCAGCCTCCCAAGTAGCTGGGATTACAGGCGCCCGCCACCACGCATGGCTAATTTTTATATTTTTAGTAGAAATGGGGTTTCACCCTATTGGCCAGGCTGTTCTCGAACTCCTTACGTCAGGTCATTGCAAAAAAAGTGCTGGGATTACAGGCGTGAGCCACCATGCCCAGCCTCATTTTTGTATTTTTTGTAGAGACAGGGTTTCACCATGTTGCCCAGGCTAGTCTCGAACTCCTGGGCTCAAGCGATCTGCCTGCCTCAGACTCTCAAAGTGCTGGGATTACAGGTGTGAGACACTGTGCTCGGCCTACAGTGGGATTTTAGCCATAAAAAGGAAAGGAAATCTGACATATCCTACAATATAGATGTAGCTCGAGGATATTATGCTGAGTAAACTAAGTCAGGCAAAAAAGAACAAGTGTTATGATTCCACTCATACATCCTAGAATAAGCAAATTCATAGAGATAAAAATTAGAATGGGCTGGACACGGTGGCTCACGCCTGTAATCCCAGCACTTTGGGAGGCCGAGACAGGCAGATCACAAAGTCAGGAGATCGAGACCAGCCTGGTCAACATGGTGAAACCTTGTCTCTACTAAAAAAAAAAAAAAAAAAAACTTAGCCAGGCATGGTGGTGAGCGCCAGTGATCCCAGCTACTCGGGAGGGAGAGGCAGGAGAATCGCTTGAACCCAGGAGGCGGAGGTTGCAGTGAGCTGAGATTAGGCCACTGTACTCCAGCCTGGGTGACGAAGCAAGACTCCATCTCCGAAAAAAAAAAAAAAAAAAAGAAATTAGAATGGAGGTTACCAGGGGCTGGGAGGACCGCGGCAAATACAGAGTTATTGGTTAGAGGGTGTAGCGTTCATATTGGGAATTGTGATTGTTAATTTGATTTATCAGCTAGACCAGGCCACAGGATGCTGGGATATCTGGTTAAACATTATTTCTGGGCGTGTCTGTGAGGGTGTTTTTAGAAAGATCAGCATTTGAATCTAATGCTGAGTCGGGCAGGTTGGCCTTCCTAATGGAGGTGGGTATTCTGCTGAGGGCCAGGATGGGAGAAAAAGGTGGCAGAGCCACCACAGTGGCTCACGCCTGTAATCCCAGCACTTTGGGAGGCCAAGGCAGAAGGGCTGCTTGAGGCCAGGAGTTTGAGACCAGCCTGAGTAACATAGTGAGATCCCGTCTCTACAAAAAATTTAAAAATTACACGGGGCACTGTGGCTCACGCCTGTAATCCCAGCACTTTGGGAGGCTGAGGCTGAGGCGGGCAGATCACCTGAGGTGATCACCTGAGGGAGCTCAAGACCAGCCTGGCCAACATGATGAAACCCCGTCTCTACTAAAAAGTACAAAAAATCAGCCGGGTGTGTGGTGGGCACCTGTAATCTCAGCTACCCAGGAGGCTGAGGCAGGAGAATTGCTTGAGCCCAGGAGGTGGAGGCTGCAGTGAGCTGTGGTCATACCACTGCACTCCAGCCTGGGTACAGAGTGAGACTTTGTCTCAAAAAAAGGAAAAGGAGGGAAGGAAGGAAGGAAGTAAGGAAGGAAGGAAGGAAGGGAAAGAGAGAGAGGAAGGAAGGAATGAAGGAGAAAGAGAAAGAAAGAAAGGAAGGAAGGAAGAAAGAAAGAAAGAAAGAAAGAAAGAAAGAAAGAAAGAAAGAAAGAAAGAAAGAAAGAAAGAAAGAAAGCAAGCAAGCAAGCAAGCAGGCAAGCAAGCGGGGGCTCACGCCTGTAATCCCAGCACTTTGGGAGGCCGAGGCGGGCAGATCAAGAAGTCAGGAGATGGAGACCATCCTGGCTAACACAGTGAAACCTACGAAAAAAGCCGGGCATGGTGGCGGGCGCCTGTAGTCCCAGCTACTCGGGAGGCTGAGGCAGGAGAATGGCGTGAACCCGGGAGGCGGAGCTTGCAGTGAGCAGAGATCGCACCACTGCACTCCAGCCTGGGCGACAGAGCGAGACTCCATCTCAAAAAAAAAAAAAAGAAAGAAAGAGAGAGAGAGGAAGGAAGGGAGGAAGGAAGGAAGGAAGGAAGGAAGGAAGGAAGGGAAGGAGAAAAAGAAAGAAAGGAAGGAAGGAAGGAAGAAAGAAAGAGGTTTTAGTGTAGATAGTGGTGATGGTTACACAGCGGCCTCAATTTACTTTATAGTTATCTATTTGACACTAAATTTTTATTTATGGTATTAAGGTTTCTGGGCCAGGCACAGTGGCTCACATCTGTAATCCCAGCACTTTGAGAGACTGAGGTGGGCAGATCACCTGAGGTCGGGAGTTCGAGACCAGCCTGGCCAACATGGTGAAACACTGTCTCTACTAAAAATACAAAAATTAACCAGGCATGGTGGCGCACCCCTGTAATCCAGTTACTCAGGAGGCTGAAGCAGGAGAATCGCTTGAACCCGGGAGGCAGAGGTTGTGGTGAGCCGAGATCATGCCATTGCACTACAGCCTGGGCAACAAGAGCAAAACTCTGTCTCAAAAAAATAAAATAAAATAAAATAAAATAAGGTTTCTATTCTGAATACTTTTACTTACACACAAAAAGTCAGAGTTGATCCTGAGAAAAGGGGTAAGCCAATGAAGCCAGGTGGTGGAGGCATTCAGCAAAACTCACGAAGTTGAAACTACAGGAGTTGAAGTTTGCAGAGCACTCGTTTCCAGGGAATGTCTGCACTGCACTCAGCAGGACGTCTCACTCCTCCCGTGTGCTCAGTAAGCCAAAGTTGATGTTATTATTTCCATCCCCAGCCCAACTATCCCACCAGTTCCATGATTTTCTGCAGTCCCAGTGGATAGCCCTGTGAGACTTACTGAAACAGAGGAGGGAAAGCAGCTTAGGGATCATGATGGCTCCTTAGCCCTCCCAGAGTCCGTCTTGGGTTCTGCAGTCCACAGATGGGAGAAGAGCTGGAGTCGTCGCTGCCTCTCTCCCACCCCAGAGTGTGGGCAGTAACAGCCTTTCCTAGCCTTTCAGTTTCCCCTCCCATATCCACATTCAGGAAACATGTTGATGTTGCTGATTGCAACATGCTCCTTACACACACCAGTGTTCGAGCACTTGACTCACAGGAAATGCTCCTCTGTCTCAGGCAGATTTCAGGCATCAAACAGGTAACCCCGAAAATGCTTCAGACTTGGCCCTGAAGGGTTCGTATTGAAGAGATGAAAGCACTTCACTCTTTTTTTTTTTTTTGAGATGGTGTCTGGTTCTGTTACCTGGGCTGGAGTCCAGTGGCACGATCTCAGGTCATTGCAACTTCAGCCTCCTGGGTTCAAGCAATTCTCCGGCCTCAGCCTCCCAAGTAGCTGGGATTATAGGCGCATGCCACCATGCCCGGCTAATGTTTGTATTTTTAGTTAAGATGAGGTTTCACAAGTTAGCTGGGCTAGTCTTGAACTCCTCGCCTCAAGTGATCCACCTGCCTCGGCCTCCCAAACTGCTGGGATTACAGGCATGAGCCACTGTGCCAGGCCTTCATCACCATTTTTTTTTTTTCTTTTGAGACAGAGTTCCACTCTTTCGCCCAGGCTGGAGTGAAGTGGCAAAATCTCATCTCATTGCAACCTCCACCCCCCAGGTTCAAGCGGTTCTCCTGCCTCAGCCTCCCAAGTAGCTGGGATTACAGGAGCCCTTCAACATGCCCAGTTAATTTTTGTATTTTTTAGTAGAGATGAGGTTTCACCATGTTGGCCAGGCTGGTCTCAAACTCCTGATCTCAAGTGATCCACCCACCTCAGCCTCCCAAAGTGCTGGGATTACAGGCATGAGCCACTGTGCCCAGCCAGTCATGAGCTCATTTTTTAAGTTCAGAATATTTCAGTACATATCTATCTTTATCAAATAAGAACCATTTTAAAAATAATATAAGCACCACAGCACTGTCACATCAAGAAAGTTAAGAGTACCTCCTTGATACCAGCTAATACCCATTCAGTACTCAAATTTCCCTGATTGTCTCAAAAATGTCATTTCTATCAGGTTTTTAAAGAATAAATCAGGATCCAATAAAAGTCTACAGATTGCATTTGATAATTATGTTAATTTAGCCTGGCGCAGTGGCTCATGCCTGTAATCCCAACACTTTGGGAGACCGGGGCAGGTAGATAACCTGAGGTCAGGAGTTCGAGACCAGCCTGGCCAACCATGGTGAAACCTCATCTCTACTAAAAATACAAAAATTAGCTGGGCGTGGTGGTGCACGCCTGTAATCCCAGCTACTCAGGAGGCTGAGGCAGGAGAACTGCTTGAACCTGGGAGGCAAAGGTTGCAGTGAGCTGAGATCGCACCATTGCACTCCAGCCTGGGCAACAGAGTGAGACTCAGTCTCAAAAAAAAAAAAAAAAATGTTAATTTGAATCAGACAAAATTTTTTATTTTTTTGTTAAAATAAGAAATCAAGCAAGTTAGTTTTTAACCATGTTTTTTTTCATCTTGCATTTGGAAGAAGAGCAAAATGCCCCGAAGTCTCGTTTTTGTTTTCGGATTTTTTGTCTTGATAGCACCTACTCTTCTTACTGTTTTGGAACATAGAAAAGTCAACAAGGCAACAAATTATAAGGAGTAAAACCAACTATAATTACAGGTGTTTCTTTGAAAGTTATTTTCACAAGATGTGGCAATGATTTTTAAAGGCTTGGGACTCTTACAAGACCCTTTTGTTCAAATAACAGTTTTGTGTATGAATTTATTTCAACAGAGAACAATTTAGTAATGTTTGTGAATATTCATTTAGTTCTCCATATTGTACCAGAAAACAAGACTGATATTCTTGTGAATCTTCTCAATTCAACTCTTTATCAAATCAGATTCCTTAAATTAGTGTTGTGACTCAGAAAAAATCTTTCTCCTTATGCAGTATCAGGGAAAAGAGGACATCTCCTATATTTCTTCTTAACATCTCTGTTGCTAACAAGGAATATGCATATTTTAAAACTAGGCTCTGGAATTTTATCAGTCAACAGGAAAGGCCTGGTAAAGTTCCATTCCACTTGGAAATGAAGAAAGGAGACCCTGATTCAAAAAACGAAAAAAGAAAGAATAAAGAATAGCTTAGGGCCAGGCAAGGTGGATCACACCTGTAATCCTAAGATTTTGGGAGGTGAGGTAGGTGGAAGGCTTGATCCCAGGAGTTCAACACCAGCCTGGGCAACATGGCCTAATCCCATCTCTACAAAAAATACAAAAATTAGCCAGGCTTGGTGGTATATACCTGTAATCCCAGCTTCTCAGGAGGCTGAGGTGGGAGAATCACTTGAACCTGGGAGGGGGAGGTGGCAGTGAGCTGAGATCGCACCATTGTACCCCAGCCTGGGCAACAAGAGTGAAACTCCATCTCAAAAAATAATAATAAAATAAATAAATAAATAATCATTCACTTTGTTAGGTGTTTATCACACCTAACCTTAAGAATATGTTACCAAAATAAAAAGTCTTATAGATGAAATCATATTATATCTGAGGTTTACTTTAAAATACTCCAGGAGAAAATTTAAAATAGACTTGGGGGAGGGGACTTATCTGTAGTTATCTGCACATAATCTACATGATTATCTCAAAGCCATCCTTTTGCTGTTGAGAATTCTGATTTTTAGCTGGGCCCATTGGCACCCAGGTAAAAAACTACATTCTTCAGTGTCACTTACAGGTAGATGTAGCCGTAAGTCTTCATCTAGGACAATGATAAATAAGCATAAATATTGTAGACAGCTTCCAAAAGGTTCTTTAATGAAGTACACTTTCCTTCCTTCACTTAACTGCCTAAAATGTGGATGTGATGACTGGTATTCTAGCGTCATCTTGAACCATGAAGATGAGATGAGGTTCAAGATGGTGGAGGGTGAGCCAGAAGTAACTTAGGTCCATAATGCTTTTTGGAGTCACTGTGCCAGCCTTGGACTGCTCCCTTCAGATTTATTCTACATAAGGGAGAAATCAATTGGTATTAGTTTTAAGTCATCATTATTTAGTTCTCTTTTGGGTTTAGGTTATCAATTACTGTGTTAACAAACCACCCCAAAACTGAGTAACTTAGAGTAACAATCTTGTTTTTTTTTTTTTTTAATCATTCCTGATCTGGTGAGATGACTGGGCTCAGTTGAGCGGTTCTTCGGTTCAATGTGATGTCTTCCTGGGCTTCAGTCATCAGGGTGGCTCAACTGAGCTGGAATCTCCAAGATGGCACTTGCAAATGGCTGGCTGTTGATGCTGGATGTTGGTTGAAAGCTCGGCTAGGACTGTTGAATGATGTACCTGCACATGGCCTCTCCATTTGATTCAGACTTCTTGGAGGATAGCATCTGGGTTTCAAGAGGGGATGTCACAAGAGAGCTTTCTAAAATAGAGAAGGCGGCTGGGCATGGTGGCTCACGTCTGTAATCCCAGCACTTTGGGAGGCCGAGGTGGGTGGATCACCTGAGGTCAGGAGTTCAACATCAGCCTGGCCAACATGGTAAAACCCCGTCTCTACTAAAAACAAAATTAAAAAAAATTAGCCGGGTGTGTTTGTGCACACCTGTAATCCCAGCTACTCAGGAGGCCGAGGCAGGAGAATTGCTTGAACCTGGGAGGCGGAAGTTGCAGTGAGCCGAGATCACACCACTGCACTCCAGCCTGGGCAACAGAATGAGACTCTGTCTCAAATAAATAAATAAATAAATAAAATAAAGAAGGCAAAAGTTGTTTGTCCCTTTAAAGACTAAGCCTGGAACTGACACAGTTTCTCTTCTTCTACAGTCTTAAGGAAAGGCCAGATTCAAGGGGAGGGAAAATAAACTCTACCTCTCTATAGGGACAGTGACAAAGAATTGGAGGCCATCTTTAGTCTGTCATGTGTTATGGTCAATGGAAATAGATATATATATATTTACTGAGTGCCTGAGTCCCACCGAGAGATTTTAATTATTTTTTTATTTTTGTTTTTTTAAGATGGAATTTTGCTCTTGTTGCCCAGGCTGAAGTGCAATGGCATGATCTCAGCTCACTGCAACCTCTGCCTCCCGGGTTCAAGCGATTCTCCTGCCTCAGCCTCCCAAGTAGCTCGGATTACAGGCAAGTGCCACCACACCCAGTTAATTTTGTATTTTTTAGTAGAGATGGGATTTCTCCATGTTGGTCAGGCTGGTCTTGAACTCTTGACCTCAGGTGATCTGCCCACCTTGGCCTCCCAAAGTGCTGGGATTACAGGTGTGAGCCACCGTGCCCAGTCGAGATTTTAATTTTTATAATGGGTATAGGATGAGGCCTGGGTGTCTCATTCTGTGTTTTAAATGTTCCTGGGAAATTCTAATGTGCAGTCAAGTTTGAGAACCACTGGGTTGGAACACATAACCTCCTTCCCATCTCAGACCCTGAAACATCCTGAAAACTCCTGTATCTGGAGTTTTTCCCCCATTTTTGCTTGGCTAACTTTGACTCTTCCCTCAGAAACCAGCTTCAGAATCTTTTCTTTAGCAAAGACTTCCCTGCAAGTTCTTTAACAGCACTTATCTCAGCTGTGACAAAATCATCAATGGTGTAATTGTGTCTTTTTAATGTCTTTTCCCCTATTCTTCATAATCGTCAAAGTAAAGGATAGCTCTTCTCTCAGTCAGAACTATTAATAGATGCTGTAATGGAAATGAAACAAGACTCTCAGACTCTTGTTAAAGTAAGAAGTCTAGCAGAGTCTCAGGCTTTAATTTTTTTTTTCCGATCATAAATGTGGGAGAAAGATCATTTAACCTGCTGCTAAGGTTTGAATATTTGTTCCCTTGAAAACTCATGTTGAACCAGCCTGGGCAACATAGGGAGACCCTGTCTCTACAAATAATTTAAAAATTAGCCAGGTGAGGTGGCACATGCCTGTGATCCCAGCTACTCAGGAGGCTGAAGTGGGAGGATCACCTGAGCCCAGAAAGCTGAGGATGCAGTGAACCGTGATTGCACCACTGCACTCCAGCCTGTGCAACACAGTGAGACCCTGTCTCAAAAAATAAATAGGTAAATAAGCTGAGTGTGGTGGCTCACACCTGTAATCTCAGCACTTTAGGAAGCCAAGGTGGGCAGATCACATGAGGTCAGGAGTTTGAGACTAGCTGGCCAACATGATGAAACCCTGTCTCTACTAAAAATACAAAAATTACCCGGGCATGGTGGCACGTGCCTGTAATACCAGCTACTCAGGAGGCTGAGGCAGGAGAATCACTTGAACCTGGGAGGTGGAGGTTATAATGAGCTGAGATCATGCCACTGCTGTCCAGCCTGGGTGACATAGCAAGACATTGTCTCAAAAAATACATAAATAAATAATAAATAAATAAACTTATGGTGAAACTGAATCCCTAATGTGGCCGTATTGATAGGTCGGGCATTTAAGAGGTGATTGGGTCATGAGGACTCTTTTCTCATGAATGAACTAATCCATTCATGGATTAATGGATTAGTGAGTTAATGGATTAATGGGTTACCCTGGGAGTGAGACTGGTGGCTTTATCAGAAGAGGAAGAGAGACTTAAGTAGCACGCTCAGCTCTTTTGCCCTGTGATGCCCTGTGCCACCTCGGAACCCTCCAGAGAGTCCCCAACAGCAAGAAGGTCCTCACCAGATGCAGCCCCTCCACCTTGGACTTTCCAACCTCCATTAACTACAGGAAATAAATTCCTTTTCTTTATAAGTTATCTGGCTTCAAGTGTTCTGTTCTAAGCAACAGAATACAGACTAAGACACAGACACCAATGCATAGCTTCTGATTTAACAGAATTGTTTTTACAAGCATTTATTCTGCTTGGAAATTCAGATGTCAATCATAAGATTGTTACCAGGGCAACAAAATATTAAGTAAGACCACCAAATGGCACCAAGGTTTCTCCTTCAAAATAATGATTGCAATACTGGCAATAATTTCTAATGTCTTTGGACTCCTACAAGATTATTTTGTGCAAATTACACTTCAAAGCACAGATTTATGGAACCACAGAATGGAACACTGGCTGCTGTAATAAATATCCATAGATCTCCATACTACATAAGACTATAAAACACATTTAGAGCCTTTTTAATATTCTCAGTTTATTAACTTATCAATCCACATTCCATTTTTTTGTTTGTTTGTTTTGTTTTGTTTTTTTACTTTAAGTTCTAGGGTACATGTGCATAATGTACAGGTTTGATACATGTGCCATGTTGGTTTGCTCCACCCATCAAGTTATCATTTACATTAGGTATTTCTCCTAATGCTATCCCTCCCCCAGCCCCCCACCCCACTCTGTTTTTTTTTTTTTTGTTTTTTTTTTTTTAAGACAGGGTCTCACTGTGTCACCCAGGTTGGAGTGCAGTGGTGTGATCTCGACTCACTGCAACCTCTGCCTCTCGGGTTCAAGTGATTCTCTTGCCCCAGCCCTCCCAAGTACAAGGAATTACAGGGTTGTGCCACCACGCCGGGCTAATTTTTGTACTTTTAGTAGAGACAGTGTTTTGCCATGTTGGCCAGGGCTGGTCTCGAACTTCTGGGCCCAAGTGATCCGCCTGCCTCGACCTCCCAAAGTTCTGGGATTACAGGTGTGAACCACCATGCCTCGCCTAAACTACATTCTTGAATTAGTTTTATGGCACAGAATATCTTTTTCTCCTCTCTCAATGCCCTCTCTCTCTCTAGCTCCCTCTCCTCCCCTACAGCTGCAAAGAAGAGATCTTCTTAATCCATTTCTTAAACTTCTTTTGATCAATTATAAAGAATTTTTTTTTTTAGATGGAGTCTCACTCTGTCACCCAGGATGGAGTGCAATGGCACAATCTCAGCTCACTGCAACCTCTGCCTCCCGGGTTCAAGTGATTCTCCTGCCTCAGCCTCCCAAGTAGCTGGGACTACAGGCATGTGCCACTACGCCCGGCTACTTTTTTTTTTTTTTGTATTTTTAGTAGAGACGGGGTTTCACCATGTTAGCCAGGATGGTCTCGATCTCCTGACCTCATGATCCGCCCACCTCAGCCTTCCAAAGTGCTGGGACTACAGGCGTGTGCCACTACACCCGGCTACTTTTGTGTGTGTGTGTGTGTGTGTTTAGTAGAGACGGAGTTTCACCATGTTAGCCAAGATGGTCTCGATCTCCGGACCTTGTGATCCACCCGCCTCAGCCTCCCAAAGTGCTGGGATTACAGGTGTAAGCCACTGTGCCCGGCCAATTATAAATATTTTTTAAGGCTAAACTCTGGAATTTTGCTAGTTAGCCTTAAAAGCACAAAGCAGGCCTATAAAGTTCAATTTTACTGGTAGAAAGCAAGAAATGGATGAATAGGATGTTCGCTGACAACCATGCAATTGAAACCTCCTTTGCAAAAATTACGAGAGTGAGCAAACGATGGCAGTGAAGGAGATCGGATCTGGCCAGCCCCTACCTTGCCTTTGGCCCTCAAACTGCTTGTAGTTATTCCTGGGTTTAGGCTAATCTGACTTGTCTCTTTGGGAGACATTTATTTTATTTTCTTTTATATTTCCTTGAGACGGAGTCTCGCTCTGTAGCCCGGGCTGGAGTGCAGTGGTGAGATCTCGGTTCACCGCAACCTCTGCATCCTAGTTCAAGGGATTCTCCTGCCTCAGCCTCCAGAGTAGCTGGAATTACAGGTGCCTGCCACCATGCCCGATTAATTTTTGTATTTTTAGTAGAGACGAGGTTTCACCATGTTGGCCAGGCTGGTCTGAAACTCCTGACCTCAAGAGATCCGCCCGCCTTGGCCTCCCAAAGTGCTGGGATTAGAGGAAAGAAGGAAAGGAAGGAAAAGAAAGGAAAAGAGAGGAGAGGAGAGGGGAGGGGAGGGGAAGGGAGAGAAAGGAAAGGAAAGGGAGAGAAAGGGAAGAGAGAAAGAAAGAAGAAAAGAGAGAAAGAAAGAAAGAAAGAAAGAAAGAAAAATAAAGAAAGAAGAAAAAAGAAAAGAGAAAAGGAAGGAGGGAGGGAGGGAGGCAAGGAAGGAAGGAAGCAAGAAAGAGAGAAAGAGAGAAAAGAGGCTCCTTATAAATAACAAAAGACACCCTTCTCACCAAGGGTTTTTGGAAATTCCAGAGTGATGGGGTGAGAAGGGTGTCTTTGGAACCAAAGCTGAAGACCAAGTACATATTTCTTACTATATCACGGTATCACGGGAGGTAAAACGGAGGTGGCCTTGAAGCAGCTCCTCCCCAGCCCCCAATCCTCTTGTGTGCCCGGAGGATCAGAAGAGGTCCCGCCGAGACTCAGCTTAGCTGTGGTTCAAGCCTCTGATTGCGTGGATAAGTACCAGGTTTCCAGAGTGCCAGGGCGGGGCTGCCCCTTGCGGTGGCATTAACTTTCCATGGCTATTTAAAATCAGCAGAGGACACACGATCTTCAGATGGGTCCTGTTTTACTTCCATATTTTCTCCTAGAGAGAAGAAAAATCATTAAACTTTTTTTTGTTTGTTTTTTGTTTTTTTGTTTTATTCGTTGTTTTTTTTTTTTTTTTTTTTTTTTGAGACGGAGTCTCGCTCTGTGGCCCAGGCTGGAGTGCAATGGCGTGTATCAGCTCACTGCAACCTCTGCCTCCAGGGTTCAAGTGATTCTCCTGCCTCAGCCTCCCGAGTAGCTGGGATTACAGCTTTGTATTTTTAGTAGAGTCGGGGTTTCACTATATTGGCCAGGGTGGTCTCCAACTCCTGACCTCAGGTGATCTGCCTGCCTTGGCCTCCCAAAGTGCTGGGATTACAGGCGTGAACCACCGCACCTGGCCTACTGTATTTTTTTTTTTTTTTTTGAATAGAGAAGGGAGTCTCAAACTCTTGGCCTCAAGCCATCCTCCTGCCTCAGTTTCCCAAAATGCTGGGATTATGAGTGAGCCACTGCACCTATCCCACCCCCTCCCACCCTCATTTTTAGAAGGGCACAGGCTAGAGACCATATTTCCATCAGTCACTTTTGCGGCTAGACCTGTCCATGAGACTAAGTTCTAGCCAATGGGATGCGATAGGAAGATACATGCTCAAATTCTAGGTCCTGCTCTTAAAAAATAATTGTGTGGGCCGGGCGCAGTGGCTCACGCCTGTAATCCCAGTACTTTGGGAGGCTGAGGCAGGCGGATCACGAGGTCAGGAAATCGAGACCATCCTGGATAACACGGTGAAACCCCGTCTCTACTAAAAATACAAAAAAATTTAGCCGGGTGTGGTGGTGGACGCCTGTAGTCCCAGCTACTTGGGAGGCTGAGGCAGGAGAATGGCGTGAACCCGGGAGGCGGAGCTTGCAGTGAGCCGAGATCGCGCCACTGCACTCCAGCCTGGGCGACAGAGCAAGACTCCAACTCGGAAAAAAAAAAAAATAATAATTGTGTGAGCCCTTTTCTCTCTGTCCTCTCCTCTTTCTTGGGGCTCAGAACCAGAAATTAAAGCTACATGTTGATAAAAGCAAAACCATCCCACCTTAACAAGTAAATCGTTGAGATTGCCCAGTGATTTACTGTTAAGTGAGAGAGAGGTACATTTATATCTAGTTTTTTTCCGGTGGTGAAGGAGATTCTTTTTTTCTCTCTCTCTCTCTTTTTTATGAGATGGAGCTTGGCTCTTGTTGCCCAGGCTGGAGTGCAATGGCACGACCTCGGCTCAGTGAAACCTCCGCCTCCCGGGTTCAAGTGATTCTCCTGCCTCAGCCTCCCGAGTAGCTGGGATTACAGGCATGCACCACCACACCAGGCTAATTTTTTGTATTTAGTAGAGACAGGGTTTCACCATGTTAATCAGGCTGCTCTCGAACTCCTGACCTCAGGTGATCCACCTGCCTTGGCCTCCCAAAGTGCTAGGATTACAGGTGTGCGCCACTGCACCTGGCCGGGAGATTCTTTTTTACAACAGCTTAAAGTGCTCTGTAACCAATACACTATGCAGTGATTTGGTTAATACTTTGTGAGTTCCATGAGTGCAGGGTTTATGTCTGCTATTGCTCCCCACTGGACCGCCGGACTCTAGCACAATGCCATGCACGGTAGACATTGAATACATGAGTGATACGAGGATGAATGAGACTAGGGGAAATCAGTGGAAGCCCTAGGCCTGGCACAGTGACTCACTCCTGGAATCCCAGCACTTTGGGAGGCCAAGGAAGGAGGATGGCTTGAGGCCAGGCATTCAAGACCAGCCTGGACAACATGGTGAGATCCCATAGCTATAAAAAGTAAACAATTAGCCGGGCGCGGTGGCTCACGCCTGTAATTCCAGCACTTTGGGAGGCCGAGGGGGGTGGATCACGAGGTCAATAGATCGAGACCATCCTGGCCAACATGGTGAAACCCCATCTCTACTAAAAATACAAAAGTTAGCTGGGCATGGTGGTGGCACACGCCTGTAATCCCAGCGACTCGGGAGGGCGAGGCAGGAGAATCACTTGAACCCAAGAGGCGGAGGTTGCAGTGAGCCGAGATCGCGTCATTGCACTACAGCCTGGCAACAGAGCGAGACTCCATCTCAAAAAAAAAATAATAATAATAGTAATAATAAATTGGCCAGGCGTGGTGATGGCAGTGTTGTCATTGCTTTAAGAGGCAGGAACAGGGGGAAAAGACCCAGCAGTCTAACCACACAGACAAGTCCCAAGTTAGGCACTTCTGTGTGTCTTGGGGGCTGTTGATCAGAAATAACCTATGTGGATCACCCAGCAAAATGACCAGTATGAAAAGATGTTCAGTGGTAGAAAATGAAATAAGCATTGTGACTACAACTCACTCAATAAGCATTCATTGAACACTGGTCACTGGTAAACTGCTATGAAGAAATCTCAGCTGGGTGCGGTGGCTCACGCTTGTAATCCCAGCACTTTAAAGGGAGACCAAGGTGGGCAGATGGATCACTTTAGGTCAAGCGTTCGAGAACAGCCTGGCCAACATGGTGAAACCCCATCTCTACTAAAAACACAAAATTAGCCGGGCATGGTGGCAGGTGCCTGTAATCCCAGCTACTTGGGAGGCTGAGGCAGGAGAATCGTTTGAACCCGGGAGGTGGAGATTGTAGTGAGCTGAGATCACAACACTGCACTCCAACCTGGGAAACAGAGCAAGACTCCATCTCAAAAAGAAAAAAAATCTCAAGCTTATTGGATAGATAAATGCACAGGTAGATAGATGGATATTGAATGAATAAATAGTTCAGTGGATTAAAAACTGGTTAATGAAGAAATGGATGGGTAAATGGATGGAAATATGAATGAATGCATGATGGATAAGGACAAATGAAATAGACAAATGTACAAATGAAAGCAAAGGAAAAAGAGATGCTCAATAGAAATGAATAAGGATGAGAATCAATGCTAGACATGAATGAGTGAATGGTGAATGAAGGAGTGATTGAATGGATGAATACATGGAGTTAAGTTGAAGTACAAACTCGGCCAAGACTTCTTTTTCTCTGCTTTGGGTGGAAATACATTTTTAAAAAAAGAGGGCCGGGCACGGTGGCTCATGCCTGTAATCCCAGCACTTTGGGAGGCTGAGGCGGGCGGATCACCTGAGTTTGGGAGTTCGAGGCCAGCCTGACCAACACAGAGAAACCCTGTTTCTACTCAAAATACAAAATTAGCCAGGTGTGGTGGCTCACACCTGTAATCCCAGCTACTCGGGAGGCTGAGGCAGGAGAATCACTTGAACCTGGGAGGCGGAGGTTGTGGTGAGCCGAGATGGCGCCATTGCACTCCAGCCTGGGCAACAAGAGCGAAAGTCCACCTCAAAAAAAATAAAATAAAATAAAATAAAATAAAAAAAGAGGGAAAAAGGAAAAAAAAAGACTCCCTGATGTGCCACTGACTTCCTGTACATGTTTAGGTAAACTTAATATCACCTCTCTTTCCACCATTTTCCCATTTATAAAGTGGGAAGACTGGATTTGATGACATCACAGCCTCATCCAGGTCTGGTGCCTTCCTTATAACCTGCGTCTCTTCTTTATTCTTTTTTTTTTTTTTTTTTTTTTTGAGACGGAGTTTTGCTCTGTCACCCAGGCTGGAGTGTGCAGTGATGCAATCTCGGCTCACTACAACCTCCGCCTCCTGGGTTCAAGCAATTCTCCTGCCTCAGCCTCCCGAGTAGCTGGGATTACAGGCGCCCGCCACCACGCCCGGCTAATTTTTGTATTTTTAGTAGAGACGGGGTTTCACCATGTTGTCCAGGCTGGTCTCGAACTTCTGACTTCGTGATCCACCTGCCTCGGCCTCCCAAAGTGCTAGGATCACAGGTGTGAGCCAGCACCCCCGGCTTATTCCTTTTTTAAAATTGTTATTATTTCCCACAGCCACATATGCCGGGGAGGTTGTCCCACATATGTTCTACCAAGGCCCCTCTGGCACTGAGATCAAACCCCGGAAGACCCGCTCAGTCTCTCCTCCCGTCTTTTCAACACGTTAGCGCCCCCAGGTGGCTAATTAGACTTCAAAATTCAGTTCTTGAGGCGGGCGGATCACTTGAGGTCAGGAGTTCAAGACCAGTCTGGTCAACATGGTGAAACCCCGTCTCTACTAAAAATACAAACATTAGCCGGACATGGTGGTACGCACCTGTAATCCCAGCTATTCGGGAGGCCGAGGCAGGTGGATCACTTGAGGTCAGGAGTTCGAGACCACCTGGCCAATTTGGCAAAACTCCATCTCTACTAAAAATACAAAAATTAGCTGGGCGTGATAGCGCACACCTGTAATCCCAGCTACTCAGGAGACTGAGGCACGAGAATCACTTGAACCCGGGAGGCGGATGTTGCAGTGAACCGAGATCACGCCACTGCACTCCAGCCTGGGTGGAGTGAGATCTTCTCTCAAAAAAAAAAAAGAAAGAAAGAAAGAAAAAGTCGTGCTTGATTATGCTTGATGGCAAAAAGGTGAGACCTTCCTTTCGGCACTGAGTCTGGTAGAAATCGGTGTTACAGGGTAGCTAACATTTATTGAACACTTACTACGGGCCAGTTACTGCTTTAAATGTTTTATGTGTATTACCCACTGAATCCTACAACAATCCTATGAAGTGGGTTTTATCAGTGCATCCATTTTACCGTCAAGGCAAGAGAGAGTTGGGGAAGGGCGCTTTCTGAATGCTGCTACCGTGTCCAGAGTTGGTTCCTTCCTGTGGGTTTGTGGTCTCGCTGACTTTAAGAATGGAGCCAGGGACCTTCGTGGTGAGTGTTACAGCGCTTAAAGATGGCACGGACCTAAAGAGTTAGCAGCAGCAAGATTTATTGTGTAGAGCAAGAGAACAAAGCTCCCACAGCGTGGAAGCAGACTCTGGTGGGGTGCCGCGCTCGCCAGCTTTTATTCCCTTATTGTCCCCGCCCATGTCCTGCTGATTGGTCCATTTTACAGAGCGCTGATTGGTCCATCTTACAGAGTGCTGATTGGTCCATTTTACAATCCTCTTGTAAGACAGAAAAGTTCTCCAGGTCCCCATTCAACCCAGGAAGTCCAGCTGGCTTCACGTCTCACTACTACCTTTCTGTAGCTGCTACTACTACAGTGAGTAGACGGCAGTGCTGGGATTCGAACCCTCTGTCTTCTGGCTTGGAAGTCTTAACCACTAATCGCGTCTTCCTTTCAGCTACTCCTTGGGAAAGGCCTGGAAAGAAGCTACAGCACAGGGCACAGCGGGGTCTAAGGACCGTTCCGCGGAGCTCAGCCAGCAGGACTGTGGGGCTGCAGGAAAGGACAGTCCAGCCCAGGGTCCCAGCTTCTCCGCCACTCAGGTTGGAAGTCTCGGGCTGCAGTGCTCCTGGGGCTCAGGGGCGGATACCAGCAGGAGCGCGGTTCTGACTGCGCCAGTCAAAAGTGACCAGCGCGCCCAGGGAGATGAGGACCAGCCCGGCCAGCCCCAGGCGGACTAGGTTCCCCCGGGTGTAGTCGGAGGAGCCAGAGTCTGCGGGCGGAGCCGGGAGAGAGGGGCCATCAGCTCCCGGACCCCAAAGTCTGGGCCCTGAACTCCAGGTTTCCAGCCCCTGGGGTGGACTTAGGGACCTGACTCTACAGTCTCAAAGTTGAGGGGGAGTCGATGGAGGCTTCAACTCCTGGGTCCAGGAAGAAGGGGCTGGGGCCTGGACTGCTGGATCAGGAAGGAGGGGCTGGGGGCCTGGAGTCCTGGGTCCAGGAAGGAGGGGCTGGGGGCCTGGAGTCCTGGGTCTGAGGGAGGAGGTACTGGGGCCCGGGAATCCTGGGTCTGAGGGAGGAGGAGCTGGAGGACTAGACTCCTGGATCTGAGGGAGGAGGGGCTGGGTCCCAGGAATCCTGGGTCTGAGGGAGGAGGGGCTGCAGGACTAGACCCCTGGGTCTGAAGGAGGAGAGGCTGGGGGCCTGGGCTCCTGGGTCTGAGGGCGGAGGTCCTGGGGCCTGCATTCCTGGGGCGGAGGAGGCGGGCCGGGCCTCAGGGCCCTCACCTTCCCAGCTGATGACCAGCACCTCGCTGCGCTGCGACAGCACGTAGGGCGCGGAGGGCGTGTGATAGTAGCAGCTGTAGGTGCCGGGGGCGCGGGCGCCCAGCAGCGTGAAGTCGGCCCAGGGCTGCGCGGAGTGGCGGTACTGCAGCGGGGCCGCCACGCCCTCGCGGTACAGCACGAAGCTCATGTTCCGCAGGCGGCCCGCGCAGCGCAGGCTCACGTTGGCGCCAGGACCCACCACCGGCCCGGGCAGCGCCACCAGCGACGGCCGCGGCAGCTCCTCTGCAGAGACGGGGTGAGAGTCCGGGGCCGCGTGAGCGTCTTCCGCTCGCTCGCTCGCTCTGTTTCTCCTTCTCCTCTGTCTCTCGCTTTCTCTGTGCCTCTCTCTCTCTTTCTGCCTCTCTTTCTCTCTGCCTGTCTCTCTCTCTGTCTGCCTCTCTCTCTGCCTCCCTCTCTCTCTGCCTCCCTCTCTCTGCCTCCCTCTCTCTCTGCCTCCCTCTCTCTCTGCCTCCCTCTCTCTCTGCCTCCCTCTCTCTCTGCCTCCCTCTCTCTCTGCCTGCCTCTCTCTTTGCCTGCCTCTCTCTCTGCCTCCCTCTCTCTGCCTCCCTCTCTCTCTGCCTCCCTCTCTCTCTGCCTCCCTCTCTCTCTGCCTCCCTCTCTCTCTGCCTCCCTCTCTCTCTGCCTGCCTCTCTCTCTGCCTGCCTCTCTCTCTGCCTCCCTCTCTTTCTGCCTCCCTCTCTCTCTGCCTCCCTCTCTCTCTGCCTCCCTTTCTCCTTCTGCCTCTTTCTCTCTCTCTCCCCCCGCACTGTACCTCTCTCTCTCTCTGCTCCCCTGTCTCTCTCTCTCTGCTCCCCTGTCTCTCTCTCTCCCCCTAGTGTCTCTGTATCTGTCTTTTCTTGTGTCTGTGAATCTGTTTGCCCGCCTCGCTCTGTCTCTCTTTCCCTATATCTCTCTGTCCCTCCCCCAACTCCCTTGTTCCACCCACTTCTCCTCCCCGACCCCAGGACCTCACCTGTCACCAGCAGCTCCAGGACATCGCTGGGCTGGGACCAGACACCCGGCCCCCAGTCTGGCCTTCGGTAGCAGCAGCGGTAAATTCCCCCTTGGGCTGGAGTCACCTCCTCCAGAAAGAATTCTGCCAGCTCGGAGGACACATCCCGGAAGAGAAGGGGAGCGATCTCTCCAGGCTTGAAAAGTCCAAATCTCCAAGCGGGTTGGGGTGCCCGGCATCTCAAGGTCACGTTGACCCCAGGGGTCACAACTGTAGCCGGCTGAGCTCCCAGCCATGGCTTAGGGTGGTATGAAGCTGGGGGGACTGAATAAACGGGGCTGCCTGGGTCCTCGGGCCTCCTGGGAGCCCCAGAAGATGAAAGGGAAGTTGGGGAAGGAGGAAAATCACCTTGGACAATTACTGCCCCTTTCTTAGCCTCAGTTTCCTGTTTGTAAAATCAGGGAGAGACTGGACTACAATCAAGCCTTGTTAAAACCAGGTGCAAATCAGAGGGGCAGGACAGAAACTTCTGAGCTTTACTCCACAGTTTGTAAACACAGTTTCAAAAGGTCAGGTCCCAGAACTCTGTAATTTTATTATTATTATTATTTTTAAGTAATGAGATGGGAGGGGGCGGTCTCCCTATGTTGAGCAGGTTGGTCTTAAACTACTGGCCTCAAGCAATCCTCCCACCTCGGCCTCCCAAAGTGCTAAGTTTACAAGCTTGTGCCACCACACCCAGACTTTTTTTTTTTTTTTTTTTTTTTTTGAGGCAGGGTCTTGCTGTGTTGCTCAGGCAGGAGTGCAGTGGCATGTTCTCAACTCACTGCAGCCTCAATCTCTTGGGCTCAAACAGTCCTCCACCTCAGCCTCCTGAGTACCTGGGACCACAGGCACATGCCACTACACCAGGCTAATTTTTTTTTTTTAATTTTTAGTAGAGACGAGCATTCGCTATATTGCCCAGGCTACTCTTGAACTCTTGGGCTCGAGCAATCCTCCCACCTCGGCCTCCCAAAGTGCTGGGATTACAGGTGTGAGCCACCACGCCCAGCCAGAACTCTAATTTTAAATAGCTTTCCAGAATATTTGCAATATAGTATTTCAAGAGTTGCCAAAACTTGCTATTTGGAAAAGAAAAATGTTGGATCCCTACCTCATACCATTTCCCAAAACAACTTCCAGATTAATTAAAGACCCTGTGTTTCTTTTTTTTTAAACTATAAAAGTATTCAAAAAACTATAGGAAAATATATTTGTCTTGGGGTAAGGAAGGCTTCTTAAAATATAAAATAAAAAGTTGTATGGAAGATTAATTAATTTGACCACTTCAAATTTCTTAAGTTGTGTATGCTAAAAGACAAAACTGGAGGACAAATGATAGTACTGGCAGATATCACTTATTCACAAATCACACAAATTAAGAGTACAGGAAGGCTGTTGGGTCCGGTGGCTCACAGCTGTAATCCCAGCACTTTGGGAGGCCAAGGTGGGTGCATCACCTGAGGTCAGGAGTTCAAGACCAGCCTGACCAACATGGTAAAATCCCATCTCTACTAAAAACAGAAAAATTAGCCAGGCGTGGTAGTGCTAGCTTGTAGTTCCAGCTGTTTGGGATGCTGAGTAGGAGAATTACTTGAACCCTAGAGTCGGAGGCTGCAGTTAGCTGAGATCATGCCACTGCACTCCAGCCTGGGCAACAGAGTGAGAACTCCATGGTGGCATGCACTTTGGGAGGCTGAGGCTGGAGGATTGTCTGAGCCCAGGAATTCAAAGCTGCAGTGAGCTATGATAGAGCCACCGTACTCCAGCCCGGGTGACACAATGAGACCCCATCTCTAAAAATGAATAAAAATAAGGGTCGGGTGAGGGGGCTCATGTTTGTAATCCCAACACTTTGGGAGGCTGAGGCAGAGGGATCACCTGAGGTCAGGAGTTCCAGACCAGCCTGACCAACATGGGGAAACCCTGTCTCTACTAAAAATACAAAAATTATCCGGGCATTGTGGTGTGTGCCTGTAGTCCCAGCTACTCAGGAGGCTGAGGCAGGAGAATCCCTTGAACCCAGGAGGTGGTTGCAGTGAGCCGAGATTGCACCACTGCACTCCGGCCTGGGCGACAGAGAGAAACTGGTCTCAAAATAAATAAATAAATAAATAAAATAAATAGGTAGAGATAGCTATAGCGACACTGAAATATCTCCAAAAGAGTTTTTGTTTGTTTGTTTGTTTGTTTGTTTTTGAAGTGGAGTCTTGCACTGTCACCCAGGCTGGAGTGCAGTGGCGCGATCTCAGCTTACTGCAACCTCTGCCTCCTGGGTTCAAGCGATTCTCTTGCCTCAGCCTCCTGAGTAGCTGGGATTACAGGTGCGTCCCACCACACCCGGCTAATTTTTTTTTTTTTTTTTTTTTTTTTTTAGTAGAGACGGGGTTTCACCACATTAGCCAGGATGATCTCGATCTGACCTTGTGATCCGCCCGCCTCTGCCTCCCAAAGTGCTGGGATTACAGACGTTGGCCATTGCGCCCAGCCCAAGATCCTATTTCTTAAGCCCTGTACTGTGCCAGGCTCAGGGTTTTGCACATGTGATTTGATGAGATCTCACAGCGGCCCATTTTACAGAGAAGGAAATGGAGTCTTAGCAAGCTGTGACTTGTTCTAGGTCATATGGTCACATATAAATGAATACGATGGTGAAACTGAGGTCCTAGCTTAGGCCTCTGCCTCAGAAGTTCCTGGTCTTCAGTACTCACCTATAATGGCCACTAAGGGGAATGAGAAAAGAAGGAAGGAATGGAGGGAGGGAGGAAAATAAGGATATCTGGGATGGGATTGGGCACCAAAATAAAATCTGAGTAATTGGAAAAGGGGTGTCAGCAACAAAAGGAGAGTGGATGGGGTGGCTACTCACCAGACGGAGTGATGTCTGTGTGACACAGAGGCCCTGTAGGAGGTTGAGGGACTAGTTTCTTTTTCCTTTTTTTTTTTTTGTCTGAGGCAGACTCTCACTCTGTCGCCCAGGCTGGAGTGTAGTGGTGTGATCTCAGCTCACTGCAACCTCTGCCTCCCAGGTTCAAGTGATTCTCCTGCCTCAGCCTCCGTAGTAGCTGGGACTACAAGTGCCCGCCACCACACCAGGCTAATCTTTGTATTTTTAGTAGAGAGGGGTTTCGCCATGTTGGTCAGGCTGGTCTTGAACTCCTGTCCTCAGGTGATCCACCCGCCTCGGCCTCCCAAAGTGCTGGGCCTCGGCTCCCACAGGCATGAGCCGCTGCGCCCAACAGCGAGTTCTTTTCAAAACCCTTTGTGGCCAGCCCCATCTCATTGGTAACCCAGGAATCTGAGTTCCCAGCTCCTATCTCCTCTGGGAAATGAGAATCTTATCCCTCCCTCCTCCTGTCTCAGTAGGCAGAAATTTGGACATCCATTGCCCACCTACCGAAGAAGTCTGAACGCAGACCCCTCTGGCCTGGGCAACCAAGAGTTCAGGCCCTTGAACTCCACCTTTCCAGGGAACAATGATCGTAGAGTTTCTCCTCTCACGAGTTCAGGAATCTGGGTCCCCATTTCCCTCTTCTCTCAGGAGCTAAGAGCCCTGTTCCCAGCCCCCTTTTCCCAGGGAATCAGGAGTCCTGGCTTCCATCCCCCTCCCATATAAGAATCTGGGAGTCCTCCCTGTCTCCTGACCTCTTCCTGCCTCAAGAACCAGAGATACCTGTCCCCACCTCCTTCCTCTTTCGGGAATCTGTGTTCTCTTGCTTTAGGACCCAGGGGTCTGGGCCCCAGCCCTGTTCTTTATTTGAACCTAGAATCCCAAACCTGCTGCCTGGTCCCCCTGCAGGGTGTCTGGGTCTCCATTGCCTCTCTCTCTGCCCCCAACCCCAGCCAGGAACCCAGGGAGAAGAAAGGGGTGACTCACAGAGGGTCAGCAGCTGGAGGATCAGCACCAGGGCCATGGTGGGCAGATACCCGCTAGAGCTGGAGCCAGGGCTTGGTCGCACCCTCTCCCCTCCCAGGAAATGAGGCAACATCAGAAAACCAGACCCAGATCCTCATTTACGGAAGAGAGTATCGAGGTGGGGGCCTGTGGGTGACTGTGTCATAGCCCTATGGCACTGTGGAAAAATTAGCAGGGGGTTCAGTCATAACCTGTGGTGTTCATTTATTTAACTCTAGAAACAAATACTAGTCAGGAGGTGGAGGCAGGAGGATCGCTTGAGCCCAAGAGTTCAAGAGCAGCCTGGGCAACAGAGCGAGACCCTGTCTAAAAAATAAATAAATTGTGCCACTGCACTCCAGCCTGGGTGATAGAGTGAGACCATGTCTTTAAATATAGATAGACAGATAGAAAGATATCTGTCTGTTTTAAAAATAAGAACCTATTATGTGCCAGACTCTTGCTGTCATTGATTGACAGATAGATAAAAATTTGCACCTATTATGTGCCAGGCCCTTGCTGTGATTGAAAGATAGATAGATGGATGGATGGATAGATAGATAGATAGATAGATAGATAGATAAAAATTAGCACCTGTTAAGTGCCAGGCCCTTGCTGTGATTGATTGATGGATAGATAAAAATTAACACCAATTATGTGCCAGGCCCTTGCTGTGATTAATTGATCGATTGATAGATTGGTTGACAGAGAAAAATTAGCACCTATTATGTGCCAGGCTCTTGGTGTGATACTGTGTTAGATAGATAGATAGATAGATAGATAGATAGATAGATAGATAAAAATTAGCCCCTCTAGGCCGGGCGCGGTTGTTCACGCCTGTAATCCCAGCACTTTGGGAGGCCAAGGCGGGTGGATCACCTGAGATCGGGAAGTTCGAGACCAGCCTGACCAACATGGAGAAACCCCCGTCTCTCCTAAAAAAGAAAAATTAGCCGGCTGTGGAGGCGCGCGCCTGTAATCCCAGCTATTCAGGAGGCTGAGGCAGGAGAATCGCTTGAACTCGGGAGTCGGAGGTTGCTGTGAGCCGAGATCGCGCCATTGCACTCCAGCCTGGGCGACAGAGCTAGACTCAATCTCAGAAGAAAAAAAAAAAAATTAGAACCTATTACGTGCCAGACCCTCGCTGTGCCATGTTGGCAGGCACAGAGGGAACTCAGACTCCGTTACTGCTCTCAAGCAGCAGCTACCAGTCCGACTGAAAGACCAAGACCAGGTCAGTTTCCTTTTTTTTTGAGACGGAGTCTCGCTCTGTCGCCCAGGCTGGAGTGCAGTGGTGTGATCTCGGCTCACTGCAAGCTCCGCCTCCCGGGTTCACGCCATTCTCCTGCCTTAGCCTCCCCAGTAGCTGGGACTACGGGCGCCCACCACCACGCCCGGCTAATTTGTGTTGTATTTTTAAGTAGAGACAGGGTTTCACCATGTTAGCCAGGATGGTCTAGATCTCCTGACCTCGTGATCCGCCCGCCTCGGCCTCCCAAAGTGCTGGGATTACAGGCGTGAGCCACCGCGCCCGGCCCAGACCAGGTCAGTTTCTTAAGTGATCTGAGCTATAATGGCGGTAACAGAGCACTGTGAGAGCCCGCAGAAAGCTCCTAACCCATCTGGGATGAGACCTAGCGCTTCCAGGACGAGCCGATGTTGAGCTGAGACCTCGAAGGACAGGTTAGTCATTCACCTTCTCCCGGGCTCAGTTTCTTCGTCTGTAAAATGGGCTTTCATACATAAACTATAAAATGGGGACTATTTTGTTCCGCCTTAGGTGGGTCGCAGCAGGAGGACTAGTCACTCCGGAGCGACTTCTAGGCTGAGACTAAGGAGATTCCACGCAGGTCCGCAAAGTCAGGCTTGCGCTTGCTCCTGACACCACTTCCTTTACCTCCACGGCTCCATCTTTGTTCTGCGCGAGTGCGCACGCGCAGGCTCCGAAAGCGGGCCGTCGCACAGAGGGACCACAACTCCCAGAGTGCTCCGCGTCCTTGCTTTCGCCTCTACTTGTGCTCCAGGGCGCACGCGCAGCCCTGGGAGCGGGTTCTCGCGCATAGGGACCACAACTCCCAGGGTGCTCCGCGTCCTCGCCGCTGTCGCCGCCGCGGAGACAAAGATGGCTGCGAGTAAGTGCAGGTTCCGGTGGCGCACGGGGCTCGGGTAGTTCTGGGAACCTCTGGGCGGTCCTGGGACTGAGGTGCGGCAGGGCAGGGGTGGAAGCGATGGGGTCCGTGCTGGAGGGGAACGCAGAAGTCACGAGGGGGCTCCTCCAGGGCAGGGGTGGCACGAGAGGGTTAGAGGTCACCGGGGGCAGCTACTTGCAGGGGTGACGCTTCTTGCCACCCCTTCAGGAGTCGGCGCCTTCCTCAAGAATGCCTGGGACAAGGAGCCAGTGCTGGTCGTGTCCTTCGTCGTCGGGGGCCTCGGTGCGTGAGTGCTCCAGGCGCAAACTTGCATCGTCCACCCCCGTCCCCCTACATCCCTCCATCTTGTACCCCTAAAGCCCTATCGCCGCCCTCGGGTCCCCTCTAGTGTGTCTGCACCCCCACGGCATCCCCTTATCTATCCCCATACCCATTATAACCTCTCCACCATCGCCCCCCGCGTTCCTCTCCACCTACCCAATACGCTCTTAACCCCTCTAAATGAGACGTTCTCAACCCTGCTTATGCCTTAACACCTGAGCACCAAAAAAAAGTCCAGATCCTCCTCCTCCTTTTCATCTTTCCTCTCCCCCATTCTGAATTGAGTTGGCTTGGGTGGAGGTGGGACTGGGGAATCTGTGTCTTGTGAAAATCCCCGTATGATCCCAATGTGCCTTGCTGATTGAAAATCTCTGCCCTCTGCCCTGGAACTGCCCTACTCACACTTTAATTAGCACCGGAGTTCCTGCAGGGATGGGGGCGGGGGATTGTTAAAATGTAGCTTTTTTTTTTGCGATGGAGTCTCACTCTCACCCAGGCTGAAGTGCAGTGGCGCGATCCCGGCTCACTGCAACCTCGGCCTCCTGGGTTCAAGGGATTCTCCTGCCTCAGCCTCCCGAGTAGCTGGGATTACAGGCGCCCAGCTAATTTTTTGTTTTTGTTTTTGAGACTGAGTCTCGCTCTGTCGCCCAGGCTGGAGTGCAGTGGCGCGATCTCGGTTCAGTGCAAGCCCCGCCTTCCGGGTTCACGCCATTCTCCTGCCTCAGCCTCCCGAGTAGCTGGGACTACAGGCGCCCGCCCCCATGCCCGGCTAATTTTTTGTATGTTCAATAGAGACGGGGTTTCACCGTGTTAGCCAGGATGGTCTCGATCTCCTAACCTCGTGATCCTCCCAACTCGGTCTCCCAAAGTGCTGGGATTACAGGCGTGAGCCACCGCGCCCGGCCAGCTTTTTTTTTTTTTTTTTTTTGAGATGGCGTCTCGCTCTGTCTTCCAGGCTACAGTGCAATGGTTTGATCATGGCTCACTGCAACCTCCGCCTCTAGGGTTCAAGTGATTCTCCTGCCTCCGCCTCCCAAGTAGCTGGGATTACAGGCGAGCACCACCACGCCCGGCTAATTTTTGTATTTTTAGTAGAGACAAGGTTTCACCATGTTGGCCAGGCTGGTCTTGAACTCCTGACCGCAAGTGATCTGCCTTCCCAAAGTGCTGGGATTACAGGGGTGAGCCACTGCGCCCGGCCAAACTGTAGGTTCTGATTCTGTAGGTCTGGGGTGGGGCATGGGATTCTGCATTTTTGAAGAGTTCCCAGGTCTTGTCAGTACTGCTGGTCCACCAGCCAGGCACTAGGTTAAGGTTCTGAACACTTATTCAGTATGGCAGCCACCAGCCACAACTGGCCACTGAGCATTTGAAGTGGTGCTGGTATGAATTGAGGTGGTATAAGACACTGGATTTCAAAAACTTAGTATAACAGAGTGTGTAAACTACCAATAATCTTTTGTTGATTACATGGCGAAGTGATGTTTTGGATGTACTATGGTTTTTTTTGTTTGTTTGTTTTTGTTTTTTTGAGACGGAGTTTCGCTTTTGTCCAGGCTAGAGTGCAATGGCCTGATCTCGGCTCACTGCAACCTCCGCCTCCCGGGTTCAAGCGATTCTCCTGTCTCAGCCTCCTTAGTAGCTGGGATTACAGGCGCATGCCACTACACCTGGCTGTTTTTGTATTTTCAGTAGAGACGGGGTTTCATCATATTGGTCAGGCTGGTCTCGAACTCCTGACCTCAGGTGATCCACCCGTCTCAGCCTCCTAAAGTCCTGGGATTATAGGCATGAGCCACCTCGCCCATCCAAGTATGTTTCTTAAAATTTGTTTCATCTGTATCTCTTATTTTTACTGTAGCTACTAGAAGATATAAAATTATATACCTGGCTCTTACCATCTGTCAGACAGCACTGGCCTAGAACATTCCTTTTATGAACTGTACCCCATCCCCCAGGACTCCTGGCTCCCACCCTAAATGGACTGTGGTCAGTGACTGTTGTTTGTGCAACCCTTTCTCCTCCAGTTTGTAAGGCTTTTTTTTTTTTTTTTTTTTGGTGATGGAGTCTCTCTCTGTTGCCCAGGCTGGAGTGCAATGGCACAATCTGGGCTCACTGCAACCTCTGCCTCCCAGGCTCAAGGGATTCTTCTGCCTCAGCCTCCTGAGTAGCTGGGATTACAGGCTCCTGCCACCACGCCCGGCTAATTTTCGTATCTTTAGTAGAGATGGGGTTTCATCATGTTGTCCAGGCTGGTCGCGAACTCCTGACCTCAGGTGATCCGCCCACATTGGCCGCCCAAAGTGCTGGGATTACAGGCTTGAGCCACTGTGCCCGGCCAAATTTGTAACAGTCTTGATTTCTCCAGAACAGTCCCATGACACTACCCCCAGGATGCTCCATGATGACCCTACACTCAAACGTGCTCATTCCATGACCAACCCCACTGCTGCCTCCTCCAGGCCCCACGTATCTGTGAGTGTTAGGCTCCAACCCCTACCTCCACTTAACCCCCCAAAAAAGAGTTTTAAACCCTCCTGTCTATAAGTAGGGATCCCAAGGTACCAAGGATCCTCCTGGACGTGCTGGCCCTCCCTGCTGCCCTCCCCCTGCGCACTTTATCTTCCCTTTGCCAAGGCTCACCTTCTCTTCCCCTCTCTTCAGAGCCACCTTCCCCTGGGCCTCACCCCTGTGTCTCTCCACAGCTGTAATTCTGCCCCCATTGAGCCCCTACTTCAAGTACTCCGTCATGATCAACAAGGCCACGCCCTACAACTACCCAGGTGAGTGGGGGCCAGGCAGGGATCCCCGGAATAGGCCCAGCCTCCCTGTGCTGGCGTAAGGGCAGTTATGGGCAGGTCTTTCCTAAGCAGTTATCAGAGATTCTGCAGTGGTGCCCGGACCCCCCGTTCCATTTTTTAAGAATTGAGATATAATTCGTATACTATTCTGTGTTTGTGCTTCGTTTTTGTTTTTTTGGGTTTTTTTGAGACAGAGTCTCGCTCTGTCGCCAAGGCTGGAGTGCAGTGGCGCGATCTCAGCTCACTGCAAGCTCAGCCTCCCGAGTAGCTGGGACTACAGGTGCCCGCCACCACGACACGCAAACTTTTTCGTATTTTTTTAGTAGAGGCGGGGTTTCACCGTGTTAGCCAGGATTGTCTCGATCTCCTGACCTTGTGATCCACTCACCTCGGCCTCCCAAAGTGCTGGGATTACAGGTGTGAGCCACCGCGCCTGGCCTGTGCTTCGAGTTTCTATTACCTTTCCAGATTTCTGTCTCTCTCTGGGTTCCCATCTGTGGTGGTTTCTTGGTCTCCATCTTCTCAGGTTTCTGTCCTGTTTCCCCATCTCTTTTGACCCTAGCTCTCTAGTGCGCGGGATCTCTCCCTCGCTATCTCTCTGGTTTTCCGTGTCTCTCAGTCTCTGTATTTCCCGCCTCTTTCTGCATCACTGATTCTCTGACCCTTCCCCTCTCACCCCTGGGGTCCCCCTTCCCTCTCTGAACATAAAGCGACAGACCAGCTCTTCTCTCCAGGGCCCTGGAGACGTGCTGGTCTCAGTGGCCCACCTCCTGCCCCACAGTGCCCGTCCGTGATGATGGGAACATGCCCGACGTGCCCAGCCACCCCCAGGACCCTCAGGGCCCCAGCCTGGAGTGGCTGAAGAAACTGTGAGCACCTCCACTGACAGAGGCGGCCCCTCCCACGGCTCCCAATAAAAATGTGAAAACCAACCCCCGAACGTGAGCATGTGTGTGATCAGAGGTGGGAACAAGTAGACGGTGGCCGGGGTGAGTGTGGGGTCAGTTTATTGGGCATGCGTCAGTCAGAGGCTGGGCTGGCCAGGGTCGGGTAGGGCAGCAGTTTGTCTGGACCCCGAGAAACCCAACTGGAATCCAGGGCCTCATCTGCTTCAAAGCCAAAGTCTTCCTCAACCTTAATCTGCAGGAGATAAGGAACAAGGTGTTAACAGGCCTGGGAATCTAGAAAATCCCATCAGCTTCACCATTTTTGTTTTCATTTTGTTTTGCTTTTTAAAGAGACAGGGTCTCACTCTGTTGCCCAGGCTGGAGTGCAGTGGTGCCATCATAGTTCACTGCAGCCTCTGCCTCCCAGGCTCAAGTGATCCTCCCACCTCAGCTTCCCAAGTAGCTGGGACTACAGGCACTTGCCAACCAAGCCTAACATGTTTTTTCTTTTTGGTAGAGATGGGGTCTCAGTATGTTGCTCAGGCAGGTCTCAGACTCCTGGCCTCAAGTGATCCTCCCACCTAGGCCTCCCAAAGTGCCGGGATTACAGGCATGAGCCACTGCACCTGGCCAGCCTCACAGTTCTTGTCTGCCCAGGCCAGTCACCTTCCTCCTTACACCTCAGAGGCAATCCCAGTGTTCCTGGGTCCAGATGTTCTTCCAGCTTTCCTCCCCACACTGGGCCTTCCCTTCCACTCCGTCTTCTCTGATCCTTCCTTCTCCTCTACTCCCAGCCTTCTCTAGCTATTTTTCCTTCTCCAGGTCTTCCTCTTTCCCTTTCCAACTTTGCCTCCTTTTTACCCAAGCCTTTACCCCACTTTTTCCAACTACTTCCCTGCCTGATCCTAGGCCTCCAACATGTCCTGGTTCACCTCCCTTCTCCAACTTTCCCCAGCCCTGGGCCCCTCGGGGTGCAGAACCAAAACCCAAGAGCCCTGAACCTAACTCAGCCCCAGCCCTGGCCCCTCCCCTTGAGTCCCCCCTCCTTACCTGCACTGGCGCCGGCTCTGGAGCCCCAGTCCCTCCCCTTGAGTTCCCGCCTTCCTCACCTGCACCGGGGCCAGCTCTGGAGTCAGCGCATTTCCTGCTCGGCGTCCATCCCGTGGCACTCGCCGCCTCTTCCGCCCACTGGGCCCCTCACCGGGGGCTGGGCTGCCGGGTTCTGGGGGTGCAGGAGTCCTTCTGGGCGGGGACAGTGTCTCTTTCTCTGGAGGCTCATTCTCCGCATTGCCTGGGGTGGGGGCATCCGTGCCCTGGCTGCCCTCATCCTGGCAGGCAGGAGGGGGAGGTAGGTGATGGGTGGGTCCTGAGCTCCCAGTTCCTGACCCTCCTGGAGGCCCAACACTCACCTCCAGCACAATGGTGAACTGGCTGGCCCGGTAGTCATCCCCGTAGGAGTCCAGCACTCTCATGAGGAACCTGCTCAGGGGGAGAAGCCACCAACGGAATAACTTATCTCCTAGCGGCTGGGGAAAAGGGCCACAGGATAGAGCTCAGCTCCCACTCCACTCAACGCCAAAGCTGTCCTGGAGCCAGACGGTCCTGAGCTCTGGCACTGGAGGCCTGGGAGCCATGCCCTTGACCAGCCTTGAGACCTCGAGCAAGACAAGGCAACCATTCTGAGGCTGAGTTTCCTGCTCTGCAAACGACATGACACCCTCGGCTGGATGTTGCAGCGGTGACACTGAAGTAGTGACACCAGACGATTTCTGTACTTAATGTGATGTCAGCACTTAGTAAACATTCATATGTGAGTTATAATTTTTATTGATAACTGAAGAGAGGGGAGTACAGAACGCTCCTCCTAATGACCTCACCTCTTATAAACACCCCCTTCTCTTTTTTCCCCAGCCCCTGCCTCCAGAGTTCCTTAAGGTTCAATTGATGGAATGCCTCCTCTGCACCAGCACCTGGGCAGGTTTGTTGTTGTTGTTTTGCGACGGAATCTCACTCTGTCACCCAGGCTGGAGTGCAGTGGCGTGAATTTGGCTCACCACAACCTCCACCTCCCTGGTACCAGCGATTCTCCTGCCTCAGCCTCCCGAGTAGCTGGGACTACAGGCGCCTGCCACTACACCCGGCTAATTTTTTTGTATTTTTAGTAGAGACGGAGTTTCACCGTGTTAGCCAGGATGGTCCCGATCTCCTGACCTCGTGATCCGCCTGCCTCGGCCTCCCAAAGTGCTGGGATTACAGGCATGATGAGCCACTGCGCCCGGCCTATTTCAACTTAAGTGAAAATCTCACCTGTGGCCAGCGGCTACCGTGCTGGACAGCACAGGTACGGACAGAGGAACCCTGGGAGCCGCAGGTTTCAGCTTTGGGGAGGGAGGATGAACTAGCAAAGGCAGCCAAGAAGGAACAGCCGGAAAGGCAGGAGACCCCAGGTTGCTGGGTGCCCAGGATGGCAAGAATGGGCTCCAGGGAAGAGCACATAGCCCTGGGCCACTGTGCCGAGCCTGAGCCAAGGACTGAGATGAGAACTGTGGTTGACTCAGCAACGTGGAGCCATTCCTACAAAACTTGCTCCAGTTTTGCTGGTACAGGGACACTGCGAGTGGCAGGGGCAGCAGCCACCTGGGCAGGTTCTGTGGAGACACACAGTGGGAAGCTCTGAGCTCAGCTCACCACCTGCAAGCTCCGACAACCCTGCCGCAGCCTCATGATATTGGTGCTGCCCTTAGTTGATAGGAAACAGCTCAGAGAAGGGACACTGCTTGCTTAGAGTCACACAGCAAAAAAAAAAGAAAATACTTGCAGTCAGGTCTGTGCTCGTGTGCCTTCCATCCTGCTGTTCCCTCCCTTCAGGGGGAGGAGGCCCTCCACCCGGCCCTCCCTCAGTCCCAGTGCTCAGCCCTCTCCACCCGGCCCTCCCTCAGTCCCAGCGCACAGCCCCTTCCACCCGGCCCTCCCTCAGTCCCAGTGCTCAGCCCTCTCCACCCGGCCCTCCCTCAGTCCCAGTGCTCAGCCCTCTCCTCCAACACCGAATCCCACTCTTCCTCCTTGTTTGCCTCAGCCCCCGGCCCTCATCTCCGGCTTCTCCTTGTGGCTTGTGAGGGTTGGGTGGATGTGGAAGTGGGAGAGACAGAGGGGCTGGGAGCATTTGGGAGCTGAGGCTCACAGGCCCAGAGGGGACGGAGAAGGGGTTACCTCCGTTCCTGCTGCAGCCTCCGAGTTATCCTCTGCACCTGATGGAGCCTGTTCAGGACCCGCTCGTTCACCTATGGGGTGGGAAACGCCCATCAGCTGGATCCCACGGCTCCCGTTCATTTGTTTAACGGATGTTTAATGGGGCACGCACTAAACTCTGGAGACTGGCCAAAGACCATCCCGTGGCCTGAGGTCCTTCCACCTTCCCATCCCTCCGGCTCCCCTCTCACCATGCCACAGTCCTGAGTGCCCTCCAGTGGGGGCCTTCCGCGTGCTGTTCCTCTACCTGGACCCTCTCCCCAGTCATCCGCACAACTTACTCCCCACTCCAAGTCTTAGGTCAACTGTTACCTGCTCAGAGAGCCTGAACCTCCCATTAAGTCGAAACACACCAGGCCAGGTGCGGTGGCTCACGCCTGTAATCCCAGCACTTTGGGAGGCCGAGGCGAGTAGGTCCCCTGAGGTCAGGAGTTCGAGACCAGCCTGGCCAACATGATGAAACCCCATCTCTACTAAAAATACAAAAAATTAGCTGGGCGTGGTGGCAGGTGCCTGCAGGATAGTCGCACGAACCTGGGAGGTGGAGGGGTGAAGTGAGTTGAGATCACCCCACTGCACTCCAGCCTGGGCAACAGAGCGAGGTTCTGTTTCAAAAAAAAAAATTGCAACACACCCGACCCCCCTTCCCATGCCAGAACCCCACCCGGCCATTCACTCCTGGCTTTATTTCCTCCTAGTGCTCATCTGAGGAGGCAGGACGCAGCCTCTCCGCCTCTTTGCTTATTCTGCTGACTGACCGCCTCTCCAGCCAGAGCATGAGCTGAAAAACGACAGCAACTTGTTTCTACATCCCGTGCCTTAACCAGAGCCTGGCACGTAGTACATCCTCCATGAACATTTGCAGAATCAATGACTTTGCAAAGTGAGAAGTGCTTGGTGAATACCAAAGAGTCAGACATGCTGGAGGTTAGGGCAGGAGGTGCGACTTTAGTTACGACCTGCAGAGAAGGCCCGTGGGCCCAGACTTGAATAAGGAGGAGACAAAGGGGTGACAGGAGGAAAGTATGCCAGGCTGAGGGGACAGCCCTGCACGCAGCTTCTGAGGACTCCAGCCTAGACATGGAGGGAGAGATGTGACTCAGCCAAACAGGGACCCAAAGACAGTGGCTGAAGCAGGTGCTGCTCCTGGGTCAGAAAGACCTGAGTTCCGGGCGGGGCACAGTGGCTCACGCCTGTAATCCCAGCACTTTGGGAGGCCGGGGCGGGCAGATCACTTGAGGTCAGGAGTTCAAGACCAGCCTGGCCAACATGGTGAAACCCCGTCTCTACTAAAGATACAAAAATTGGCCGGATGTTGTGGCACATGCCTGTAATCTCAGCTACTCAAGAGTTTGAGGTCGGGAGTTCCAGACCAGCCCGGCCAACATGATGAGACCTCATCTCTACTAAAAAAAAAAAAAAAAAAAGAAAAATACAAAAATTAGCTGGGTATGGTGGCGCATGCCTGTAATCCCAGTTTCTCAGGAGGCTGAGGCAGGAGAATCGCTTGAACCCAGGAGCTGGAGGTTGCAGTGAGCCGAGATCACACCACTGCCCTCCAGCCTGGGTGACAGAGTAAGACTCTGTCTCAAAAGAAAAAAAAAAAAAAAAGTGCCAGGCACGGTGGCTCACGCTTGTAATCCCAGCACTTTCAGAGGCCAAGGCGAGCGGATCACCTGAGGTCAGGAGTTTGAGACCAGCCTAACGTGGTGAAACCCTGTCTCTACTAAAAATACAAAATTAGCCAGGTGTAGTGGCGCATGCCTGTAATCCCAGCTACTCGGGAGGCTGAGGCAGGAGAATCGCTTGAACCCAGGAGGCGGAGGTTGCAGTGAGCTGAGATTGCAGCATTGCACTCCAGCCTGGACAACAAGAGCGAAAATCCATCTAAAAAAAAAGAGTTCAAGTTTTGGCTCTGGCTTGGCACAGTGGCTCATGCCTATAATCCCAGCACTTTGAGAGGCCAGGAGTTCGACACCAGCCTGGGCAACAGAGTGAGACCCCAACACTCAAAAACTAACCAAAAAAATTAGCTGGGCTTGGTGGCTGTAGTCCCAGCTCCTTCGGAGGCTGAGATTGCTAGAGTCCAGGATGTTGGGGCTGCAGTGAGCCACAGTCATGCCACTGCACTCCAGCCTGGGCAACAGAGAAAGACCCTGTCTCAAAAAAAAAAAAAAATCTCAGATCTGCCACTGCTGAGCTCTGAGCTTGGGTGCATTACTTAACCTCTCTGAGCCTTGATTTTCTATACTTGTAAAATAGTAGTAATCTATTCCTGGGGGTGGATTAATGGCAGAGGCTCCAGTTGAGTCCGTTTGGGCCTTGGTGTCTGTCTGTTAAACAGGGTTTGGAATATGCCCCTGGCCTCTAGCCTTCCTCCTTACAGAACTCCCCAATACTGTCATTAAGAATTGAGGCCAGATGTGGTGGCTCATGCCTGTAATCCTAGCATTTTGGGAGGTCAAGGCGAGTGGATCACTTGAGGTCAGGAGTTCAAGACCAGCCTGGGCAACATGGCAAAACCCCATCTCTACAAAAAGTACAAAAATTAGCCAGGTGTGGTGGTGTGTGCCTGTAGTCCCAGCTATTTTGGGGGCTGAGGCAGGAGGACTGCTTGAACCTGGGAGACTGAGGCTGCAATGAGCTGAGATTGCGCCACTGCACTCCAGCTTTGGTGACAAAGTGAGAACCTGTCTCAAGAAAGAGAAAAAGAGTTGAAGGCCAGGCGTGGTGGCTCAAGCCTGTAATCCCAGCACCTTGGGAGGCTGAGGTGGGCAGATCACCTGAGGTCAGGAGTTTGAGACCAGCCTGACCAACATGGTGAAACCCTGTCTCTACTAAAAATAGAAAAATTAGCTGGGTGTGGTGGCGGGCGCCTGTAATCCCAGCTACTAGGGAGGCTGAGTCAGGAGAATCACTTGAACCCAGGAGGTGGAGGTTACAGTGAGCTGAGATGGTGCCATTGCACTCCAGCCTGGGAGACAAGAGCGAGACTCCACCTCAAAAAAAAAAAAAAAAAAAAAAAAAAAGTTGAATTATTTCCCCCAAAAGAGGGTGTTGAGGCTTTAACCCCCAGTACCTCAGGATCACCTTATATGGAGACAGTGTCGTTACAAAAGTAATCAAGTTCAAATGAAGCCAGTGGGTGGGCCCTAATCCAGTATGACTGGAGTCCTTATAAAAAGGGTAAATTGGGACACAGACACACACACAGGGAGCAGCAATGTGAAGATGAAGGCGGAGATCAGGGTGATGTTTGTACGTGCCAATGACTGCCAGAAACCTCCAGAAGCCAGGGGAGAGGCCTGGAAGATTCTCACAACCCTGTCGACACCTTGCCTTGGATGTCTAGCCTCCAGAACTGTCAGACAGGAATTTCTGTGCTTGAGGGACCCTATTTGTGATAAGTTCTGGGAGTCCAAGCAGACTAATACAACTGTCTTCAGAGTTTCAGGCATCCAGACCTGATGCTGTTCCTCCCCCATTTGAAACCCTTCAGTGGCTCCTTCACTCTCAAGGAAAAAAAAATATCCAGACTTCTTGTCCTGGTGTTCCTGGCCTGCCAAGATCTGAGCCCTGCCTGCTGTTTAATCCTCATTGATTGATTGATTGATTTTGAGACGGAGTCTCACTCTGTCACCCAGGCTGGAGTACAGCAGCATGATCTTGGCTCACTGCAACCTCCGCCTTCCGGGTTCAAGCAATTCTCATGCCTCAGCCTCCCTAGTAGCTGCGACTACAGGTGCGCACCACCACACCTGGCTAATTTTTTTGTATTTTAGTAGAGATGGGGTTTCACCATGTTGGCCAGGCTGGTCTCGAACTCCTAACCTCAGGTGATCCGCCTGCCTCAGCCTCCCAGTGCTAGGATTACAAGCGTGAGCCACCATGCCCAGCCCATCCTTATTCTCAGCAAGGAGGCTATTGCAGTCATTCAGCCCAGACAGCTGGAGTTTGCAATGGCAGCCATAGGGATGGAGGAGAGGAGAAGGGTCCAGAGACACTCAAGAGGCGGAATGAATGAGTCGAGAGGAGTGAATCCTGGCAGGGGTATGGGAGATGTGAAGAGCTTGGGCTTTCACCTGTGAGCGGTGCCACGCATTGAGAGGCCCCCGGGAGACATCAGAGAACCCATCTGCGTTGTCAGGGAAGCTCCACGGGAGATGGCCCTTCCAGGGGCCCGGCACAGGGCCAGACACATAATGCATGCTAAATGACTGAATATATAAGCTAAATGACTGAATATATCAGCAAGCCAAGAAAGGCTGGGCATGTGGAAAGGCAGAGATTGCGGGGGGCGGTAGTTTAGGCCAGGGGACCCCAAAACCGGGGGATCCGCACTCACCTACCTGCTCGATCTCCCGGCAGCGCCGACCTAGTGCCTGGTACTTTCTGCGATTTAATTCCCGCTGGCGCCGCCGCCGACCCCGGGCTGCCTCTTCCTCTTCATCTCGCTCCCGGAGCCCTGAGCCGCCCAGACCACCTGACACAAACTCCACTTCCGTCTCCAGCTCGCTCTCCAGGATGTGGCCACCAAATAGGGGAGGCAACGCCAACTCTGAGCCTGGCGGCGCTGAGAACTCCTCAAAGCCCACGGCTGCCATGGTCCTGAGAGGCAGGGAAAGGCTCAGGGGCCCTGGATCCTGGACCCCCAGCCCCTTCTCCCACTGAACCAGGAGCCCAGACCCCAACCCCTCCTCCCTGAGATCCTAGAATCCAGGCCCCCAGCCCCTCCTCCCTCAGACCGTAGAATCCAGCTCCCAGCCCTCCTCCCTCAGACCCAGAAGTCCAAGTCCGCAACCCACCCTTCGCAGCACCCACAGGGTTCAAGCCCTGACCCCCTCCTCCCAGGATGCAAGAGTCCAGACCTCCAGACTTTTTCTCTCCAAGGACCCAGGGAGTCCAAGCCCCAACCCTCAACCAGACGCAAGAGTCCTGGCTTCCAACCTCCTAGTCTGTCAGATCCAGCAGTCCAAACCCCTAACCTTCTCCTCCCTCAGGATGACCCCAGTCCATAAAAGGGTTCTAAGGTAAAGCAGTTGCATGAACTACAACCCCCATCAGACCTCAGCGTAAAAGCTCATATGGTTGCACACAATGCAGCTGCACTGTTTTCTGGGATTCGCACTTTTTCACAAGGGCTCAGCCACATACCCTTCTCTCTGCTCCAATTCCATCTCCGCGACCTCCGGAAGCCCCGGGCCTCAGAGCTTCCGACCTCTTCAATCTGTAGGTTAAGCCGTTCGCAAAACTACTTGTCCCATCAGGCTCAGCAGCCGAGGACGGCGGGACGTGGCCCTAGGCCTTGTGGGAGTTGTAGTTTCCTGTTTCCGGCTTCGCTTCGGCCCACCCCCACGTCCACCCCGAATCCCTGCTTAAAGGCCTTGCTTTCTTGTCTAACGCCGCAACCAGTCCTCTGAGTTGCCAACGTCTTTCTTCTTGTCTCGACGCCCCGTCGTCCGGCCACAGCGATTCTCTGCTTAGCAGGATCGGTCCACAGCGGGACGTGAGTCCCTTTCCTCCTCGCGGCTTACCGCCTCTCTCCGCCTAGTGCCAGGTGCTAATAAAGTTGTTGTTTCAAATGCGGCCAGGAACATCGCGAGCGGGGACCAATCAGAGAGTAGCTTTGCCTCTATAACGGCGCGAGAGTGAGACGTCATCGGTGAGCGACTAACGCTAGAAACAGTGGTGCGCGGAGAGGAGAGGTGAGTGTGATGGAGACCACGGGGAGCGGGAGGCTGGGCTCCTGGGTCTGGGAGAAGAAGTGTGTGAGGAAAAAGGCGGGTCTTTACAGCTTGGTTTTTGTTTTTTTGTTGTTTGTTTGTTTTGAGACGGAGTCTCGTTCTGTTGCCCAGGTTGGAGAGCAGTGGCGCGATCTCGGCTCATTGCAACCTCCGTCTCCCGGGTTCAAACGATTCTTCTGCCTCAGCCTCCAGAGTAGCTGGGATTACAGGCGCCCGCCACCACCCCTGACTAATTTTTGTATTTTTAGTAGAGACGGGGTTTCCCCATGTTGGTCAGGCTGGTCTCGAACTCCTGATCTCGTGATCCGCCCGCCTCGGCCTCCCAAAGTGCTGTGATTACAGGCATGATCCACCGCGCCTGGCCAGTTGTTTGTTTGTTTTGTCTGAGACGGAGTTTCGCTCTTGTTGCCCAGGCTGGAGTGCAGTGGCGCGATCTCGGTTCACTGCAACCTCCGCCTCCCGGATTCAAGCGATTCTCCTGCCTCAGCCTCCCGAGTAGCTGGGATTACAGGCGCGCACCACCACGCCCGGCTAGTTTTTTGTATTTTTAGTAGAGACGGGGTTTCACTATGTTGGCCAGGCTGGTCTCCAACTCCTGACCTCAGATGATCCACCCGCCTGGGCCTCCCAAAGTGCTGGGATTACAGGCATGAGCCACCGCTCCCGGCCTTTTACAGCCTGTTTACCCAAAAGTCTTAATATGCGCCTACCATGGTGTGGCCCTGGGGATGTGGAAGGAGCAAAAATTGTTCGCTACCCTCTTAGAGCTTTGGTTGATGCCTGGCAGACAGGCTTTATCAAATAATTACTTCATTAATCACAAATGTGTGAAGTGCCTTACTGTAGACACGCAGAGCGTGCGGGACACGTTATCACAAAGCAACCTCCTGTAGTCTAGAGTGGGGCGTGTGGGTCAGGGAGGTGGAACGTGAGAGCTGAAGGCTGAGGAGATGCTGGGCTACTAAGAAGTGAGGAGAGCCAGACGCCATGGCTCACTCCTGTAATCCCAGCACTTTGGGTGGCCCAGGCGAAAGGATCGCTTGAGCCCAGGAGTTTGAGACCAGCCTGAGCAACACAGTGAGACCCTGTCTCTACAGAAAAATTTAAAAATTAGCCGGGCGTGCTGGTGCGTGCCTGTCATCTCAGCTATCGGGAGGCTGAGGCGGGAGAATCGCTTGAGCCCAGGTGATCGAGGCTGCCGTGAGCTATGATGGCGCCACTGCACTGCAGCCTAGGTGACAGAGCAAGACATGGTCTCAAAAAAAAGAAAAGAAAAGAAAAAACAAAGTGAAGGAAAGGGCCACTTTAGTTACAAGGGACTCCTGTACAAAGACCTGGAGGCGGGAAGAGACCGATAATGTAACCAACTCAAGTTTCTGCTACTCAGAGGCAGAGGAAGTGGGGGGTGGTGAAAGTAAAGCAGCTTTACTGATCAAATGCTCGCAGATGAGAAATGGCCAAGCTAATGTCTTTAGAAGACCATTTCAAGCTTTAGGCTGGGGAGAGGGGCTTAAAAAGGGGAACTTTGAATGGGAGGCATACAGGAGTGGTGCTGGGTACAAGGTATGTGTGTCTTGCTCCGAAGGCTGTCTTGAGTCACGGGCCACCTGGAGCATGGGCTGGTGTCAAGTCAACAATGGCCACGTTGTAGATTGATCGCCTTGAGGTGATCTCTGGAGTTTTGCAGCTGGGTTTCCATACCTAGTTTGTTTCAAGATTAGCCCCTGCGGCGAGGCGCGGTGGCTTACGCCTGTAATCCCAACAGTTTGGGAGGCCAAGGTGGGTCGCTCACTTGAGGTCAAGAGTTCAAGACCAGCCTGGCTTACATAGTGAAACCTTGACTCTACAAAAAAAAAAAAAAAAAATTAGCTGGGCATGGTGGCAGGTGCCTGTAGTCCCAGCTACTCAGGAGGCTGAGGCAGGAGAATCGCTTGAACCCAGGAGGTGGAGGTTGCAAGTGAGCCAAGACTGCGCCACTGCACTCCAACCTGGGTGTCAGAGCCAGACTCCATCTTTAAAAAATAAATAAATAAAGATTAGCCCCTGGAACTTCTAAGTAAGCACATAGATAAGCCAGCAGTGCAAGACAGTATCTAGTGGGAAAGGAGGGAAACAAAGAATTTCAAAGTATGTTTTCAAGGCTAAAGGCAAGAAAGGAATAAGAAAGTTTGCAAATGCATTTGGAATCTACACCACTTGGTTCCAGTAAGTCTTAGCAAGGTGGCGGTCATAGGGGTGTGCTGCGTCTTGCACAGGTCGGAGCTGGAGACTCGCCAGTGAACAAAACAAACTAAAGCACCTGTTGTCGTGGAGCCTGCATGCTAGTGGGGTTGATAAAGAAGGACCAGGGTCTTCTGGGGGAGAATCATCGCTCAGTAATAAGGAGGGACTTTGTCGGGGCAAGTTTTTAGGGAACGCTGCTGTCCCTCCCCAGGCCTCGGGATGTCTCTGGCAGATGAGCTCTTAGCTGATCTCGAAGAGGCAGCAGAAGAGGAGGAAGGAGGAAGCTATGGGGAGGAAGAAGAGGAGCCAGCGATCGAGGATGTGCAGGAGGAGACACAGCTGGATCTTTCCGGGGATTCAGTCAAGACCATCGCCAAGCTATGGGATAGTAAGATGGTAAGAGGACAAGAGGTGTTCCTAGCAGGGGGCTCTAGACAGAATCTCCCAGAAGGGGGTGATACAGGCTTCTTTTTGAAGAGTGCTGGATTCTGACTGTCTTCTCCTTTCCTACAGTTTGCTGAGATTATGATGAAGATTGAGGAGTATATCAGCAAGCAAGCCAAAGCTTCAGAAGGTGCTTCCTCCCACTCTGTGCCCCTCCCCATCTCCTGTCTCTCCTGCCAGGCCCCCTGGCTCCCTGGCTGCTTGTGGCTGGGTATATCTCCTTCTCAGCCTTTTCCAGAGCCTTCTTTTTTTTTTGTTTCACCCCAACCCGTTCCCTTTTCCACTAAATATATATTGCATTGTAAAGCTCATGCTTCTTAAGTCCTTCCTGTGTGCTGAGCTTACTGATCATGATAGGACTCAGCTTGAGGTTTCCCAGACTTCACTGATTCACATGACCGGTTACAGGGTTTTTGCCACATCTATAAGCCGCTTATCCTATTATTTGCTTAACATATTCTTTGAGTCTAGGACTTTTTTTCTTAAATTTATCTGAGAAGGAAGCAAATTGCTACCATGAATGGAAAACTGGTATCATTTGGCAAAGACAAAGTCACTGTATAAAAATAGATATATAATTATTTAGGAACCACCTAAGGCCGGGCGCCGTGGCTCACGCCTGTAATCCCAGCACTTTGGGAGGCGGAGGCAGGTGGATCATGAGTTCAGGAGATCGAGACCATCCTGGCTAACACGGTGACACCCCGTCTCTACTAAAAATACAAAAAATTAGCCAGGCGTGGTGGCGGGTGCCTGTAGTCCCAGCTACTCAGGAGGCTGAGGCGGGAGAATGGCGTGAACCTGGGAGGCGGAGCTTGCAGTGAGCCGAGATCGTGCCACTGCACTCCAGCCTGGGCGACAGAGCAAGACTCCGTCTCAAAAAAAAAAAAAATAACCTAAAACCTTTTCTCATGCCCAAATTGAGAGAACACTAGCTTATCTCATGAGTGCTCAGACTCACTCTTAAGAGGGCAGTCCTGTTACCATTCCTATTCTTTTTTTTTTTTCCTTGAGATAGAGTCTCCCTCTGTCGCCCAGGCTGGAGTGCAGTGATGTGTTCTTGGCTCATTGCAACCTCCACCTCCCGGGTTCAAGCGATTCTCCTCCCTCAGCCTTATGTATAGCTGGGATTACAGGTATGCAACACCATGCCTGGCTATTTTGTATTTTTTAGTAGAGATGGGGTTTCACCATGTTGACCAGGCTAGTCTCGAACTCCTGACCTCAAGTAATCCGCCCACCTCGGCCTCCCAAAGTGCTGGGATTACAGGCATGAGCCACTACGCCCAGCCTTCCCATTCTTCTTGAATGGAATTTGTTGATGACAGGAAGCCATAGGAGGTTTCTGGGGAAAGAAGTGTAGTGAGAGGGCAGAGTTTCGGGAGACTCACTGCTTGCTTTCTTTAACGTTTACCTGGGCACCCAGTTGAATCGCCCAGGTCTTTGCTCTCAAAGTACTCAAGGTCTAGTGGAAGAGGCAGGCCAGGTTCCAGACAGCTATCAGTGGTGGTACCAAGCTGGGGACACCGGAGCCACAGGAGGGACTGGCTGACCCTGCCCCAGGTGTCAGGAAGAATCGATAGCTGAATTGGACTGTAGAGCATGAATGCATGTGCCAGGCAAAGAAAGGGAGAAGGGGGCCCAGGGAAAGACAGCGGCAGGCCCGGGGCCTCAGATATCCGGAGAGAGAATCCTGCAGAGTTCCAGATGCCAGGCCAAGGAATTTCTCCCTCCAGAGGGTTATGGGACACAGAAAGTGACATTTCCTGATGTCAGGCCAGGCTCAGGGATGGAGTCAGACCCCGTCACACCCGGTGTCTGGTTGAGGAGGCAGAGGTGAAACATCTCACAAGCTGTGGCAGTCCCTGTTTACTGGAGGTGCACAAGTGCTGCGGGTACACAGAGGAGGCGTCTGATCCTTCCAGAAAGGGAGGGAAGGATTCTGAGTCGCTGCCTGAGTCTTAAGGACTTAAAGAGCCATTTGAGCATCAGGGTTAGGAGTGCAGACTCTGACGCCGCCCTGCCTGGTGTCAGATCTGAGCTCTGCCTTCTACTGGCTGTGACATCAGGCAGTTAGTATTTGCATGACTTTTAAACACAACATCTTTTTGTTTGTTTGTTTTTTGAGACAGGGTCTCACTCTGTCACCCAGGCCAGAATGCAGTGGCACGATCCCAGCTCACTGCAGCCTTGACCTTGTGGGCTCAGGCGTTCCTGCCTCAGCCTCCCAGGCAGCTGGGACCACAGGTGTACACCACCATGCCTGGCTAATTTTTTTTCTTTAATTATGTGTAGAGATGGGGTCTCCCTATGTCGCCCAGGTTGCTCTCCAACTCCTGGGCTCAAGCAGTTCTCCTGCCTCAGCCTCCCAAAGTGCTGGGATTACAGGTATGAGCCACTGTGCCTGACCTCTTATTACTAAAGCACAAAGAAGCGTTTTCCAGAAACAGACGTGGGGTAAGGGATGCTCTGGGGAGAGGGAGCAGCACATGCAGAGGCCAGGAGGGGTCTGGCGCGGTGGCTCACGCCTGTCATCCCAGCACTTTGGGTGGTCAAGGCAGATGGATCACCTGAGGTCGGGAGTTCGAGACCAGCCTGCCCAACATGGTGAAACCCCGTCTCTACTAAAAATACAAACAAACAAAAAAAATTAGCCGGGCGTGGTGGCACATGCCTGTAATCCCAGCTACTCAGGAGGCTGAGGCAGGAGAATCGCTTGAACCCAGGAGGCGGAGGTTGCAGTGAGCTGAGATCATGCCACTATACTCTAGCCTGGGCAACCAGAGCGAAATTATGTCTCAAAAAAAAAAAAAAAGGCTAGGAGGAGTGGGTGTCTGGGGCACTGTGATCACTCCTTTATGGCTGGAGTGGAATAAAATGAGGTGTGGTGAGAGGATGGGGCGGGAAGGGCGGGAGGCCAGACTGCAGAGCTGCTGAGTCAGCAAACAGGAACGGGGGAACTCCCTGTGTGCCAGGTGCTGTCCTGGGTACTCGGCTGTGGGTACAGCCAACGCAGGCACAGCACTGGTCCCTGCAGAGCTTCCGGAGTTGGGGAGGCCCTGAATGTCAGTCTGAGGACTCGGTCATTAGCCTTGGGGCTGTGGGGAGCCGTAGGAGGTTTCACACGGTCAGTTCTGGGGTAGATGGGGTCAAGTCTAGACTGGTGTGGAGGGAGAGGGATTGAAGGCAGGAACACAAGTTCAGGGATGTCTGCAGACATCAGCCTGTCCCTGGTTTACTCTTCAGCCCCTCCTTCCTGACCCCTCCCAACTTCATCCTCCGCCTCCTCCAGCTGCGGGACCCGAGAGGGGGTAGGGATTTAGATACTCACACCCATGCCTCCGTGTCCTCACAGTGATGGGACCAGTGGAGGCCGCGCCTGAATACCGCGTCATCGTGGATGCCAACAACCTGACCGTGGAGATCGAAAACGAGCTGAGTGAGTGCTGGGGGGCAGGCGGAGACAGCCCCGTGTGACGTCCCTCACGCCCCCTCTCCCTTCCCCACTGGCCTTTCCCAGGGTCCTGCCCCTAAGCCCAAGCTCAGATCGAGGTTGACCTGCTGTCACAGAGTGGCTGAAATAAGAAGGAAGTGCGTTCTCTCGCGTATGAGTCTGAGGAGCACTCGGGGATGGTGTGGCCGCTTGGCTGCCTGTAGGGCCCCGGCTCTTTCCATCCTGTTGGTCGGCCACCTGCCTCACGGTGCGAGGTGACTGCCCCACCTCCAGCCATCACCTCCGCATTCCCACCAGCAAGGCGCTTCTTTTCTTTAAGAACATGTCACTGCAGCTCACGTTTTACAGACCAGAACTAATTCCCCTGGTCACACCTAGCGGTAAGGACGGCTGAGAAAGGCTGTATGCTGGTGCCCGTGTGCCAGGCCACAAGCCAGGGCTTCAGTTACTAAAGGAAGAAGGGGACATGGGTGTTAGGGCCAACCAGCAGAGTCTACCTTCCATCTCACCCGACAACCTCCTGTCCCGTTTACCCTAGACATCATCCATAAGTTCATCCGGGATAAGTACTCAAAGAGATTCCCTGAACTGGAGTCCTTGGTCCCCAATGCACTGGATTACATCCGCACGGTCAAGGTGAGCGCAGAGAAGGTGGGGTGCTTCTGCTGGCGTGAAGGGGCAGGCGGGGCTCACTCTCGGACCCCCTCCCAGAGGCCTCAGGGTCTGGAGACGATGGAGAGGAGTGGACGAGGGCTCAGTGGTCTGCTCTGCCCAGCGTGGGAGGGACGGAGCCTGGACAGGACTTTCTCAGGGCTCCCCTCCAACCCCAGTCTCCCGAGAGGGCTTCCCCGCTGGCCTGACCCACGCTGCTCCCGCTGTGGTTGGAGCCGGTGGCATTGGAGTTGACATCCGAAGGTTGACACAGGGCAGGCACACGGAGATTTGGGGCAGAGAGACGTCTAAGTGCAGAGAGCTGGAGAGGGAACAAGTGGGGAGGAAGTGAGGCGGGGAAGGAGGGGACGGGGAAGAGGTCGGATCACGTCCAGCCTTTGGGTCTTAGGAGAAAGCCAAGGAAGGGTTTCGGAAAAGAGGGGCAGGTGTGCGTGAGGGCGGGGAGAGGAGGAGGTCCCCACGCATGTCCAGGAAAGGATTAGGATGGCGGTGGGGAAGCCCCTGCAGGGAAGCGAGGCCGCGGATTTGCACTCCGACTTGACGCAGGCCAGAGGCTTGTGAGGCCACAGTCTTTCCAGACGCCACTCTGCCCGGGCTCCGTTTCCAGGTCAGCGAAAGCAGGGCAGATGGTGTGGATGCTTGACGTGGTGGAGGCAGGAATGGTGTGGATGCTTCAGGCGGTGGAGGCAGGAGAGGCCCCCAGTGCAGAGACCCTGACTGTCCCAGTGTCCCTAAGAAGAGACCTGAGGAGGTGCTGAGCAAGAGAGGTTCTCGAGCCTTCCTGAGTTCCCGAGCCTCCCCTATCTTCTCTGCTCGCCCCCAGGAGCTGGGCAACAGCCTGGACAAGTGCAAGAACAATGAGAACCTGCAGCAGATCCTCACCAATGCCACCATCATGGTCGTCAGCGTCACCGCCTCCACCACCCAGGGGTATGTCCGCTTCGAGGGAGGCGCCGGGCCCTAATGGGATTGGGGATTAGGCTGGAGCTACACACGCAGGTGTACACACGCACACACACATACACACATGCACACACACACACAGAACCGAGAGGGCTGGGGCTGGGCACACCAGGCAGGCGGGAGATCCAGGAGGCTGGGCCCACCCGCCCCTGCAGGCAGCAGCTGTCGGAGGAGGAGCTGGAGCGGCTGGAGGAGGCCTGCGACATGGCGCTGGAGCTGAACGCCTCCAAGCACCGCATCTACGAGTATGTGGAGTCCCGGATGTCCTTCATCGCACCCAACCTGTCCATCATTATCGGGGCATCCACGGCCGCCAAGATCATGGGTGAGTCCCCGGGCTGGGTCCCATGGAGCGGGGGTCTGCTGACACTGTGACCTTGGGAAAGCTACATCCTTTTCTGTAGAATGGGGGCTTTGGCACCTGGACCTCAGCACCCCGTCTCCCTGGACATCACAGAGGTCAGCCAGCCTGGCACACAGCAAAGCCTCGTCTGTGGGAAAAACACTCACCCACAGCTCCTTCTCCCTCCCCTGTGCCGGAAACCCAGAGATGACCACACCCAGGCCCTGTTGTCAGGGAGCTCCTGGTTTGGTGAAAATGGTTCCAAAACACAGCCATCCCTGGAACGGCGTTAGTGTGGCTTAGCACAAACGTGGTGGTCAGCTTCCTGTTGGGGGCCTCCTCCCTGCACCCCCAGGCCAGCTGCCCTCCCTCTCTGAGCCTCCTTTGCATCTGCCCCTTGCGGAATGGGCCAGGTCGCCCGCCTGGCAGGGCCATCGAGGAATCCAACCAGAACTTCATGTAAAGGTGCCCAGCACACGTCGAGCCCCCAGGCAGATTTACTCACCCCCACCTCTCTGCTTTCTTCTGACCGCCCCCCCTTCCTCCCTCCCTCCCACCGCAGGTGTGGCCGGCGGCCTGACCAACCTCTCCAAGATGCCCGCCTGCAACATCATGCTGCTCGGGGCCCAGCGCAAGACGCTGTCGGGCTTCTCGTCTACCTCAGTGCTGCCCCACACCGGCTACATCTACCACAGTGACATCGTGCAGTCCCTGCCACCGGTGAGCCCACTGCGTCATGGCCCCTCCCCCGGCCCCCCTGGAGCCTTCCGCTGTGCCCAGACAGCCTGAGCAGCCACCCACCATCTGGCCCAGCTGACGGTAGCACTCAGGAGCTGGGAACAGGGTGGCATGGGACGTGAGAGCCAGGGCTCTGCAGCAGACCAGCTCCAGCACCCACCAGTCAGGTGACTGTGGGCAAGAGGCATGAGCGCCCTGTGCCTCAGTCTCCTCCCCTATCAAATGGGAGCACAGCGCCTGCTTCATGAGTTGGGACGAGGGCTCAGTGCACATGAAGCACTTACAGTTCAGGCCTAGCTCACGACAAGCAGCGTCGGGTTAGCGTGCAACTGCTCCGAAGACCACCCTCAGGTTTGACCATTCACTAGAAAGACTCACAGAATCCACTGAGGGCTGCACATCAGCCATGGGGAGAGACACACAGGAGGGGCAGGAGAGGTCACCAACCTCGGAGCTTCCCGGGTCCTCTCCCTGCAGTCGGGACACATCACCATCCCAGCATCGACGCCTGACAGCACACACACAGGCCCGCTAGCCTGGCGGGGCGCAGTGGCTCGTGCCTGTCATCCCAGCACTTTGGGAGGCCGAGGCGGGCAGATCACCTGAGGTCAGGTGTTCGAGACCAGCCTGGCCAACATGGTGAAACCCCATCTCTACCAAAAATACAAAAAACTAGCTGGGTATAGTGGCACACACTTATAATCCCAGCTACTTGGGAGGCTGAGGCAGGAGAATCGCTTGAACCCAGGAGGTGGAGGTTGCAGTGAGCTAAGATCATACCACTGCCCTCCAGCCTGGGTGACAGAGTGAGACTCTGTCTCAAAAAAAAAAAAAAACAAGACAGGTTCTGGGACAGACAGGCCTGGGTCCAGACCCTGCTCTGTCCGACTGTGGCGAGTTACCTCAGGCTCACGGCCCTGTGCCCTGCCTGGCCTCCCCCAGGGATGGGGAGAACAATAGCACTGATGGCCAAGGCTGGGCAGGCACTTCCTGGCCCCACCCCCCAGCCCTGTGTGGGGTTTTTTTTGTGGTCTTTTCTGCGACCCTTTAGGTCAGGCACTGCTACTGGAACACACCCAGGGAGGCTGGCAGGTCACCCCATCCTGGGAGGAGAGAGAGTGGGCGATAGAACCCAGGACGGGTGGGCCTGGGGCTCGGGGCTCCAGCTGCCTCACTGCACCCCTGCCATCGCCACCGCCTCACAGCCCTGGGCATATGGGTTAAACCTGCCCCAGGGAGCCTGATGTCTTGTCACCCAGGCCTCTGCCTCTTCATTTGGCCATCTCACATCGGTCCAGGCACAGGCCGTAGACACCACAGGCCTGTAAGGGAGGCCAGGGCTGGCCATCGCTTCACTGTGGCTGACAGCTGGGCTCTGTTTGCAGTTTGGATTGGAACCCTGGCTCCATCACCTGCTGGCTGTCTCCCTGGCCACATGACTTGAAGCCTTGGTTTCCACATCTGAAAAGGGGGTGCAATGATCACACCAGCCCAATATTTGAATATTTGATGAGATGATCCGAGGGGCGTGCTTAGCATGGGGCTGGCATCCAGGCCGAGTGCACTCCCCCCGGCGTCTCCACAGTCACCACCGTCCTCGTTGTCAGCGTGCCTTACTGTCATCCTTACCTGATGGCCACTTATCAGCTGGGACATGGCTCTGTGCCCTGCCCTCATCCCCTCTTCCTGTGAAGTAGGAGCTGAGAGCACACACCTCTAGAGCCCAAGGGTGGAAAGCCCCCTTCCAGGACCCCAGGTAGAGCCAGAGGAGGAGCGCGCGCGGTTGCTTTGCTGTTACCTCTGTCTGTCTGTCTCACACAGATTCCACCCCCGTTTTCCGTTGCTCCAGGATCTGCGGCGGAAAGCGGCCCGGCTGGTGGCCGCCAAGTGCACACTGGCAGCCCGTGTGGACAGTTTCCACGAGAGCACAGAAGGGAAGGTGAGGAGGGAAAGGTGAGGGGCGGCCGGGCGTCTTTTCCTCTGGGCCTGGGGTGTCTCTGCAGGGAGACCCTCAGCAGGGAGCCCACCCCAGCGAGCACTGTCCTACCAAGGCGGAGGCAGTGCTTCTGCCCACCCTCCCTGGGGTCAGGCACCCCCTTCCCCAGTGGGGTTTCCTAGGTCTGCTGTTGGAAGGTAGCATGAACCTACTGGCTTCAAACAGTGCAGGTGTGGCCGGGTGCAGTAGCTCACGCCTGTAATCCCAGCACTTTGGGAGGCCAGGGTGGGCGGGTCACAAGGTCAGGAGTTTGAGACCAGCCTGGCCAACATGGTGAAACCCCATCTCTACCAAAATTAGCCGGGTGTGGTGGCACGCACCTGTAATCCCAGTTACTCAGGAGGCTGAGGCAGGAGAATTGCTTGAACCTGGGAGACGGAGGTTGCAGTGAACTGAGATTGCATCATTGCACTCCAGCTTGGGTGACATAGCGAGACTCCATCTAAAAACAAAAACAAAAAACAGTACAGGTTTATTATCTGTGGTCCTGTAGGTCAGAAGTCCAAAATGAGTTTCACTGGGCTGAAGTCAGGGTGTCATCCTGGAGCGTTCCTTCTGGGGGATTCAAGGGATAATCCATTCCCTTGTCTTTTCCAGCTTCTAGGGGTCACTGGCACCCCTTAGCTCGTGGCCCTCCCTCTGTCTGCGGAGCCAGCCACATAGCACCCTCAGACCTCTCTCTGACTCTGCTTCTGTCTTCATATCTCGGCCTCTGTTTTTGTTCCCCTCTTCTATTTTAAGGGCCCCTGTGGCTATACTGAGCCTACTCAGATGGTCCAGGATAGTCTTCCCAGCTCACAATCCTTAAAATCCTTCTTAACCTCTTCACGTCCCTTTTGCCCTGTGATTCTGGGAATTAGAACATGGGCCTCTTTGGGCATGTGTGTGTTGGTGGGGGCGTAATTTGCCTTCCACACCAGGATCTGTCCCCGCTGCAACAGGGGATGTTATTCAAGTAATTATTCAGTTACCTTCTGTCTTCCTTGGTAGATGTACTCGGGAGAGGAGACGTTTTCTGTCTTGTGAACTGTCGTTTGCCAAGCACCCGGCCTGGCACAGCGTTCAGGTGTTCCGTGTCCCCTTCTCCTTTCCCTCTCCCCATCTCACCCCTGGTCTGGGTGTGGGGGTGCAGCTGTGAGTAGCACAGACAGGACCCCTGCCCCGTGGCGTGGACATTCTTGTTGGGGCCGGGTCAAAGAGACAGTCAACAGGTGAACTCTGTCCTGCGTCTAGCGGTGCTAAGTCAACACCAAGAAGAAAAAGAAAGGGGGTGGCGGTGAGGCAGCATTAGGTGCTGATTTAACTAAGGCACGTGGATACTCGGGGGGTCCGCTCAGAGGAGGCCTGGGTGGGCAGCCCACGCGAGCAGCTGCAGGACCTCCCCCTCGCCCTCCCCAGGTGGGCTACGAACTGAAGGATGAGATCGAGCGCAAATTCGACAAGTGGCAGGAGCCGCCGCCTGTGAAGCAGGTGAAGCCGCTGCCTGCGCCCCTGGATGGACAGCGGAAGAAGCGAGGCGGCCGCAGGTGAGGGGCCCTGGGGGTCCGGTAGGCATGGGGGTCATGGAGGGGAGAAGCCGGCGTCCTCCTCCCAGCCGACTCCCTGGCGCCGCCCACCCACCCGTCCCCAGGTACCGCAAGATGAAGGAGCGGCTGGGGCTGACGGAGATCCGGAAGCAGGCCAACCGTATGAGCTTCGGAGAGGTCAGACTCCCAGAGCGCCCTCCTCAACCCCACAGCCAGCCAGCCGCCACCGCCCTCTGCCTCCTGCCACCGCCCCTCCTCTCGTCCTGTGGCCCTGGCTCATGTCTAGGGCGCTGCCCCAGCCTCCTCCCCCCCGGCCTCTATTCTCGTTTCCATCCATTCAGCCCCAAAGCGACCCTCGCGGCCCTTGGAGCCTGTGTCTCCGCTGCTTAGAGCCCCCGCGGCTTCCCATCGCCCCGGGCTCCTTGGCCGGTTCCTCCCTGCCCAGAGGCTCCTTAGTGCCCTGCTGCACGGCCGCCCCGTCCCTGGGCCCCGCCAGTCTCCTCTGTTATCCCAGCGTCATCCCCTTGGTCCTGCAGGACCGAACTCAGAGGCCACCTCATCCTATTAAACCTGTTCTGGTTCCTGACATCCCCCGACCCACACGAGTAAGGAAGGAATGGCCTCCCAACTCTGAGCTCACAGAGCAGTGCTGGGACCGGGCCCCTCTCAGGCTCCCCGGCATCCCCCGCGTGTGTGGGCCCCCAGGCCTCAGCCGGGCCGAGTGGGTACCGGAGCAGGTGCCCGTGGGACCGGCCGGCTGGTGACCGCTGGGCTTCCGGCTGGTGGAGGGGGTGCCTCGGTGGCTGGAGGGCAGGGCCTGGTCGCTGAACTGCAGGGCGCCTCCTCTTCCCCCTAGATCGAGGAGGACGCCTACCAGGAGGACCTGGGATTCAGCCTGGGCCACCTGGGCAAGTCGGGCAGTGGGCGTGTGCGGCAGACACAGGTAAACGAGGCCACCAAGGCCAGGATCTCCAAGACGCTGCAGGTATGGGCCAGACCCAGGTGGGGCTGGGGACCGAGGGACACAAGGTGGGGGGAGCCCAGATCGCAGCCTCCCTGTCCTCCCCACAGCGGACCCTGCAGAAGCAGAGCGTCGTATATGGCGGGAAGTCCACCATCCGCGACCGCTCCTCGGGCACGGCCTCCAGCGTGGCCTTCACCCCACTCCAGGTACCTCCCCTGGGCCGGCTCTGTCCCCAGCCCTGAGACCTTGGCAAGGCCCCTTGCCCTCTGCCCCTGTGAAGAAGGCCAGGATGAGTCTCCTCATGGGGCTGTTGTGGAGGGTGTGGTGACGAGGTATGCAGAGGACGTAGACAGCTCCTGGCACACAGGAAGAGGTTAGCAGAGACGAGAGCCCAGCGCTGAGCAGTCCTCGTGAGCACGCACTGCTTTAGAACCAGGCCCACAGCTGTGTTCAGGGCACCCAGTTCCTCTGTCGGGCTGTGAGCGGGTAACACTGCTCAGCCTCCAGGCCCTCCAGTTCAAAACGGCCAGGACGGTTAAGGTAACCTCAGGACCCCACTCGAGAAAGTTCCCGGCTAGGCGGGCTTGGATGTCAAGTGTGGGTCCAGGCCCCAGCCAGTCAGCAGTGAGCAGCGTGGAGCATGGCAGTCACCGCATCGTCGGAGCCTCGGTTTACCATCCACAGAGCAGGGCGAGCCTGCACCACGGAGGCGAGACAGCAGCGAGCTCATCTGCCCAGTCAGCGGGTGTCTACGCAGCACCTGCTGAGTTCTGTCAGTGTTCCCGGCTCTGGGGATGAAGCAACGAATGAGAGACAAGTCTTACCTTCTTGGAGCCAGTGGGTGGCCGGGCGCAGACAGCTCAGTAAGATGTCCAGTGTAGGAGAAGGCAGAAATGCCAGGCCGGGCGCAGACAGCTCAGTAAGATGTCCAGTGTAGGAGAAGGCAGAAATGCCAGGCTGGGCGCAGACAGCTCAGTAAGATGTCCAGTGTAGGAGAAGGCAGAAATGCCAGGCCGGGCGCAGACAGCTCAGTAAGATGTCCAGTGTAGGAGAAGGCAGAAATGCCAGGCCGGGCGCAGACAGCTCAGTAAGATGTCCAGTGTAGGAGAAGGCAGAAATGCCAGGCCGGGCGCAGACAGCTCAGTAAGATGTCCAGTGTAGGAGAAGGCAGAAATGCCAGGCTGGGCGCAGACAGCTCAGTAAGATGCCCAGTGTAGTAGAAGGCAGAAATGCCAGGCCGGGCGCGGTGGCTCACGCCTGTAATCCCAGCACTTTGGGAGGCCGAGGCAGGTGGATCATGAGGTCAGGAGATCGAGACCATCCTGGCTAACACGGTGAAACCCCGTCTCTACTAAAAATACAAAAACTTAGCCGGGCGTGGTGGCGGGCGCCTGTAGTCCCAGCTACTTGGGAGGCTGAGGCAGGAGAATGGCGTGAACCCGGGAGGCGGAGCTTGCAGTGAGCCGAGATCGCGCCACTGCACTTCAGCCTGGGCGACAGAGCCAGACTCTGTCTCAAAAAAAAAAAAAAGAAGGCAGAAATGCCAGGGAGGGGAGGAGGTGGAAGGTAGGAGGTGGGACAGGGGAGGCTCTCGTTTCGGAGCAGCCAGGGAGGGCCTCTTTGAGAAGATGAGGCCAGTGGCTGTGCCTTTCCAAGCCTCCCCTCCTCCATCATGAGGTGCTCAGGACTGAAAAGAACGCACAGGAAGCACTTGGCACTGGGCTCACCATTAGAGCCCAATGACTGGGTCCTGTTATTATTTTTAGAGACGGGGGCTCGCTCTGTTGCCTTGAAAATATTTAGGAAGTGCCAGCCAGGTGTTGGCTCCCATTGCTGCCACTATGATCGTCAGTGGTGTTGGTGTGATTTGTGCTAGGACCTCGGGCCAGCCATGTCCCCCAGGGACTCAGTTTCCTTATGCAGAAACTGGGCAGGATTGGCTGTCCTCAAGCATTGGTTGTTTTTAGCACCCCTGAGGAACTTCGTACAAATCCAGGCGCCCTGGTTCCTCCCCACCCTCTCCCTCTAGACCCACTGAGTCAGAATCTCCCAAGACAGGGCAACTCCAGGGACAGGCAAACTGTCTCATGCCCACCAAGGCCTGAGTGCCATGGGGAAGGGCCTGGGGGGCTCTGATGGGTCACAGTTGGGGCCTTCTCCTCACCTAACCCATCATCCTCTCTCCCTCACCTGCCCAGGGCCTGGAGATTGTGAACCCACAGGCGGCAGAGAAGAAGGTGGCTGAGGCCAACCAGAAGTATTTCTCCAGCATGGCTGAGTTCCTCAAGGTCAAGGGCGAGAAGAGTGGCCTTATGTCCACCTGAATGACTGCGTGTGTCCAAGGTGGCTTCCCACTGAAGGGACACAGAGGTCCAGTCCTTCTGAAGGGCTAGGATCGGGTTCTGGCAGGGAGAACCTGCCCTGCCACTGGCCCCATTGCTGGGACTGCCCAGGGAGGAGGCCTTGGAAGAGTCCGGCCTGGCCTCCCCCAGGACCGAGATCACCGCCCAGTATGGGCTAGAGCAGGTCTTCATCATGCCTTGTCTTTTTTAACTGAGAAAGGAGATTTTTTGAAAAGAGTACAATTAAAAGGACATTGTCAAGATCTGTCCTTGGGGAGTGATCATTTTTCAAACAGCCGGGGCAACTAGAAGAATCAGAGCTGTGGAGCTTTGAGAAAAGAGCTTGGCCCTCGGGTCCAAGCGGTGTCTAGGCCCACTCCCTTCCCCGTTACTTTCTCGTCATGGGATCCCAGAAGGAAAAAGCCCTCTCCAACCCCCTGGAGAGCCGCAGTCACTTTGATAGCAAATGATGTGGCTGCCAACAGCCGCAGATCTCAGCGCAGGCCGACCGGGATTGCTGTCCACCTCAGGCCAGCCTCCTCACCTTTCCAAGCCTCCACACCTACGCCCAGGTGCCCAGGACTGGAAAGAATGCACAGAAAGCACTTAGCATGGGACTTGCCATCAGCGCCCTATAACCAGGTCCTGTTATGATTGGGTTTTTTAGAGACGGGGTCTCTGTTGCCCAGGTTGGAGTACAGTGATGCGATGAAGCTCACTAAAGCCTCAAACTCCTGGGCTGGGATTACAGGCATGAACCAGCACAGCTGGCCTCCTGGTTAATTTAAATTTTTTTTTTTTTTCTGAGGTGGAGTCTCGCTCTGTTGCCCAGGCTAGAGTACAGTGGTGCAATCTTGGCTCACTGCAACCTCTACCTCCCGGGTTCAAGCAATTCTCCTGCCTCAGCCTCCTGAGTAGCTGGGATTACAGGCATGTGCCACCATGTCCCGCTAATTTTTATAGTTTTTAGTAGAGACAGGGTTTCGCCATGTTGGTCAGGCTGTTCTCGAACTCCTGACCTCATGATATGCCCACCTCAGCCTCCCAAAGTGCCAGGATTACAGGTGTGAGCCACCACCCCAGCCCCATTTTTAAATTGTTTATAGACAGGGTCGTGCTCTATTACCCAGGCTGGGCTTGAACTCCTGTGCTCAAGTGAGCTTTCCACCTCAGCCTCCCTAAGTGTTGAGATTACAGGCTTGAGCCGCTGTGTCTGGCCTCTTATTATTATTATTATTTTTTTTTTTGAGACAGAATCTCACTCTGTTGCCCAGGCTGGAGTGCAGTGGGATGATCCTGGCTCATGGCAACCTCCACCTCCCGGGTCCAGGTGATTCTCCTGCCTCAGTCTCCTGAGTAGCTGGGATTACAGGCGCCCATGGGTTTTGTTTGTTTGTTTGTTTGTTTGTTTGTTTTTCAGACGGAGTCTTGCTCTGTCACCCAGGCTGGAGTGCAATGACATGGTCTTGGCTCACTGCAAACTCCGCCTCCCAGGTTGAAGTGATTCTCCTGCCTCAGCCTCCCGAATAGCTGGGATTACAGGCGCCCGCCACCACGCCTGGCTAATTTTGTATTTTTAGCAGAGACGGGGTTTCACCATTTGGGCCAGGCTGGTCTTGAATTGCTGACCTTGTGATCTGCCCGCCTCGGCCTCCCAAAGTGCTGGGATTACAGGTGTGACCCACCGCGCCCGGCCGAGATGGGGTTTTACCATGTTGGCCAGGCTGGTCTCGAACTCCTGACCTCAAATAATCCGCCTGCCTCGTCTCCCAAAGTGCTGGGATTACCCTGTGCCTGGCCCAGCCTCTTATTTATAACCAGTGTTGAGGGACTGTGTGGAGCCGGGCACAGGCGAAGCAGGCAGGCTTCCTGCCCTGGTAGGACCTGGTTGCTATAAAAGTCCTGCCAGGTGAGCAGAAGGAGCACACTTCCCCTCCCCTGACCTCCAGTCACTGAGTCTCGGGAACCGGGGCTCGGCCAGGAGCGCCTTTACTTGGACTGAGGGGAATGTGGCCTGCAGACAGTCAGGAGAGTTTCCAGGGGACAGCAGGGGCTGTCCTAGCGGGTGGCATGAAACCGTCTCCCTGGAGAGGTTAAGGAAGAGCAACTCCAGGGGTTCCATTTACTATGTGCTCCGGAGCTGGGCTACACGGTGGTACTAAGGAGGCAGCGCTAGTCACCTGACCTACAAGGTCGGGCTTCTGTTAGTTACCTAAGAGATGTTACCAGGACAAGCAGCAGCCTGGTGGGAAGATGATGCCTCCAGGTCTCTACCTCCTCTCTCTCTCCCTCCTTCTCTCCACCTCCCCTCTCTCTCCCTCCCTCTCTCCACCTCCCCTCTCTCTCTTCCTCCCTCTCCACCTCCCCTCTCTCTCCCTCCCTCTCTCCACCTCCCCTCTCTCTCCCTCCCTCTCTCCACCTCCCCTCTCTCTCTCCCTCCCTCTCTCCACCTCCCCTGTCTCCACCTCCCCTCCCTCTGTCCCTCCCTCTCTCCACCTCCCCTCCCTCTGTCCCTCCCTCTCTCCACCTCCCCTCTCTCTCCCTCCCTCTCTCCACCTCCCCTCTCTCTCTTCCTCCCTCTCCACCTCCCCTCTCTCTCTTCCTCCCTCTCCACCTCCCCTCTCTCCCTCCCTCTCTCCACCTCCCCTGTCTCCACCTCCCCTCCCTCTGTCCCTCCCTCTCTCCACCTCCCCTCTCTCTGTCCCTCCCTCTCTCCACCTCCCCTCTCTCTGTCCCTCCCTCTCTCCACCTCCCCTCTCTCTCCCTCCCTCTCTCCACCTCCCCTCTCTCTCCCTCCCTCTCTCCACCTCCCCTCTCTCTGTCCCTCCCTCTCTCCACCTCCCCTCTCTCTCTCCCTCCCTCTCCACCTCCCCTCTCTCCACCTCCCCTCACTCCACCTTCCCTCTCTCTCCCTCTCTCTCCTCCCCTCTCCCTCCCTCCACCTCCCCTCCCTCTCTCCACCTCCCCTCCCTCTCTCCCTCCCTCCCTCCCTCTCTCCACCTTCCCTCTCCCTCCCTCCACCTTCCCTCTCCCTCCCTCCACCTTCCCTCTCCCTCCCTCTCCACCTTCCCTCTCTCCTCCCCTCTCCCTCCCTCTCTCCACCTCCCCTCTCTCCCTCCCTCCCTCCCTCTCTCCACCTTCCCTCTCTCCCTCCCTCTCTCCACCTTCCCTCTCTCTCTCTCCCTCCCTCTCTCCAGCTCATGCTATCTGGGTCTCCCTCTGACTTTCTAGGTCCTGTCTGAGATTTTGCTCTTTCTGTTCCCCTCTCTGGGCCTCCCCGTCACCACTCTGTGTATCTCTGGATCCCTGTCCTTCAACCCAGAGCTCTGTCTCTGGACCTCAGTGGCAATCTCTAAATCTCTCTCCTTCCTCAAGTCAAAAAGTCGACACACTCAGGAGGTTCCCTTGAGTGGCTGAACTACCCCAGGTTGTATAACTCAAGTCTGTTTTCTCAATGTTATCCCTGACCCTCTGGGTCAACCCTGTTTGAAAATGACAACCTTTGCTGATCTCTACATACTGGTCTGCCAGGGAAGGACCCGTGGTCCACAACCCTGTTCAGAATCCCCCATCTCCCTTGGCCAAAATATCCGGCATCTACCAATGGGGCTGTGGCATGAGGGTGTCAATCTCAGGAAAGGAATCTTGAGTCGCCTGGGCCTGCAGCCCTCGTACTTTCAGAACAGAGGTTCTCAGAATTTAATGCGCTTCAGAATTACACTGAGGACTTGTTAAAACATAGTTGCTGGGCCCAGAGTTTCTGATTCAGTCTAGGGTGGGGCTCAAAAATGTGCCTTTCAAACAAGTTCCCAGGTGATGGGTACGTGCCTGACCCAAGGCCACATTTCAGAAGCACTGCTCTAGAAAAGAAGACTCTGTAAGCGGCTCTTACGCTGGGCGCGGTGGCTCACGCCTGTAATCCCAGCTACTTGGGAGGCTGAGGTGGGAGAATGGCTTGAACCTGGGAGGCAGAGGTTGCAGTGAGCCGAGATGGCGCCCCTGCACTCCAGCCTGGGTGAGAGAGACACTGGCTCCCACCTCAAGATCGTTTTAGTTGGTCCAGTGTAAGCCTGGGTATCTGGACTTTTTTATTTTTTATTTTTATTTTTTGAGACGGCGTCTTGCTCTGTCACCCAGGCTGGAGTGCAATGGCGCAATCTCGGGTCACTGCAACCTCTGCCTCCCAGGTTCAAGTGATTCTCCCGCCTCAGCCTCCCGAGTAGCTGGGATTACAGGCACATGCCACCATGCCCAGCTAATTTTTGTATTTTTAGTAGAGACGGGGTTTCACCATGTTGGCCAGGCTGGTTTTGAACTCCCTACCTCAGGTGATCCGCCCACCTCGGCCTCTGAGAGTGCTGGGATTACAGGTGCAATGGCGCAATCTAGGCTCACTGCAGCCTCTGCCTCCCGGGTTCAAGTGATTCTCCCGGCCCGGCCTGGCCTCTAATTTAAAAAAAATTTTTTTTTTTTAAAGTTCCTCAGGTAGGCCAGGCGCAGTCGTCACGCCTGTAATCCCAGCACTTTGGGAGACTGAGGCGAGCGGATCACCTGAGGTCAGGAGTTCGACACCAGCCTGGCCAACATGGTGAAACCCCGTCTCTACTAAAAATACAAAAATTAGTCGGGCGTGGTGGCGGGCGCCTGTAATCCCAGCTACTCGGGAGGCTGAGGCGGGAGAATCACTTGAACCCCGGGAGGCAGAGGCTGCAGTGAGCCTAGATTGTGCCACTGCTCTCCAGCCTGGGGGACAAGAGCAAGTCTTCGTCTCAACAACAACAACAATAACAACAAGTTCCTCAGGTGACTCTGATGTGCAGCCAAGTTGGAAAGTCATCGCTAGATCCGCGGTGTGCAAAGTGAACTGCGGACCGTGGACTGCGGCACTTGTTAGAAAAGCAGAATTTGCATTTTAACACATTCCTAGGTGATTCCGGAGATGTCTGAGAAGCGATACTTTGTCCAGGGGCCACAGTTTGAATAGCAGAGCTCTAGAACAATAACTCTAGGCTTCATTCCCGTTGTCTGTGTGTGGGCCTACGAATATGCATTTTCGCAAGCATTCCTCCTCCCCCTTGCCTCAGACCATTCTGATGCGGGTGGTGCTGAACGGCTCCATCCTCCTTCACGTTCACCTCTCCCTGGGATTTATCTTACTTTCCACCACCTAGACAGGAAGGGGCGAATCTGGCTTCCCATCTCGGTTGTGTGACCCTGGGCAAATGCCTCCCAGTTCGTGGAAGTCTCAGTGTCTAGTAAGTTTTCAATCACAAGTCATTCCTCACATTCATTCATCTATTCCTTTGACAAATGGTTACTGACTACTTCCTGCGTGCTAAGTGCTGGAGATGCAAAATCCAGACAGGGAAACCGAATAATTACGAAAATGACGGTAGACGTACAAAAATAAATCCTAACGAACAAGGCGCGCAGGAGCGCTCCGCCCGGGAGGGAGGTCAGGGAAGTTTTCTCTCCAAGAAGACAACAGAGCTGAGACCTGAAACGAGCAGGCATTAGGGAGCCACCCGTCTCCTCTGTACCTTCTGCAGCGTCCTCAACACACTAAGGAAGCGGAGACGCAGAGGAGAATGACTGTCCTACCATCTGGTCGCCTAACCAGGCAGGGGCAGGACAAAAACTCCATGCCTCACGCTTCCCAACCAATTCTGCTATGCACGGTGCCAGAGACTTAAAGCAGTGTCTCTGGTCCCTTTCTTCTTTCACTCAGCAAATAATGAATTTCAGAGATGTGCCAACATAGAGGCACTTGGAGAAAGACGAGGCAGCTGAGAGGGAAGCTGCTTACCTGGCCGGGACGCAACGGTTGCGACCAAGTCCCACTTCTGCCAGCTACATACACCCTCTTTCACACGCTCTACGAGCAGCTACCGCCCACTCGCCACGCTATTGGTCAAACTAGCATGAATGATAACTTTTAGGGCCAACGAAGAAAAAGGGGTGGACTTTCTTGCCCAGCTCCTCCCACTTGGCCCTGTGGCTGTTTTGATTGGCAGATGACTTCGGCTCGGCCCCCGCTTTAAAGGCACCTGTCTGTCTCCCATTAGGTACGCGGCCCCTAACGCCCACACTCCATGCCTTCCTCCGCTTTCCCCACCCACTTCCAGGACCAACCAATGACTTCAAGGCAGAATATGCCCCCGCAACCAATTAAAAAGAGCTCTAAACTTGACGGACGACTTCCCGCCCCTGGACTGTCGTAGCTCCTCCCCCAGACCAATTGTTTTAAGAGAGGGGGGCGGATACATCCAATCAGCACGACACAGGTCTCTTGATTGACGTTCGGGTCCTCGCGCTGGCGTGTTGTGCCCTGAGGCGGGAGGAGGAGGAGGAGCGGGGAGGAAAACCTGAGCCAATCCTAGCAGCCTGCGCGGGAGGCCAATCGAACGCCGCGCCTTGGAGCGATCACCCAATCCGCGAAAGGGGGCAGGGCGCATCCCTGCCAGGAACCAATAGAAAGCCTCCAAGGGTCAGGAGCGACGTTCAGCAGGAGCAATGACTGGCCTATATTCGGGACTCGGGGGCGGGTCGGCGCCAGAGACGAGAAGAGAGGAGGGGAGGCCTCCTCCGCCGCCGCCATCTTGGACCGGGCCCGGTCAGCTTCCGCGGAGCCATCGGCAGACGCCGCGGCCTCCCTTGAGCCCCGACCCCCGTCGTCAGAACAACCCCGGGCCCACTCCCCCAACCCCACTTCCGCTTCGCGCCGCTATCGCGATAGCGCCCGGGCCCGGGGCGCGAGAAAAAGGCGGCGGGCGCTCGCCTCCCCCGCCTGTCGCGATACGCTCCTCAGCGGCGGCGCCAGCTCCTGTGGTGAGAGCGTCAGGCTCGACTGGGCCGGACCCCTTCCCTTCCTCCCCCCGGCGCCATCGGCCGCCCTCCCCGCCGCCTCCCGCCCTGGCGACACCGCCGTCTGTCGCGACATGGCCTCCCCTCGCCTGCCCCCTGCCGCCGCCTCTGCAGCGCGGGGCTCCCGGCGGGGGGCGGCTCCCTCCCTCTCGCCCTCCCGTTCCTGCGCCTCTTTCACGTTCCTCAGCGCCTCCCGGGGGTCCTTCCGCGACCCGGACCCCGGGCCCCGCCCGCCGCCGCCTCCCCGCGTGGCATCGCGTCGGGCCCCCCGGTAGGGGTGTGAGGGTGCGAAGCCTCCCGGGCGCGAGGTGCCCGCCCCTCTCCGCGTCGGTATTGGCTCCTGGCTGGAAGGATGGAGGCGCCCCTGGTCCCAGGTGCCCGCCCTCTCGGGGCTCAGGTGCCTGCCCCCCTCGGCCTCGGTCCTTCGCGTTGTGGGGCAGCCTCCGCGCCGGGGCTTCTCCCTCGACGGTGGCGGGGAGGGGGGGTGGTGGTCGGGACGAGGACCCCAGCTGGGTGGGGGAGTCACCCTTCCCAGGACCGAGGCCGCCCTCCGCATCCCTCCTCACTGCTCCCGGGAGCGCAGCCTCCCCTGGATCTCAGGTTCCAGCTGCCCGTCTGTATCGGATGGGAGCCTCTTGGGAGAGGAGTGGAGGAGAAACTCCCCGTTAGTTGGAGCCTTTGCCGAAGTTTCCACCTCTGTAGTCTGCAGCTCTTCCCTCTCATAGCGAGTAGCGCCCTGGGTGGCTCCAGCCTCGCCATCCCGCTGCACTGGGCGCCTGCCTTTTTGGGGGAGTTTGGCTTTCCCCCACCTGGGGTACAGGACCGTCCTCAGTGTGGCCCACGTCTGGTCTCAGCTCTCACACTTCTTTGATCCTGGCGTCTGCCCCTGGCTTTGCAGCCTTGAACTCCCCTGCATCGTGACTCTCCGACCTTCTGGGTGTGGGCGTCTCCCAGTGATATCAGGACCACTGTGGTCTTGTTGCTGGGGGCTGCTGGGATCCCCTGGCGCTCAGGTGCCTGGTGAAAGACACTAAGCCGCCACGCTGTCCATGTTAGTGAGCTCCCACTGCGGGCAGCACCAGCCCCTCTTTCTGAGCAGTCCCTGCCTCTCAGTGCAGGGCGGCCACCCACCCCGGGGTGAGCTCTCCTGTCCTTTTGGTGAGGGGTTTTGATGTCTCCCCTCCCTCCCTTCACCCCTGCCTGAGTATGAGGCTTCTTCCATCTTCACACCAGTCTCCTCCTTTAGGGTGTCAGCTCTCCAAGGACCAAGAAGCCCACTGCCCTTGATATTTGCATCAGATCCCACACTGTGGGTTTGTTGACTTCCCATCTACCCTTACGCTGGGTGTCAGCAGTTGGAGAACAAGGGTTTCGCCTTCTGGCCCCGCTGCTGGTACCCCATGAGAGTAGGAAGCTTCCTAGACCCGGGTTCCTGTACTGCGAGGTGGGGGCTCTTCCCTCTGGGGCTGTGCCTTCTCTCCAGGGTAAGGACCCTTTCTTGGTGTCACCTCCCCCAGGGATAAGGTTCTTGCCATCCTTGGTATTGGTATGGCTGCTTTTCTGGATTTGAGGTGTCCACGCCTCTGCATGTGTCCCCACCGTAAGGCTGAGGACCCCTCTCGGATGCAGGTGCCCCCGGCTCATGCTTCCAAAACCCCCTCTTGATTTGTCACTGTATGGGGTAAGGCATAGTTTCCTGGCTGTGTGGATGTAAGATACCTGAGTCTCAAGCGGGAGACTCCACTGTAGACCCTGTCCCTGGGACCAGAGACTTCTCTGGTGTAGACTTTCCAAGGTGGGAGATTCCAGCCCCCCACCCTTGGCATGGGGCATCTCAGTGGAGATGACTACCTCTACCCCAGGCCCTAACGCATCCTTCTTCTGGAGTCTCAGAGCCTCTGTGTGGCCACGTCAGCAGCCACCTGGGTTAAGGATCACCCTTCAACATCACTTCTCAGAGCTCCTTGCTGCAGAGGCGGAAGCTCTCCCAGATCAAAGGTGCCTCATGACAAAGACCACTCTGTGGGCACATGACGGCCCCCAAGGTTAAGGACCACCCGGTGTTAGTTTCCCAGGGCTGACCTCCTGCCCCTCCCTCCTCGAGTCTTTGTGTGGTGGTATCATCTTCCCTGAGATGAAGTCTGGGGGGCTCTTCTTTACTGGTTTTGGCTCTGATTTTAGCGTGTTGGCTCCTGTGAGGCTGGTGTCCTGCTCACCTCCCCCCGCCCCGCCACCCGCCTTGTGGGTCCCTTCCCTGTGGGGATGTGTGTTCCTCTTGGGTAAGTCTCCTCCTGGGCCGAGGTTCCCAGATTCCTCAGTGCTCTTGGAGAGCCTTTGCTGCTGGAGCACAGGTTCTTCACGCCTGAGAGTGGACCTGCGATCACCACCTTCCTTGGAGGATCTTGGTGGATGCCCCCCTGACTACAGCAAATGGGGCTCTTTCTTCTCTGGCGGCGTCTCTGCTTCGAGACTCAGGCTCCAGCTTCCCTTCTCTCTGGTCCTTTGCTGGGGGGACCAGAGGTACAGATACCCTCATGATATAAGGATTTTCTTAGCGGGGAAGGTGTTGTCTCTACTGTGGCTAAGGCTCCAGCCTCTCTAGGGGACAAGTACCCTGGGCCTCTGGCACTTGCCCCTTCTCTGTGGAGGAGCTGCCTCCTCACTGGGTCTCAGCTGTAGCCGACTTCGATGTCACACTGTTCTGTCTGAAACATCACCTCCCTGGGTTAGCGCTCTTGTTCCCCTCCTTCTGGCTTGTGACCCCTCCAGGACTTCCTTCTCTTGCTGCCACAGTGTGGTCTCCTCTCTGTGGGTATTCTTCCTCTGCACTAGGATACCAGTCCTTTCCGTGTGGAGACACAGGGAGGGCGTCACCTGCCTAAGGTGTTGATTGCCTTGTTTAGGGGTGTAGACCATGAGACCTCTTCTCTCTCTGGGCTGGAGCACCTGCCCATGACCCTCTGTTGGGTTCTTGGGATGGAAAGAGGGAGTGTAAACTCTCGTTTCACATTCTTGTTCCCCCTATGCAGTAAGAGGCTTTTCTGTGTTGGGGTGTTGGACTTTGGTGAGGATCCCTGCACACCTGAGCTCTGGTGTCCAGGCCCTTGCCTTGTGTGAGCTCCCTGGGTCAAAGGGGCTTTCCCCTCCTCAGCCTGAATCCCCACTGTGGCACCTTCTCCTGGGTCCTTTTGTTGGTTGCTTTGCCTTCTTAGAGATTCCCCAGGTAGGGCGTGATAGCTGACCTGGGCGGGGGCTGCTGCGGCTTTCTTTAGGTTGGGCCTTTTACTGAGGAGATTTAAATTCCCTCAAGTGTAAGGTAGCACCCCTACCTATTATCACCCAGAATGGGTCCCTGCGGTGTTGGGAAAATTCTCCCTGGGGGTAAGGTACCAGCCCTGTCCTTTATGGGCTTCTTGTTCTAAAGCATATCCGTCCCATATGGTTGCTGCTAGTCACATGTGGTGATTAGTAACTAGTTAAAAATGAAAAATTCAGTTCCTCCATTACACTTGCCACATTTCAGATGTTCAGTGGCCAACAGATATGCGCAAATAGAGTGTTTCCAGCATTGCAAAGTTCTGTTGGATAGCACTGTTTGCCAGATGTTCCCTTCTTTGTGGGTGAGGACTCTTTTGGTGTGACTTCCCTCTGTATTGAGGCTCTTGTTCCTCAGTATGGGGCTGTTTCTGTCTTTACAGTAAGTGACTACTCCAGGGTTCCCTGCCCTGCACACGTAGAGTGGGAGCGGCCCGTGGATCCCAGGGAACTGTGCTTTTCATTGTAGGCCCCCTCCCTGGAGGGGAAGAGGGCAATCTCCGCTGGTATCTCAGAAGTCTTCTTCTGAGGCATAAGCCTCTCTTCCCAGGGCTCCCCTGGTCTCGCTGTCAGGCCCTAAGGTATGTCTTCCCTTGGACTAAAGCTCCTTGGAACTCCCTTTTGACCTCAGTCTTCTCTGGGTTCCAGGTAACTTCCTTTAAAATAAAGACGCTCCTCTCTTGAAGTTTTGGGTTCCTGCCCTGATGGTCTATGTCTCCCTGACTCTAAATTACCAATCCACTTGCTATGGGATTCCTCCATGAGTGCAGATCGGCTCCCTCACAGCTGCGGTACCTTTGCACCCTCTTATCTTAGTAAGATTTCTGTCTTCTCCCAGGTCTCTCTTGGGTACTGCCTTCTGCCCCCAAATCTCTAAGCCTTCTTGGTATTAGCTTCTTTGGGTTAGGAGTGTTATTTCCTTTTGGTTTAAGGATCCTGCTCTGGAATAAATGTCTTGGTGGTTTGAGTCCCTTCTACTTGGCATTCAGCCCTGTCTGCATGAGCGGGTTCAGCTCTTCACAGCTTTCGGCATCTCTGCTCGCCGTCGTTTTCCCCCACCCCCAATCTTTCTTCTCCTACCTACAGCTTACACACACACACACACACACACACACACACACACACACGCCCTTCTCTGTGAGCTGCCAGTTTCATTTGTCTCCTGACTTGTCTGAGGGATGACCTCTCCTAGCCACCTCTGCCCAGCCCCTCTGAGTAGGAAGTGTGATTTCCAGGGCTAATGCCTCCATCCCAGTCATCAGCTGTGTGCAGCATGACTGTCCTGCTCTGAAAAACCTTTTTGAGTGTATTCTGGGGAGAAGGTACTCCATGCTCTAGGAATTTTCCACTTCCTGAGTCAGAGGCACACAAAAAAGTATGTAACTTTTCTTGTTTCAACAAACTTATGGGGTCCCCTGTTGGCCAGACACTATGCTGGGCAGTCAAGCGAGCATCAGGAGAACTGGGGCTGGTCTCTTGTCAGATAGCAAATGCTTCTTCTCTTTACCAGTCCCACCTACCTCACTATGCTGACTAGGTCCATGTCTCTGGGTTTTTACCAGCCAGGGAATACGTGTTAATTCCTCTCCAATCTCTCCTAGCAGCGTCCGTCTCCAAGAGAGTATGAAGAGAGTGCGTCTGTAGGGCAGGGAAGATGGCGGACAAGCGCAAACTCCAAGGTACTAGACTGACTTCCTGCTGCACCTGTAGCCACATGCTCCCTCTTCTGAGGACTGCTCTTTAGATACCTGCCACCTGGGCAGGATTCTCACAGCCTTGTTCCTCCCTGGCCAGGTGAGATTGATCGCTGCCTCAAGAAGGTGTCCGAGGGCGTGGAGCAGTTTGAAGATATTTGGCAGAAGGTACAGGGGCTGAGACCCTAATAATCTGGGTCTTCAGAGAGGAGGGCACAGGAAGGCGGCTCAGGACCTCTGGGTGTTGACCAGCGGGAGGGGCTACATATGCAGATGCTGAGGACCTAAGAGAATCAGCTCTAAGATGGATTGGGGGTAGGGGTTGGGGGGGGTCCTCGAGTCCCTAGCATAAGGAAGAATCACTGGAGTGGGTACTGGGACATCCCCTCCCACACTGACTTCTCAATTCTCTCCATCCCTCAGCTCCACAATGCAGCCAACGCGAACCAGAAAGAAAAGTATGAGGCTGACCTAAAGAAGGAGATTAAGAAGCTACAAGTGAGGGGGCTGGGGGCCTGGACGCCTTTGTCCTGAGGGTAGAGGGAACTGGGAGAGTGGACTGCTGGGTCCCAGGGAGAAGGAGCTGTGGGCCCCAGTTCCTGGGTCCTGAGGTCTGACTTTCTTGCTTTTCCCATCTGCAGCGGCTGAGGGACCAAATCAAGACATGGGTAGCGTCCAACGAGATCAAGGACAAGAGGCAGCTTATAGACAACCGCAAGCTCATTGAGACGGTAGGAGCCCAGAGCCTGAGTCCCAGAGAGGTGGGAAGGTCACCAGATTCTTGAGATCCCAAGGGGCGGAGGCAGAGCGGCCAGACCCCAGAGGTCCTCAAGAGAAGTAAGGTTTCTGCACCTAAGGGAAGTGAAGAGGCAGCGGACTCAGAGCTCAGAAAGTAGGGTCACGAGGCTCAGGTCGGAGTGTCTGCTGGCCCTTAGTCAGCTCCTTTCCCACCTTTGAGAGCCCCCCTGCCAACTGCACTCTCTACAGCAAATGGAACGGTTCAAAGTTGTGGAACGAGAGACCAAAACCAAAGCTTACAGCAAAGAGGGCCTGGGCCTGGCCCAGAAGGTAGATCCTGCCCAGAAGGAGAAGGAAGAGGTTGGCCAGTGGCTCACGGTGAGTTGGGGTAGAGAAGAGGAGGTGAACTCTGAGGATCCTGAGCCCTGGGTGTAGGCGGAACCCTAGCTGATGGGCTTCCTCTTCCTCTCCCTCCCCTAGAATACCATCGACACGCTCAACATGCAGGTGGACCAGTTTGAGAGTGAAGTGGAGTCACTGTCAGTGCAGACACGCAAGAAGAAGGGCGACAAGGATGTGAGTGAGGGAGACCCGACACCTTTGGGATGGGGATGGGCATGGGAATGGGCTGGCCAGCAGGAGGCCAGTCATTTATGCTCCTGGGAGTTGGGGCCTGGATTCCTCAGGCGGACAGGGCCAACAGCCGGGATTAGGGATTTGAGAGACAGGATTGGGAGGGCTTAGCAGCTGCACGCGTGGGGCAGGAAGGAGGTCAGACAGAATCTCAGGGTCCCCTGGGTGTCTGGGTAGACCGTGGGGCCTTTGTGAAGAGGAGCGACTTGGGGGAAGGTGAGTGCAGGTTGAGCTTGGGCCACAGAGTAAAAGTGAGACCTGAAGGACACCCATGGCAAGAGGCCTCCTGGCACCCAGAGGGCCCTGGTCCTAGGGAGAGCACAGTGGGTAGAGACAAGGCAGAACATGGAGAAGGCAGAGAACCAGGCCTGAAGGAAGACAGGAGTCTGGGACAAAGCTGGATGTTGGGGTCCCAGGTTCTAAAATCCGGGATTGTGGGGTATGAGTTCAAAGGGATACAAACTGTACAGACTTGCTGAAACCAGAAAGACAGGGAGGGGAGAGCCGGGTCCTCAGGGAAGCTGTGGGTGGGAGAGGGTCAGGAAGTGGAAGATGACAGGGTTGGGTGTCAGACTCTGAGGGGTTTGGGAACCAGGGGCTTTCGGGGAGATGATGGGTCCTTGAACAGAGCAGAGATTTGGAACCAAGGCTAAGATGTTAAATCCTAAAGGGGCCTTGAGGGGAGGGCAGGAGCGAGGCTTAGGAATCTGGGCTCTCTCAGGGATAAATGGGTAGGGTTGGGGGCCTAGTGATGACAGATATCACAATTCTAAACAGCAAGCTCCTCACAAATGGGGGTTATCATTGTTACTGCTGGAGCAGGTCGGAGGGTATCTGTATGCCAGAGGCAGTCACAGTGGTGGGCGGGCTCAGTTGAGAAATCTGGGCTGTCAGGTGAGGTGCAGATGGAGGCCAAGTCGTGGGATGGCACAAGGACCTCTGGGTCTTTTAGAGGTTTCCAAGGACTCCTGGAGCCAGAAAGGTGTGGGGAGAGGAGGGAGCAGTGGGATCCCAAGATGTCAAGGCTAAGATTGGTCCCCACAGGGCTCAGAGGGTGGGTGGACCCCATACTGCCCCACCCCGAAGGGGATGGCGTGGAGGCTTTGGGTCTCCACAGGGGTCAGGGACTGAGGACAGGTTCTGTGGGGGCAGGAGGGGCCAAGCAGGTGCTCTGCAGCCCCTGAGCCTGGCCCTGGGCTCGCCAGCAGAAGCAGGACCGGATTGAGGGCTTGAAGCGGCACATCGAGAAGCACCGCTACCACGTGCGCATGCTAGAGACCATCCTGCGCATGCTGGACAATGACTCCATCCTCGTTGACGCCATCCGCAAGATCAAGGACGACGTTGAGTACTATGTTGACTCATCCCAGGACCCCGACTTCGAGGAGAACGAGTTTCTCTACGATGACCTGGACCTCGAGGACATTCGTGAGGCCCTGGGGCTGATCGTGGCACAGGAAGTGAGGGCCCAGAATGGGCTGTGTGAGCCAGCTAAGCATGCCCTTCTTCTGCCCCCACAGCACAGGCGCTGGTCGCCACCTCCCCTCCCAGCCACAGCCACATGGAGGATGAGATCTTCAACCAGTCCAGCAGCACGCCCACCTCAACCACCTCCAGCTCTCCCATCCCGCCCAGCCCAGCCAACTGTACCACGGTGAGGCCCCACGGGACACTAGTACCTTGTGTTTCCAGCAGGGCAGGACTCGAGGAGACAAATCTGGGTCACTCCAAAGTGGCTATGGGAGCGTAATTGAGGAAACACAGATCTAGGTATCCAGGGTCTAGGCTCTTGGAGCACACGCTAAGGTCCTATATCTGGGTCCCTAAAGGACATAAAGAGCAATAGGGTGCATCCCGCGCCAGTTTAGGTCCTGGATCTGGGAAGTGGGAGGGGCCGGTGCCTGGGCTGCCTGAGGAGGCTGGGTAGCTGGCCACCTTGGGCAGGGATCCAAGGGTTGGCTTCCCTGTGGAGAGCAGGTTCCCAGATCCTTAAGAGGCTGGTGGGTCAGTGCTGGCTCCCAGAAAACAAGAAGACTGGAGAGCCTGAATTGAGATGGTTTCTCCAGGCAGATTAAGGACAGCCATTTGACCAGCTCTGGGGCCGCAATGGCAGTCAATTGGGCCCAGGTCCCCGGGGCATTCAGAGATTGGCGGTTCTCCATCAGAGCCCCAGAGGTCACACAGGTTTCTATTCTGCCTCCCCTACCTCAGGAAAACTCTGAAGATGATAAGAAGAGGGGACGTTCCACAGACAGTGAAGTCAGCCAGGTGGGTGTGAGCCTGGACCGGGTGGGCACGCCATTCACTCCTCTGTTGCTTCCCAAAGGCATCTTGAGGCCTGAGCGCCGGCCACTGTGCTGGGCTGGTGGACACAGGTGGCTCAGAAATCAGTGCTGCCCTGAGGGCAGGTGGGCAGGGCAAGTGGACAGGTGACTGGTGCTGTGGTCAAGGGGGTAGCACACAGGTCACCCTTGGCCTGGCCAGGCAGTCAGGAGATGCTGCTGTGGAGTGCCCTGGGCTTCACAGTCAGGTGAGTTTGCCTGGCAGGGAGAGGTGGCAGCCAGTAACATGGGCAAGTTGTGACAGAAAGTTTGGAAGTGAGGAGAGATGAGTCTGGCCAGGTCTGCAGGGCCAGGGCCCAACTGTGAGCACAGGGACTGGGACTGTCAGGCTGAGGGGCTCAGGCTTTGTGGACCTGAGTGGCCTCCAGAGTCCAATAAGCCTAGGAAGCGATGGGGCCTTTGCTGTGCTGATAATACACACTGCAAATTTCTGAGAGGAGACGGTGGCGGGCAGTGCTTCTTCAACTCCTTTAACATCTCCCAGGACAGGAGCACGCTTTCGGAAACGCTGCTACAGAACAATGTTAGGCAGGAGCAGCATGGGCCTGAGGCCCCTCTGTGGGCTAACGGGATGGATGGTTCCAAGGGGACACCCTGAGTGGGCATTGAGGAGGCTGGTGTGGAGACTAAGGGGACCCGCAGGTAGTAGTGAGGGCGGGCAACAGGGCCAGGAGGTGATGAGGAGAGACACTGAGGCAGGTACTCCAGGGGCCAGGCTGGGCTCTGCCACCTTCCCAGGCCCCCACTGCCAAGCAGCGATGCCCAGGAGAGAAGTGGGTAGTCAGTCCTGTTGGGCGCTTGGTAAGCGCAAGGTGCCTGTGGGGTGGCTGGAAAGAAGCCCAGGAGGTGGTTAGGCTCAGCAGCCGGAGTGCTGTCCACAGATTGCCTGCGGTAGGGATACCATGAGCACATTTACCCTCCCACCACTTTCTGGAGTGCTGGTAACTTCCAGCCCTGTGAGTAGCTTCTGTGACCCTTCAGGTGACATTCAGAATTACTATCCAATTTCCAGCTGTTTTTCCTTCTACTCTTGGACATTAGGCGGCTCCAGCTAATCTCATATTGAGAACACTTAAGTGTTTCCCACTAGTCCTCTGGCTTCCAACAGATGGATCTTCTCTGGCTGACAACCTAAGTTGTGTGTCAGATCCCTGTGGGGGTGTCCATGGGGCGGTGTCCAGGCAGGACTTGGGAAGCTGGGCAGGCTGGAAATCAGTGTGAGTGTTTTAAGCATGAAGGTGATTGAAGCCATGAGGGTGAGTAAGGTCACCCAGGTCCCCAAGAGGGCAGGAGCAGGTGGGGGCAGCGAGGCCAGAGAGGAGGCTGCTGGGACAAAGATGGAGCCTGAGGTGGGGGTGGTGAGGGAGACCAGCTGGCCCACTGGGTCCTGACCCTCTGCTCTCTCCCACCCGCAGTCTCCAGCCAAAAACGGCTCCAAGCCTGTCCACAGCAACCAGCACCCTCAGTCCCCAGCTGTGCCGCCCACCTACCCCTCCGGCCCCCCGCCTGCTGCCTCTGCCTTGAGCACCACTCCTGGCAACAATGGGGTCCCCGCCCCCGCAGCACCCCCAAGTGCCCTGGGCCCCAAGGCCAGTCCAGCTCCCAGCCACAACTCGGGCACCCCTGCTCCCTATGCCCAGGCTGTGGCCCCACCAGCTCCCAGTGGGCCCAGCACGACCCAGCCCCGGCCCCCCAGCGTCCAGCCTAGCGGAGGCGGAGGCGGCGGCAGCGGAGGTGGAGGGAGCAGCAGCAGTAGTAACAGCAGTGCCGGTGGAGGGGCTGGCAAGCAGAATGGCGCCACCAGTGAGTGAGGAGGCAGCGGGGTGGGGGGCGTGGGCGGGGCTGGGCAGCAGGCAGCAGCCCTTTCCATTTACTCTTTGTTCCCAGGTTACAGCTCAGTTGTGGCAGACAGCCCGGCAGAGGTGGCTTTGAGCAGCAGTGGGGGCAACAATGCCAGCAGCCAGGCCTTGGGCCCCCCTTCCGGCCCCCACAACCCACCTCCCAGCACCTCGTGAGTGTCTCGGCCATCGGCAGGGTTGGGATGGCAGCCTTTTGAAACAGAGAGGCGCAGGCGCCTCACCCCCGCATCGGTGGGTTCTGAACCCCCCGCCCTTGCTGCTGGGAATGGCCAAGCGCTATCCTCCATCTCCCTCGGGTGTTACACCCCCACTTCTTTCCAGCAAGGAAACTACATCAGCCTCCCTGCTTTGCCCTTCAGAACATTCTAAAATACGTTCTCATCTAAGTGGAAGTTTTCTCAAGAGCCCCATACCCTTTCCTCCCCATTTCTGTTACCTGCCTGAGGCCAATTGACTGCCACCGGAGGGTCACTGTTTCACTTTTCAAAGTGAATTGTCCCGAAGTCCTTATTCCTCTGCAGCCACTCCTTCAAATCTTAGCTCAGACCATTCCACTGGGTCTGCCTGTTTCCCGAAGAATGCCCTAAGAAAGATCAGTGTGCACAAAGGAAAGGCCTGCTTCCTGCCCCCTCACCCCAGCTCCAGCTGGCCTGCCCAAGGGGGAGTGGGCCCTGTGAACACCTGCCCAGGGCAAGTGGTTTTGATCAGCCTGTGGCCTGGTGGAGCACCCGAGAATCCTCACCCCCACCCCCACAGCTCTGCTCTGCTGATGAGAAACCATTCCAAAGATTGGGCTCTGCCTTTGTTTGCCCAGAGAACCACTTCTTTCTCCCATCTGTCTGCCCTCACCTGCCCCTCTCAGATCCCATCTGATCTGTGCAGTCTCCCCTCTCTCCAGCCAGGCCTCTCTGCCCATCCCACCCTCAGGGACCCTCCTCTCAACCCCCTCTTCCATGCTCTCTCTCCAGGAAGGAACCCAGTGCGGCAGCCCCAACGGGGGCTGGGGGCGTGGCCCCAGGCTCAGGGAACAACTCAGGGGGACCCAGCCTCCTGGTGCCACTGCCTGTGAATCCTCCCAGCTCCCCAACGCCCAGCTTCAGTGATGCCAAGGCAGCCGGTGCCCTGCTCAATGGGCCTCCACAGTTCAGCACCGCCCCAGAAATCAAGGTGGGCTCCTCGGACATCCCCCGAGCCTCTGTGTCCTGACTCTGTTGTTTCTTTCCTCCAGGTCTCTAGCTGCACCCCCTGCCCCCACCCTCTTTCTGGATCTCTTTCTCTGGCTTTCTGTCCCCTTCTCACACTTGCTCTTTCTCCAGGTCTTTCTGTACCACCCTCCCCGTGACCTTGATCTCTGGGGGCTCTCATACCTCCTCTCTTGTTCCCTCCAAAGCTCTGTTTCTCTGGGTCTCTTTTCCTTTCTCTTGGTTGCACTTGTTGCTTGCTCTCTCTGGGTCTCCATCTTCATCCCCCCCGCAGGCCCTCAGTTTCTGTCCCCGTTTGTCCTCACAAGGCATAGACTGGTGTACTTTCTGCACAAGTAGAAAGACTGGTTGGGTGAATGCAGCCTGGTTCCACCCTTTAGGAAGCTTCCCTGCTGGGGCAGCTGCAGGGAAGGTTGCGGTGGGCCCACCGAGGGGCATCTGACCTGACCTGGGAGACAGGCCCAGGAAGGTCTGAGAGGGGGTGATGTTTAAGCTGAGACCTGGACCAGGCAGGGGGGCTAACAGCTGCAGGAAGGGCTTCAGGAGGTGCTTTAGGAGGAGCATGCATCTGCCTGTGTGCTTAGGAAGCTGGGCAGGATGCAGCAGAGAGGAGAGAGGTGTCCACTCTGCAGGAGACAGTGCCACCAGCTGCAGGGCTGAGATAGTGGGTGTAGCAGGATAGGACGGTGGGGTCCTGATCATCGAGGGTCAGGAGCTGGGGCTTGGCTTGTGAGCCAGTATACTGTAGCGCAGCTTCCATGGGGGGACCAGTGTGTATGCCCAGGCTGTCCAGGAGGCAGTGTGCGCGCCCAGGCTGTCCAGGAGGCAGTGTGCGCGCCCAGGCTGTCCAGGTCCAAGTCTTGGCATTGTCCTTTCTGTGCCTTCATCTGGGAAACGGCAATAGTCACGATTATACCTACTATGTAGGGTTATTTGGAAGACTAAATCATCCTCATAAAGCTCTTGGAACAGTTTCTGGCCCAACAGAAGCATTAATTTTTTTTTTTTTTCTTTTTTGAGACAGAGTCTTGCTCTGTCACCCAGGCTGGAGTGCAGTGGTGCAATCTCAGCTGAATGCAACATCCGCCTCCTGGGTTCAAGCGATTCTCCTGCCGCAGCCTACTGAGTAGCTGGGATTACAGGCGCCTGCCACCACGCCAGGCTAATTTTTATATTTTTAATAGAGATGGGGTTTTGCCATGTTGGTCAGGCAGGTCTTGAACTCCGAACCTCAGGTGATCCACCCACCTCGACCTCCCAAAGTGCTGGGATTACAGGTGTGAGCCACCGTGCCCGGCCCAAATTTTAGAAGTAGGTGGACAGGATATTTATAGTGCGTGCATTTTTCTGGAAAAAGGGAAACAGCAGCTTTGAGATTTTCAGAAGGGGTCCATATCTTTTAACACCACCAACAACAAAAATGAATCGCTGGGGTGGGTGGTCGGGAACCATGGCAAGGTTTGGAGTAGAGAAGGAACAACATGACTTCATTGGAAAGGTCCCCTGGGGCTGGTGAGGACAGGATAGAGGGAGGGTGGTCTGGGCAGGAGAGGACAGGCCTGGGCTGTGTGGGACATGGTGGCACGACAGGGAAGGGAGCCATCCAGTGGGGTTTAGAAGCAGGACGGATAGCTGGGCGTGGTGGCTCACACCTGTAATCCCAGCTCTTAGGGAGGCAGAGGCGGGAGGATAGCTTGAGCCCAGGAGTTTGAGACCTGCCTGGGCGATATAGCGAGACAGAATGGATAAGCCTTGGCGACTGACTCGTTGTGGAGAGTCCAGCACAGGGCTGGGGTTTGGGACAGCTGCACGTGGCTGGAGGAGATGGGAGGAACCAGCCCTGACTTTGGGGAACAGAAGCCTGCTGTAACCTTTGTAATAGGAAACGAGGCTGTGGCTGCGGGGCTGGAGACCCAACCTACCTGTTTCCAGCAAGGAGACTGAAGCCTAGCCGGGCTGGGCCCACCCCGATTCCAGTCACCCCATGCCAGTCACAGGCAGACAGCTGAGCATGTAGACCTCCTGCCTCCTTCAAGACAGGCGGGAGCTCTCCCAGCGTGTAGGTGTCCCTAGTGAAGGAGCGTGTACTATTGGCACATCCTTTGACAAAAATGGTAGCGCACTGTACATATTCTGCAGGTTGGCGTTTACTTCTGTAGTATGTCACGAACTTGTATTTTGAAAATCTCGGCGTAGTATTCCATGCTGCAGAGTCCCACTCACGAGACGTTCCTCTGCTGATGAATGCGTCGTGGTCTCCGATTGTTTCCCTACAGTTTGATGCTTTTACCTGTCATGGGTAGATTGTGGGGAGTGGGTCGTTGGCCCTCCACGGCCCCCAAACAGGGCAGGTGAGAGCATCTGGGGCCTGTGTCAGGCTGCACTTGCTCCTGCAGCCCAAGTGCTCAGGCCAGGCCTCTTGTTTCCTCCCCAGGCCCCTGAGCCTCTGAGCTCCTTGAAGTCCATGGCGGAACGGGCAGCCATCAGCTCTGGCATTGAGGACCCTGTGCCAACGCTGCACCTGACCGAGCGAGGTGAGGGACCCAGGATGGTGGGGAAGCAGCGGGCCAAAGAGGAGGGGCTGCCCCTGACCCATCCTCACCACTGAGGGGGCCGGACCCCCACCCTCCCCACAGACATCATCCTGAGCAGTACATCAGCACCTCCGGCCTCAGCCCAGCCGCCCCTGCAGCTGTCAGAGGTGAACATACCGCTGTCGCTGGGTGTCTGTCCACTGGGCCCTGTGCCCCTCACCAAGGAGCAGCTCTATCAGCAGGCCATGGAAGAGGCCGCCTGGCACCACATGCCTCACCCCTCTGACTCTGAGCGTATTCGGTGAGGGGCCACAGGGAAGGGGGATGGTCTGGGACTTGAGTCTTACGGAGGAGGCAGTGGCTGAACCTGTGAGGCTGTGGGTAGAGCACCAGGCCCCTGACTTGGGCTCTCCACTGAAGGTCAGCACCGCCCTGGGTCTTTCTGTACCACCTCCCCCCGCAGGGATGCATGTCTGAGCACCCTTTTGATCACGACAGGACTAGTAGGCAGCTGGCACTGACCTTCCTGTTGCTCTCACAGGCAGTACCTCCCCCGGAACCCCTGTCCGACGCCCCCCTACCACCACCAGATGCCACCCCCACACTCGGACACTGTGGAATTCTACCAGCGCCTGTCGACCGAGACACTCTTCTTCATCTTCTACTATCTGGAGGTACAGCAGGGCCCCCGGGGCAGCCTCGGGCCCCCCGGCTTCGCCGCCACCGCCGCCGTCCCCCCTCGGGCTGGAGGGGTGAGGTGGGTGCCCCACTGCGGCCACTGGGACCGCACCCCCTCCCTATTCCCACTCCTGGGCCCCTGCCCCAAATCCACCTGTCCCCGTCCCCGCCTTCCAGCCCAGAGATGTTAGAACTGCTTGGGTTGACAGCGAGGCTGGTCCACTGAGGCACACCTCAGCCCCGCTTCCAGTTGCCCACTGGCTCACCCGCGGCCCCTCCCCAGCCCTGCTCCAGCAGCCCCAGTCTAGGCCGACCCCACTCTGCTCATCGGCACATTCTCAGGCCTCCCTGGAGACCACTGGGGAGCTGTCCAGCCCCCTCCCAACCCCAGTGAGTCATGAGTGACCTCCACCCTCATCCCCACTTGGGAAATTTTCTAAATTGCCTCCTCTCTCAGCTCTCATCACACATTAGTTTTTCTTCCTTCTCAAAGCTTCTCTGAAAGCAATTTTCACCTCCTGTCTCATTTTCCTTCTCCTGATCAGCATTGGTATGTTCTGTGCCCCCAGCCCCATCTCCAAGAGGATTGTCCAGCCCAACTGTGGTCTGTGGCGGGGGCCGGGGTTCAGCCCTGATGTCCTGCCCCATTCCCCTGGCTCCCCACCCAGTTTGGGGGCCCCCTGATCCCCCTCTCCACTGTTCCTCCCCCAGGGCACTAAGGCACAGTATCTGGCAGCCAAGGCCCTAAAGAAGCAGTCATGGCGATTCCACACCAAGTACATGATGTGGTTCCAGAGGCACGAGGAGCCCAAGACCATCACTGACGAGTTTGAGCAGGTGAGGGCCCCGCCCCCTCTCTTCCCGCTGCTAGGGTTGGGGTAGAGTCCCCAGGCTCCAGGCAGCCCCTGCTGGCCTCTGCTCCCTTGCCTCCACCTTTCAGCTGGCGCAGTCCCTCAGCCTGACCAAGTACTCCTCCCTCTGGCTGTCTGCTCAGCCTGGAACACCGCCCTCTCATCCTCCACTTGGCCAGCTCCTAGGCCTCCTGTAGGTCTCAGCCCAAATGTCCCTTCCTCAAAGAAACCTTCCTGGAGCCACCCAGCCCAGTGCCTCCCCTTTGCAGTGCTGGGCACACTCGCTTGGGGTGTGGGATTTTCCCAGTATGTGTCCCTGCACCAGGCTGTGGGCTCTGCTGCCGAGGGACCTTGATGGCCCCCACTTCACCTCCAGGTCCCAGCACTCAGCAGGGCAGGGGCTCAGTGCCGAAACTATTTTTTTTGAATGGGCTTCTCAAGTTCTAATACTGGGAAATTCCTGCTGCTTGCAAACACTCTGGAACCAACCTACCTGGGTTTCAGCCCAGTCCAGCTGGGCGACTCTAGGCAAGTCACTCGAACCTCTGTGTCTCAATTAACTTATCTGTAAAAATGGGGGGAAGACCACCTACCTAATGCAGTTGTTATGAAGATTAAATGAGTTAATAACATGTAAGTACTTAATGGTGACTGCTACATAGTCAGTGTCATGGATTTTTTTTTTCAAATTACTTTCAGTTGGTGTGTTCTACAGTGATGTTTTTTTCCACCAAATACTTCCCTGATGCCGAGCCCCTTCATGGGGATGAAGTAGTACAAGGTCCTTGTCCTCAGAGAACTCAGTCCCCTCTCCTGGTTCTCCCAGGTTGCCATCTTTGAAGCACTTAAGACATTCATTTAGAACCTAGGTCCTCTCCCATTGTGTCCTCAGATGTTAACCACAGACTTCCTGTCCTTTCCTGGTTTGGCCCAAAACCATCCTCCAAGTTAGTACATTTCAGGGCATCCAGTCATTCAGAAATTCCCACACCACTTCCGTCACCAATAAAATGTCCCTGCAGAGTGCTTGGATTTAGACTCTGAGACTGTTCCATTCTCTAGAACAAGGGTGACAGTACCCACTGCCTCGAGGTCTTTGTGAAGATTAAATGCTAGGCTGTGCATCCTGTACTCACGTGAGAGGTGCTCAAAAGCCACAGCCCTCGAGGAAACGAAGGCTGTGCACTCACACCTGGGGCTGGGGCCCCGTTCTGGCAGCTGGCTTCGGTGGAACCTCTGCGGCCCCCTCCGTTTCCTCCTCGCTGAAGTGGCATGATAACATTTCCTACCCAAGAAGAACCTTGTGAGGATGGATGAGAGTGTGTGCGTGCAGGGCAGCTGGCCCGGTGCCTGACACATCCACAGCCCTAAGAATTGTCCCCTTTGTCTGTTGGTCCGGCCCAGATCCCAGACCACCTCCTCGTCCACTCACTGACCGCCTTCTCCCCCGGCCAGGGCACCTACATCTACTTTGACTACGAGAAGTGGGGCCAGCGGAAGAAGGAAGGCTTCACCTTTGAGTACCGCTACCTGGAGGACCGGGACCTCCAGTGACACCGGCCCCTCCCTCTACCCACCCCCTTCCCCCGCATGCTGATCCCCCTGCCCAGGTGAGGGCCCTGCCCTGGAAGACTGGAGGGAGGCCCCAAGCCACGGGGCATCCCCCTCTCCCAGGAAGCAGGGAGGGGGCCGGGAGGTTTTCCTCTCAGCCCCACCCTGGGGGCCCGGGGGCGAGGGCTGCCCCCTCCTCCCCTCCCCAGTGAGGGACATTTTTTGGTAAACCTATTTTCATTTTGGAAAATATTTATGAATAAATAGTTTTATATGACGGCTGGCAGCAGCGGCCTCTCCTGTACCCCCTCAGGAGTCAGTGAGTAAGGTGAGGGTCCTGCTGGCGGGGGCGCCGGGCCAGCTGGGGGTTGAATTGGGAGTTGTACCGCCGCCGCCGGTCATCCGTCTCGTCTTCTTCCGGCTGACCCTCCTGTAGTGCCCGGCCTTGGACCCGGGCCAGCAGGGCCTCTGCCCGAGACCTCTCAGCTGCTTCCCTCCGCAGACGTTCAGCTCGAAGCTGGTCCAGGGATGGAGGCCTGTGGGGAGAGGAGTGAGGTCAGAAAGCTGGTAGCCCCTAGGAGGCCATTCCCCCAACCTCTCCCATAGAGGGAGCTGCCGCCTGGAAGCCCCGCTGCATCCAGCACACCCCAGCCTCAGCTCCTTAGGCCTGCTGGAAGCAGCCACTTGGTGCTGGGACGCCATGGGCACGTCTCTGGCCTTCCCTTCTGTGGGCTTTGGTCCTCCCCAGTCTTTAAAATCTGATGCTTCTCCAGGTCAAGAAAGCACACTTAGCAGCCCCCTGGCCCTCAGTTTCCCTTTCTAGAGGAAAGAAGACTACAGGCAGTGTACCCCCTCTAGACCAGGGGTGCAGCATCCTGGAGACAGAAGCCTGCTTTTACTCTCTAACCCAGCAGCTCTCAAACTCTTTGGTCTCAGGACCCCTTTATACTCTTAAAAACCAAGGACCCCAAGAGCTTTTGTTTAAATGGGTTCTCTTAATATGCTGCAAATCATTAGTGAAAACTAAGAAAGTTTGGACACAAGCATCTGCCATTGGCCATCAGAGTGAGGGTGTCTCCCCATCACACAGCCTCTGGAAACCTGCACTACATGCCTGAGAACACGAGTGGAAAAGTCCACCAGTGTCAGGAAAATAGGCTTGACACCACAGCACCCCGGGAAAGGGTGTCAGGACCCCTAGGGCTCCCTGGACCACATGCTGAGAACCACTTCTCCACCTAGCCAGCCCTTCACGGAGTCCCTGGCTGTCCTGACCAGAGACGCTGCAGTGCCCATGCTGGGCTGCTGCCAAGCCCTGAAGGTCTGGGCCCTGGTCTGCCGAGGTGGGGTCTTCTTACTCCTTGGGTCGCTGCTTCTCAGACCCCTCCTTTTCCTTTCTGCTGCGACTGCCTTCATCACCGCCGTGCTGTCTCTTCTTCCCCAGATGCTTCTGCATCTCCCGCAGAGGGTCCAGACGGCTCTTGATCTTCTCATCTGGGGCTGGGCCGGGCGGGGGGCCCCCTCGCCCTGGGGGTAGCTGGTACCAAGGGGGTTGAGTCTGTGCCTCCGCTGCACTCTGGCCCAGGTATGTCAGGATGCCCAGAGCTTTCTCTTGCCTCTCCTGAGGGGGCCAGGAAATACAAGAGATGTGATATAATCTTTCAAGGTGTCAGGTGTGTCTCCCTGACACAGGTATCTAAGCGAACAGGTATCTAAGGCTTGTTATGAACCAGTTGGACCAGGTGCTGGGGATGGAAGACAAACAGAGGCAAAGCTCCCCCTGGGGGGACAGTAGCAGGTACAGTAACAGCAGGGGAAGGAGGGGACAAGTGGAGCCACTTGAGTGTTCAGAGGCAGGCATCTTTGCAGAGAGACTTGAAGAGAAGCCTGAAGGGATCAAGCAAAGCAGAGGAGCGATGGGTGGGGTCAGCAAGTCCAGAGACAGCAGATAAATGACAAGAGCTGATGTACCTCTTTTTTTTGAGATGGAGTCTCGCTCTGTTGCCCAGACTCGAGTGCAGTGGCACGATCTCGGCTCACTGCAACCTCTGCTTCCCAGGTTCAAGCAATCCTCCTACCTCAGCCCCCCGAGTAGCTGGGATTACAGGCACACACCACCATGCCCAGCTAATTTTTGTATTTTTAGTAGAGACGGGGTTTTGCCATGTTTGGCCAGGCTGGTCTTGAACTTCTGACCTCAGGTGATCCACCCACGTTGGCCTCCCAAAGTGCTGGGATTACAGGCGTGAGCCACCATGCACAGCCACTGATGTACCTTTTACACTTGATCTTAGCCAAAAAGCAAGAGGCGATTGATTCACTTTTTGTTTGATTGTTTTGAGATGGGGTCTCGCTCTGTCACCCAGGCTGGAGTGCAGTGGCGCAATCTCGGCTTACTGCAGCTTCCACCTCCTGGGTCAAGCGATTCTCCTGCTTCAGCTTCCCTGGGATTACAGGCGCGCACCACCATGCCCGGCTAATTTTTTTTGTATTTTTAGAGATACCATGTTGACCAGGCTGGTCTTGAACTCCTGACCTCAGGTGATCCACCCGCCTCAGCCTCCCAAGGTGGTGGGATTACAGGCGTGAGCCACAGCCGGCTGATTTAAATTTTTAAAAGCCCATCAGGTTTGAGACTCCTCCAGTTTGGAGAACTGAGCGGTTTGCCCAGCAGCTGGGGACCTCTAGCATCTACCTCCAACCCCTGTGGGCGCCCAGACGGCAATAGCCAACGCTTTTTGAGTGTCATGCCTTGGTATGGTCCTAAATTCTGTGTGTTCACTCTTGTTTGACCTTGGTCACAACCAATGGCTAAAGTGCCCCCTCCCTCCAACTCGATTCATGGCCCCTCTGATGAAGTGGGTGAGGCCAGCTTACTTTCTCCTGTCGCTTTTCTTCCTCGTACTCTTTATTGCCTCTGATCACTCCTTTCCCTTCCTCCAGCAGCTCCCGAAACAGGTCCACAGGGCCAGAACCTGGGGCTCCCGCCTCTGCTGCTTCAAGCTCAGGCAGTGAGTTCTGATGTCTGGCTTTCTTCCGTAGGAATTCTGTACGGGCCTGGGGAGAAAGTTATAGGCAGGACATTCAGAACCTAGAGGTAATTCAAGAACTGTGAGTCTGGTGCCCACCACAGAAAATGGCAGTCCAGGGTGCTGGGGTTATGAGAAAGGGAGCACTAGGCGCCTAAAAGAGGCACCTGTCCTAGCTGGGGGTGAGGGTAGGCAGATGAGGCAACGCCTGGGTTTTGTAAACTCCCTTTCAAATAGTAAACCACGGGTCATCAAGGATGTATGGGAGGAGGTCCCTGGCCTAAACCAAAGGGGTTCCTAACCTCAAGTGAGACAATTAAAACAGCCATAAAGGTATGCATTAGGCCAGACGATCTGAATTCTAGCCATGGCTCCAAGTGACTACCCCAAGTCTGCTGAAGCCCTGTCCCCTGCCTTCAGGACGCGGATTTCAAACAGCGCTCAGCAGCCTACTGAGATTCTAAAAACCTAGACTACCTCCCACCCACGGCGGAGGATCAGACTAGCTAAGGAAATGAAAGTTGGGTGTACACCAAACAGATTTAAAGAGCCATACGGAAAGCCCGTGTTTGTGTGTATGTGTCTAGGGGGCGGTGCACGAAAGGGCTCGCCCGATGGCGTGGAGCCTGGCTGTCCGCCTCTCCTTAAAATGTGCCTTCCCCTCACTGAAGCCATCTCACTTCGTGCAACAGAGATGACAGTGCCCCTCTAAGAACGAACAGTGCTTATTGGGGATTCCGCAAGTCAGGTGCACGGCATGTAGTTAGCATACAGTAGATGCTCAATAAATAGGCTGTGCAGGCAAACTAAAAAGTGATCCGAATTTCCTTGAACTGTCCAAGGGTTCACGGATTCATTAAATGTTAAGCTTCTCTTTTGTGCTAGACACTGTTCCAGCCATGTGAAATACATCAGTGGGGGAAAAACTAAGACGAGGGCGAGATCAAGGAAGGTTTCGTGGAAGTGGGCACAAGGTTTGCGGGGCAACGTCCTCGAAAGTGGGATCGGCGCCTGGTCCCGAATTTCACACGGGGCACATTGAGCCTGCGCAACGCCTCCGCTTCCGGCCCCCAACCGCGGCGCCTGCGCGCTGGGCCCCGGAGCGCCGCCCTGCCGGCTTCCGAGCTTACCTCTTGCTGAGCCAGCAGCACCCTCCGCTCACGCTCCTTCTCCTCCTCCCGGGCCTGGGCCTCGTCACGCCGCACGCGGGCGACATTGTCCTTGTTCCGGACGTGCCAGCTCTTCTTGGGCAAGATATTCATGGCGTCGTAGCTGTCCAGGGACTGGCACGCCCGCCTCTTTGCACTTCCGATTGGCGAGAGGATGCCCCCCTTTTTCTTGTCCCTACTTCGACCGCGGATTGGTTCCGAATTAGTTGGTACGGCCCCCTGGCCTGTAGCGACAGGTGATTGGCTGAGACGCCCTTTATCACAGCGAATGCTAGGCGTTCGGCTCGTGGTATCCCCTAGCAACCGCCTCTTGTCACAGATCTGAACCAATCATAAGTTGGCCCGCCCCTGATGCTACCAGATGCGGCCGTCGATTGGCCGACATGACCGACAAGTCTCCTTGCGGAAGAGCGCTCTGCACCGACAAACATGCCCGTACATTTGATTGGCTCCTGCCCCGCTGTAGCCCTGCCCCCACCTTCAGGACGCAGATTTCAAAGCGCGCTCAGCAACCTCGGCTGTATTTATTGATACAAGGAAGATCACCCGAGAGTCAGGGACGTGGCGGCGAGGGGCCCTGGAAATCTCCAGATACCAAAGCTGGAAGGGCGTGGAGTCTTCTCCAGTTCTCCTAGTTTACAGATGTTGTGACCTAGGCTTACAATGGGCCTGGGGTCTGAAAGCGGGACGTGGGCTGCGGGGGTCAAAGAGCCGGTTTGGTGGAGGTCAGCGCCACAGCGCGCCGTGCCAGGAAGACTTTATTCTGCGCCTCCTGGGGCAAAGAGAGGTGGAGGTGAGACAATCCTCTTCCCCAACCCCTTTCCATGTTCCCCAGGGGCCCTCTCAGGGACCCGCCTGGCTCACCGTCTGTCTCTGACGTTTGAGCTCAGAGATGAGGCGTCCGTAGGAGTTAGCCAGAGCCACAGTGTACGCCATCAGGATGCTGAAGGAGACAGGAACGGAAGCCACTCCTGACACGCTCTTCCATTATATCCAAACGTCTGGCTCCTTCGAAGCCAGGGATGTGGACGCCTAAGCCCCTCCTCGTCTGGGCTCAAGGAGTTCAGTCTCCCAGCCCCTCCGCCTTCAGATCCAGGAGTCCTACGTCCCGCCCACCTCCTCCTTCGGACCCAGCAGTCCAGGAGCCTAGGCCTCCTCCCTCAGACTCAGTACGTTGCCTGCTCCCACGCCCAAGCCTCTCCTCTCTTGGACGCAGGTGGTGGCCCCCAGATCACACGCATTCAAACCCAGACCCAGAAGTCTGGGCCGTCTCACCTGGAGATCAGCAGAAGGGGCACAGCAAAAGCCTGGGTCCCCAGGAAGAAGAGGAAATTCTGGGTGGTCTCAGGGAGGCTGGAAATAGACTCAGGGATCTGGGCCCAGATGGACGACTGCCCCCGGAATGGACCACAAAGCTTAGAAGGCGGGATCCTGAAGTCAAGACAGGCTGGGCTCACATAGTGCCAGGAGTCTGAACACTGAATGGGGAGAGAGGGAGGGAGAGAGGCGGGAGCCTCTCGCACTTACAGGAAGATGCTGTAAAGCAGGGGAACGCTGGAGATGGCCAGACCCAGGAGAAGGACCAAGGGGAAAAAGAAATTCGCCGCGGAGGCCCGGAAGGTGCGGGCAGCCGGGGAGCAGGTGGAGAAGAGGGTAAGCTGGTGGGGGAAGGCACGGAGAAAAGGGCTCTGAAACACAAGAGTCTGTGCCTCCATTTTTTTTTTTTTTTTTTTTGAGACAGAGTCTCGCTCTGTCGCCCAGGCTTTTTTTTTTGAGACAGAGTCTCGCTCTGTCGCCCAGGCTGGAGTGCAGTGGCTCTCACTGCAGCCTCCCCTCCCGGGTTCAAGCTATTCTCGTGTCTCAGCCTCCCGAGTAGCTGGGATTACAGGTGTGCACCACCACTCCCGGCTAATTTGTTTTGCTGTTGTTGTTGTTTGTTTGTTTTCTCTTTTTGAGACGGAGTCTCGCTCTGTCGCCCAGGCTGGAGTGCAGTGGCACGATCTTGGCTCACTTCGACCTTCACCTCCCTGGTTCAAGCAATTCCCCTGCCTCAGCCTCCTGAGTAGCTGGGATTACAGGCGCCTGCCACTAAGCCCGGCTAATTTTTTTTGTATTTTTAGTAGAGACGGGGTTTTGCCATGTTAGCCAGGCTGGTCTCAAACTCCTGACCTCAGGTGATCCACCCGCCTTAGTCTCCCGAAGTGCTGGGATTACAGGCGTGAGCCACTGCACCCGGCCTACCTGCCTCTCCTTTTTTCCGAACCAGGAGTCTGAGCCCCTTCCTCATCTAGGACCCCGGAGTCTGAGTCCCCAGATCCTCAGACATATAAGTCAGAATGCCCTAGACCCCTCCTCTCAGATGCAGTAGTCTGTCCTCCAACCCCCTCCTCTCTCAGGACCGAGTAATCCAGGCCCCCAGGATCTTCCTTGCCCTTGACCCAGGAGTGCGGGCCCCAATACCTCCTGCCTCAGACCCAAGGGTCCCCCCTACCCCTTACCTTCTTCAGGTAGAAAAGCAGCAGGAACTTGACCGTGTTAAGCAGGGGCAGTAAAGGGCAGAAAAAACTCCCCACCCAGACCACCGTCTGCGCGTAGATGAGCCCCAGCACCTCGTCGGGCACCTGGAACTCCTGGGTCCCCGCCAGACGACCCAGCGCCCCAGGACAGAGGCCACAGAGGAGCCTGAAGGACGGGGCGGGGCCGGGCCGGAGTCAGGGGAGTGGCGGCCTGGAGTTTCCCCGCCTCCACCGCCCCGCCCGCCAATAGGAAGCATGCGTATTGGTTGGGGGGGGGGGGGCGGGACTTTCAGGACTCCACGTGGAGGGGGTGTGTCCAGAGGGCGGGTCCTGAGGACTAGAAGGGACCCAGATGTCGCCGCCGTCGGGGCCAGAGGGAAGTAACCCACTAAAACAAGGGCGGGGAGCGGGGAGATCTGCGGACCTAGGGCAAGCAAAGGGAGCAGGCAGAGGCGGGAATGGTAAAAAGGTGCGCGGTGAAAAGAACAGCGCGATGGGGCACGGCCTCGTCCTAGAGGGGCGGGGCCACAGCAAGGGGCGGGGCTCTCACTTTCTAGGAAACTGGATGAGCAGCGCGACTGCCAAGACAGTCAGCAGATCAAAGAGCAGAAGTTTGTACATTTCCTGGCCCAGGACAGTCTCCCAGCACTGAAGAAGGAAGAAATATATCAGAAAGAACTCGGGACCCGGGCACCTGGAGGCCCACGCGTCCGAGTCTCCACATCGCAAGCCTATGAGACCCTGTCAATACTTTCTCTGGGGGTCCTCGTTTTTCAAACTTTCATACCCTTGGGAGAGTGTTCCAGCACCCCAAGCTCCCCTCTCCGCCCAAACCAAGAGTCTGGACCCACCCAGCTCCATCTTTCCTTCAGGGACCCAAGAGTCCCACGCACACCCATGCCGTTCTCACCGGAAGTTGTTTGTAATTGTAGCCACAGGTTTTGCAGTCCTCAGCCTCGGAGTCGCCCCCACAAGTGATCTGATTCCAGAGAGAGAAGAGCAGGACCACCAGGGAGGCGAGGCGAAGAAACACGGTCCTGAAGGGGGGAAGGCAGAGAATGGGCCCTGACCCGGTACCCACCATGTGGCAGTTCCCTTCTCAGTGGAACGCGCCCGCATTCAACCCATCTCACAGATGAAGCTGAGGCCCAGTGACAGAATCAGGATTTCTTTCTTTCTTTCTTTCTTTTTTTTTTTTTTTTTTTGAGACAGGGTCTCACTCTGTCACCCGGACTGGAGTGCAGTGGCGCGATCTCAGCTCACTGCAACCTCCACCTCCCAGGCTCGAGCCATTCTCCTGCCTCAGCCTCCCGAGTAGCTGGGACTACAGAAGCCACTACCGCCGGGCTAATATTCGTATTTTTACTACAGACGGGGTTTCATCATGTTTGTCAGGCTGGTCTCGAACTCCTGACCTCAGCCTCGGCCTCCCAAAGTGCTGGGATTACAGGTGTGAGCCACTGCACCTGGCCAACAGAGTCAGGATTTGAATCCCTGGATTCGGTATCAGCAGGATTTCCGTGTCTTACCTGTCAGCGCCAACATCCCTCTGACCGCCCCCACCCTTCATCATTCCCAGCCATCCCCGTGAGGCTGGAACCTGAGCAGGATAAAAACGATCTGGCGACTCCGAGTGTAGCCCTCCAGTGGAGCAATGAGCTTGAACACGGGCGGCAGCACAAAATTGACCCCAGCGATGAAGATGGACGGAAGGTAATTCACCCCAAGCTTCAGCAGTGGCAACTCCTGGACAAGGGGCATCTCCTGGGAGCGGGATGGACCATGAGTAGAGGCTTGGGGTCCTGGAGGAGCCAAGCTTAAGGTCCTCCCCCCGGCCTCTTCTTCTTCTTCTTCTTTTTTTTTTTTTTTTTGAGACAGAGTCTCGCTCTGTTGCCCAGCCTAGAATGCAGCGGTGCGATCTCGGCTCGCTGCAACCTCTGCCTCCCGGGTTCAAGTGATTCTCCTGCCTCAGCCTCCTGAGTAGCTGGGATTACAGGCGCCCACCACCACGCCCGTCTAATTTTTGTATTTTTAGTAGAGACTGTTTTTCACCATGTTGGTCAGGCTGGTCTGGAACTCCTGACATCGTGATCCGCCCGCCTCAGCCTCCCAAAGTGCTGGGATTACAGGTGTAAGCCACCGCGCCCAGCCTCTCTTTTTCCTTTAAAATCCCTAAGTCCAGGGTCCGAACATACCCTCTCCCATACTTCCTCTCTAAGATCTCTGGCATCCCAAACTTCCGTCCCCTCCCTCCACCGTTGGAAATGTAGGTTCCAGGACCCCCTGGCTTCCTCTTCCAAGACCGTCCGCACCTGCAGCTCCACGGTGCACCCCGTAGCCCAGTAGACGCCATAGAAGGCTGCCCCCAGGAGCGCGACCACCAGCAGGTTGAGCAGCACCCGCACCAACCAAACCCTGGCTTGCTGGCCCAGCGTCCGCACCGCAGCCTGGCGCCGCACCACTGTCTCCTCCAGCTCCACCTGAAGGCAGGAGAGATGCCCGCTTGGACTCCATTTCCCAAGGCGCGGGCCTCCCGGTTCCCCAGGTCTGGCTCTCCAGAGATCCTCCTTAACGTGAACTGATGCAGCCGTCTCCCCACCCGCTAACAACCTCTGCAGTCCTGGTTCCACCCGCTCCAGGAAACCAGCGGCCCTTTACAGCCCCGCCCCTTCGCGGCCGGATCCAGCAACCCAAGCCCCCATCCCTCCGCGGTCAATCTCAGCACCCCAGGCCCCGCCCCTGAGGCTCCGCCCAGCATCCCAAGACCCGCCCCTGGTCAGCCCTGCCCATCAGAGGCTCCGCCCCCAGGTGGCCCTGCGCTTTATTCCTGGCCTGAAGTTCCAGTTCAGCTGTATCAAGACGCCCTGCTGGCCGCTCCCATCACTTAACTTTGAACCAAATTGCCTTAGGCCCCGCCCGCTTCTTGTGCTTACTTAAAAAAAAACAAACTTTTTTTTTTTTTTTTTGGTAGAGAGGGAGCCTCCCTATGTTGCCCAGGCTGGTCTCGAACTCCTAGACTGAAGCGATCCACCTGTCTCGGTCTCCCAAAGTGCTGGGGTTACAAGCATTAGCCACCGATCCCAGCCCTGGCGCATCCTTTTCCTACACGCTTGGAGCTCGGGCAGCCCTATCTCGGCCTCCTCTCAACCTTCTCATTCCCCAGGACCTGCCTTTCTTGGAGAAGGAGCTGCTTAGCATCTCTCCGGAGGCCCCATCACCGAGTTAGGCCCTGTGCGTTATCTCAGCCCGGTCCTGTCTGGTCCCTACCCAGTTGCAGACCCCGCTCCCTAATCGCACCTTTAATTCGTACAAGATGATGCGCTGGCGCAGCCGCACGTGGACGTCCCCGCAGAGACCGAAGTCCCAGGCCGAGAACACCCGGTGGCTGTAGCTGGTCAGAGCCTCGGACTCCGCCAGCAGTGTCTGCTTCAGCCCAGACACCGAGCTGAGAGGGGAGACCCGGGAGACGGGAAGTGAAAGGACAGCCAGGAACGGGGGTTATGGGGAGACCCCTCATATTGGGACAAATGGGGAAGATGAACCCTAAGGCCTTGGGTACTAGGCGAGTTCCCACCAGACCAGATGGGGAAAGAGTCAAAGAGGCGGAGACACAGTCATTGAAGGCAAAGTCCAAGGGAGATTCAGAGACAGTTCTGGGGTGCAGGCACCCCAAAGAGAGGCAGAAACCTAGGAGACAGGGACAGAGCCTCGGAGCGAAGGGGGCAGAAACCCAGAGTGAGAGAAACAGAGGCCCTGAGGAAGACAGAGATGTGGAGGAGGGACAGAGGCCCCAGAGGGAGATTCGGAGAAAGGGAGAAAAAGACAGTGAGAAAGGGGAAACTACATCTACAAAAGATGGGGGTCAAAGACCCATAAGAAGTACAGGCACACAGAGAAGGGAGCTGCGGCGGGAAGAGCCGAGAAGAAGACAGAGACCCAGAGAAGATGGCAGGTAAAGACTCAAGAGAGGGGGCAGGCCAGGCGCCATGGCTCACGCCTGTAATCCCAGCACTTTGGGAGGCCGAGGGGGGAGGATCACCTGAGGTCAGGAGTTTGAGACCAGCCTGGCCAATGTGGTGAAACCCCGTCTCTACTAAAAATACAAAAATTAGCCAGGCGTGGTGGTGCATGCCTGTAATCCCAACTACTTGGGAGGCTGAGGTGGGAGGATCACTTGAACCCAGGAGGTGGAGGTCGCCTCCAAAAAAAAAAAAAAAAGACCCAGAGAAGACGGGCAGGTAAAGAGACTCAAGAGAGGGGGGCAAAGACCCAGGAAGGAGATAGAGAACCCCAGCAGGGGCAGAAACAGAACTGGACAAAGAGACCATGTGCACCTTCACTGCCCTGGCCCCGGCCCCCATCATCTCTCATGTGAACAACCACAGAGGGCCCTCACATGGTCTCCTTGCTTCCACTTGTGCCCGCATATAATCCATTCTCAGTTCTTGAGCCAGTGGGACCTTCTTTTGATGCAACTCAGACCGTATTCCCCTGTTTAAGACCTATTCCAGGGCTTTTCCCTTCTCTTAAAATCGAGGCTCTTTGCCGGGCGTGGTGGCTCACGCCTGTAATCCCAGCACTTTGGGAGACCGAGGCGGGTGCATCACCTGAGGTCAGGAGTTCGAGACCAGCCTGACAAACATGGTGAAACCCCATTTCTACTAAAAATACAAAATTAGCCGGGCATGGTGGCACATGCCTGTAATCCCAGCTACTTGGGAGGTTGAGGCAGGAAAATTGCTTGAACCCGGGCGGCGGAGGTTGCAGTGAGCTGAGATCGCACCACTGCACTCTAGCCTGGGTGACAGAGCGAGACTCCGTCTCAAAAAAAAAAAAAGTTGACTTTTGGCCAGGCACATTGGCTCATGCCTGTAATTCCAGCACCTTGGGAGGCTGAGGTGAGCAGATCTCTTGAGCCTAGGAGTTTGAGCGCAGCCTGGGCAACATAGCAAGACCCTGTCTCTATAACATTAAAAAAAAAATTTTAGCAAGACATGGTGGTGCACCCCTGTGGTCCCAGCTGCTCCCGAGGCTGAGGTAGGCGGATCAGTTGAGTTCCGGAGGCCCAGGCTTCCGGTGAGCTATGATTGCACCACCGCACGCTAGCCGGGTGACAGAGTGAGACCCTGTCTCAAAAAACAAAACAGACTGGGTGCGGTGGCTCACACCTGTAATCCCAGCACTTTGGGAGGCCGAGGCAGGTGGATCACCTGAGATCAGGAGTTCGAGACCAGCCTGGCCAACATGGCGATACCCCGTCTCTACTAAAAATACAAAAAATTAGCTGGGCGTGGTGGCCGGAGCCTGTAAACCCAGCTACTTGGGAGGGTGAGGCAGTAGAATCGCTTGAACCCGGGAGGTGGAGGTTGCAGTGAGCCAAGATCGTGCCATTGCACTCCAGCCTGGGCGACAGAGTAAGACTCTGTCTCAAAAACAAACAAACAAAACAAATGAAAAACAAAAACAAATCCCAAAACCTTGATCTTTTTTTTTTTTTTAGATGGAGTTTCGCTCTGTCGCCCAGGCTGGAGTGCAGTGGCGCAAACTCGGCTCACTGCAAGCTCCGCCTCCTGGGCCACCGCTCCTGGCCCAAAACCTTGATTTTAACTCACACAGAATAAAGGGTTACACAGCAAGACCGAGGATTCTGGGGCCGGGCGCGGTGGCTCACGCCTGTAATCCCAGCACTGTGGGAGGCCGAGGCGGGTGGATCACGAGGTCAGCAGTTCAAGACCAGCCTGACCAACATGGTGAAACCCCATCTCTACTAAAAATACAAAAAAGTTAGCTGGGCGTGGTGGCGGGCGCCTGTAATCCCAGCAACTTGGGAGGCTGAGGCAGGAGAATCGCTTGAAACCGGAAGGCGGAGGTTGCAGTGAGCCGAGATTGCGCCACTACACTCTAGCCTGGGCAATAAGAGCAAAACTCCGTCTCAAAAAAAAAAAGACTGAGGATTCTTGGGGAGGGGGTTTCTGCCACCACCACTTGCTCCCCCACCCCAACCCGTCCCGTCAGGGGTCAGGGGTGCAGGTGCCACTGACCGATGCAGGATGAGCAGGAGGCAGATGAGGCCAACGGCAAAGGCCCAGCACAGGTAGGTGACCGCCAGGCGTGGGCGGGGCGGGTAGAAGCCATAGAAGAGAGGGGACCATTCCAGGTAACCCTGTGGGGGGAAGGCGGCGCAGGGGCCACTGTGGGAGGAGGCGGGGCTCCTGGAGCTGCACAGTCAGGGTCTGGGGTCAGGGTTTGAGGTTCGTGTCATTGAAGGCACTGGGGTCACAGGTGGGCGGGGAATCCCCCAGGGACCCAGGCACCTACCTCACCCGAGAGCAAGTTGAAGAGCTGGGTGGCAAAGGTGACCAGGCCCTGGGAGTGGGGGTTATAGGAGCCGCAGGGCGAGGAGATGTCGGGGCCGGGAGGGCCTGGGGGAGCGCCTCCCAACCAGGTGGGCAGCAGCGTCATGCAGGCCATGAGCACAGAGGCCAGCACGTTAAGAAGGAGCAGGAAGCGCAGCAGGGAGAAGTAGGACTCCGTGCCGGCGCCAAACTGGCCTGCAGGGGGCAGCAGAGAGAGGCTCAGGTTCCTTCCCGGGAGCAGGACCAGCCCCTCCTACCCCTGGACTGGGGTCCAGCCGCGCCTTCCTTTCTTTCTTTCTTTTCTTTCTTTTCTTTCTTTCTTTCTTTTCTTTCTTTCTTTTTCTTTCTTTCTTTCTTTCTTTCTTTCTTTCTTTCTTTCTTTCTTTCTTTCTTTCTTTCTTTCTTTTCTTTCTTTCTTTCTTTCTTTCTTCCTTTCTTTCTTTTCTTTCCTTCCTTCCTTCCTTCCTTCCTTCCTTCCTTCCTTCCTTCCTTCCTTCCTTCCTTTCTTTCTCTCTCTCTCTCTCTCTATATATATATATATATATTTTTCTTTTCTTTTCTTTTCTTTTTTTTTTTTTGAGACGGAGTTTCGCTCTGCCGCCCAGCATGGAGTGCAGTGGCGCGATCTCGGCTCACTGCAACCTCCGCCTCCTGGGTTCAAGCAATTCTCCTGTCTCAGCCTCACGAGTAGCTGGGATTACAGGCGTGCGCCACCATGCTCAGCTAGTTTTTGTATTTTTGGTAGAGACGGGGGTTTCACCATGTTGGTCAGGCTGGTCTCGAATTCTTGACCTCAGGTGATCCACCCACCTCGGCCTCCCAAACTGTTGGGATTACAGGCGTGAGCCACCGCGCCAGGCCCAGCCGTGCCTTTCTCAGACCCAAGAGTCCAGACCCCCAGCCCCTCCTCCCTCAGACCCAAAAATCCAGGCCCAAGCCCCTCCTCCCTCAAACCCAGGAGTCCGTCCCCAGCCCCTCCTCCCTCAGACCCAGGAGTCCAGGCCCTGCCCCCAGGACACCACCCAAACCCCACCGCACCCCCGATCCTCTTCAGTGTCCACGCCCAGGGCTGCAGGCTTCGCAAGCCTTCCTTTGTTTTCTCCTTGGACCTCCGAAGTAGCCGCGCCCATCGGTCCGTCTTAGTTCCAGAGCCATAGACCACCTGGTCCCTGCTGGCATTTCTTTGCCTGGGAGGGAAACAGGCAGAAAATGAGGGGTTTCGCAGCCCCAGACTGGGAACCATCTGAATGTAGACACAATCCAACAGTAGAATGGAGAAGTAAATTGTGGCCTATACATAAGATAGAATACTCTGTAGCAATAAAAAAGAAACCAGCTGGGTACAGTGGCTCAGGCCTGTAATCCCAGCACTTTGGGAGGCCGAGGTGGGTGAATCACCTGAGGTCAGGAGTTCGAGACCAGCCTGACCAACATGGTGAAATCCTGTCTCTACTAAAAATACCAAAAAAAAAAAAAAATTAGCTGGGCCTGGTGGCGGGTGCCTGTAATCCCAGCTACACGAGAGGCTGAGGCAGGAAAATTGCTTGAACCTGGGAGGTGGAGGTTGCAGTGAGCTGAGATGGCGCCATTGCATTCCAGCCTGGGTGACGGAGTGAGATTCCAAGAAAGGAAAGAAAGAAAGAAAAGAAAGAAACCTAATGCTAGGCAGAAGAAGCCAGCACAAAAGACTGAAGACTGTATGATTCTATTTGCACAACGTTGCAGAGCACAGCTTGCAAAGCTCTACAGAAAAGCAGGAGGCTGGAGTGGGAGGATCGCTTGAGCCCAGGTGTCGGAGGCTGCAGTGAGCTGAGACTGCACCACTGCACTCCAGCCTGGGCATCAGAGCAAGACTCTGTCAAAAAAAAAAAAAAAAAGGTTAGGGAGAAGAGGTTACCTTGTATTTGTGAGGAAAAAGGGGGTGTCAGGGGAGGGACGCACAGGGTGCTGTCATGCCGTGTCACTTGCCCTAGCTGGAGTTTATCTGGGCTCTCACTTTATGAATACAGCCATCCCTCAGTATCCATGGGGGTTGGTTCAAGGACTCCCCAAGAATACTGAAATCTGTAGATGCCCAAATTCCTTATATAAAACGGTATAGTATTTGCATACAGGCTACACACATCCTCCTGTGTTTGTTTTATTTTATTTTAATTTTTATCTGATTTTTACAGACAAATGTCTCGTTTTGTTGTCCAGGCTGGAGTGCGGTGGTGCAATCATAGCTCAATGCAGCCTCAAACTTCCAGGCTCAAGCAATTCTCCCGCCTCAGCCTCCCAAAGCGCTGGGGCTACAGGTATGGGCCACGACACCCAGCCCTCCAATGCACTTTAAATCACCTCTAGATTACTTATAACACCCGGTACAAGGTAAATGTTATATAGATAGCTGTTCTTTTAACTTGTATTATTTTTTGTCATATTGTTACTTTGATTATTACTTTTAAAAAATAGAGATGGGGGTCTCGCTATGTTACTCAGGCCGCAGTATAGTGGCTATATTCACAGGCATGATCCCACTACTGATCGGCGTGGGAGTGTTGATACATTGTTATTTTTTATTGTTTTTTCCATATATATACACATATATATACATATATATGTGTATATATATACACACATATGCATATATATACGCATATATGCGTATATATATACGCGTATATACGCGTATATATATATTTGAGATGGAGTCCCGCTCTATCACCCAGGCCGGAGTCCAATGGCACGATCTTGGCTCACTGCAACCTCTATCTCCCTGGTTCAAGCGATTCTCCTGCTTCAGCCTCCCGAGTAGCTGGGATTACAGGCACCCGCCACCACACCCAGCTAATGTTTGTATTTTTAGTAGAGTTGGGGTTTTGCCATGTTGGCCAGGCTGGTCTTGAACTCCTGACCACAGGTGATCCACTCGCCTGGGCCTCCCAAAGTGCTGGGATTACAGGTGTGAGCCACTGCAATGGGCCCATAATCATTTTTGAAGGAGGGCACCTGCATTTTCATTGTTCACCAGGCCCTGCAAATTATGCAGTGAGAATGGGAAAAGAAAGAAGTTAAAGAGAGGGAGGCTTGGAAGAGGAGGCAAAGATGAAGGAAGGTATAAAGCAGAGAGAAATAAATATTAACAGATTTTGGACACACACACAGAGAGAAACTGAGGCAGAGACAGGATTGGTGGAGACCAGGGAGACGGCAAATCCCAGAGAGAAGAGACCCCAGAGCCATCGAAAGGCAGCACTCACCTGGAGTCCGAAGTAGAGACAAAGATGAGGGGAAGAAAGAAACCAAGAGAGGCAGCTCTGAGCGGGGCAGAGAGAGGCCCCAGAAGCCAGGAGCGGCAGAGGACAGAGGGAGGAGACCGAGTCCAGGGTATGGGAGAAGGGCCCGGTCCGGGCTGTGCGGGTCCCAGCTGGAGGTGGGGCCTCACCTGTGTGCCCGTCTGGCCTGCATGGGCCAGGGCAGTTCCCGGGAAGGGTGAGGGTCCTGCAGCTCTGTCTGGGTGACTTCTGTGAAGGCCTTTCTGCTCCTTCCTCCATCCTCCTCCTCCTCCTCCAGCGCCCCCCAAGGCAGCACCCCAGGGTCTCGGTACCGAAGGGTGGCAGCACTGGGCAGCTCGTTCAGCACAGAAGACAGCGATGGGCCTGGGGAGGAGCAGGGGGCTGGGAAGACCCGGGAGTCTGGGCCCTAATTCCTCCTCCCTCAGACCAGGAAACCAGGTCCCCGGCCCCTCCTCCCTCAGACCCAGGAGTCCAGGCCCCCGGCTCCTCCTCCCTCAGACCCAGGAGTCCAGGCCCCCGGCTCCTCCTCCCTCAGACCCAGGAGTCCAGGCCCCCGGCTCCTCCTCCCTCAGACCCAGGAGAACAGGCCCCCGGCCCCTCCTCCCTCAGACCCAGGAGAACAGGCCCCCGGCCCCTCCTCCCTCAGACCCAGGAGTCCAGGCCCCCGGCTCCTCCTCCCTCAGACCCAGGAGAACAGGCCCCCGGCCCCTCCTCCCTCAGACCCAGGAGTCCAGGCCCCCGGCTCCTCCTCCCTCAGACATAGGAATCCAGGCACCCAGCCCCTCCTCCCTCAGACCAGGAAACCAGGTTCCCAGCCCCTCCTCCCTCAGGCCCAGGAGTCCGGGTGCCAGCCTCTACTTCCCCTGGACCCAGGGGTCCACAGCCCTCAACTCCATCCCCAAGCGTGGAACCCTCCTACTCCAGGGCAGTGGAGTCCAGGCTTCAACTTCCTTTTCCCTCTAGCTCAGGAGTGTGGGAACCCAGCCTCTCCTATTCCCAAGACACCCAAACTCCCAGCCCTTAGCCCTCCCCTCCTCCCAGACTAGCCTGGTTCTCCAGGCTCCTCCTCCTCAGACCCTGGAGTTCCAGCCTCCAGTTCCCTTCTCCCCCATAATATCAGGAAGTGGAACCTTCTCTCTTTAGCCCTCAGACTCAGGAGGCCAGGCCTCCCCTTTCCTCCTCCAGCAGGACTCCCACCTAGCCTGAAGGTCGGATGGATCTGAGCTTCTCCTGGCATTCCCTACCTCCTCTGGCCTCCCGGGGGGCCAGCCACCCCCTAGAGGAGCCCCAGGCTTCTGATTCCAAGGTCGGGTTTTCTTCCATGGCCCAGGCTGGGCTGTCTCTAGTGGCCACCAGGCAGACACTGCCCCAGGTAAGGGAGGGGCCAGGGGCAGGTGTGTACCTGGCCAGCAGGTGGCCCGGAGGGAGTAAGGTACACTTCCTGTGGTTTCTCAGGGCCGCTGATGCGAAAGGTCTCCTGGGAGCTGAAGTCCCCGTGGTGCCCCGGGCCTGACAGTTTGGTTCCTGGGCTGGGCGGGGGGGCTGTACCTCACCCTGGGACTTGGTGGACTAAGTCCTTCCCACCGTTTATCACCCAGATACCTGCACGGACAGGATGCCTTTGTGCAACACTTTATTGGGAAAGATTTACACACGGTGACCTGTCATAGGCCAAGCGATGAGAAGAGGGCGCCAGGAGCGCTGGGGTCCCGAGGTGGCTCAGATGGAAGCCATGGGACGGCCGTCCCCAGGCCCGCGCACCCGCACCTCAGTTTCCCCTTTGTGAAATGGGAAGCTTATGCTTCCTTCCAAGTCTGCAATATTGGTGCGATGAGCTAAAAGTGGAGCGAAAGACACAAGGAAGAGGCTTCCCACTCCCAGGACCTGCCCCCAAGCTCCGACCCCACATTGTGGATGCAAAGAAAGGGAATTTGCCCAAAACCCACTGCCCAGGGGCCCCTTCCGTTTTGGGGAAGTGCAGTGCTCTCTGGATACCCAGAAGCTGGAGCAGGGGCCAGTGACTCTTGTCTGGACAATACTTTGATTTTGTAGGAGTGGAGGTGGCCTCTGGGCAGAGGGCAGGGAGGACACCCCCGGGTCTGCTTCAGTTGCAGGCAGGGTATTTAGCTGGGGAAGAGGAAATTCTCTCCAGGACCCTCTCCAAGGTAAGGACTCTTTCTGGGGAGGAGACAGCAGCCTGGTTCACAGAATTCCCGGGACCAGCTGGCAGAGGGAGCGTCGTGACAGCTTACTCCTCCCGGAGCTTCTCTGGGGCAAGGCTGGTGGGCTGGGATGCTGCCTTCCGCCGGCTGGGGCTGCCCCCACCTAAAGCCAGCCCCAGCCCCAGGGCTGCCAGGGCCAGGAAGTGGATACAGAAGTAGATGGAGGCCCAGTACCGAAGGGTGTCGGCCAAGGAGAGCAGCACGAAGCCCATGCACATGTAGTCATAGGCGCGCATCTTCAGGAACCAGTGCACCCAGTCCCAGGCCTTCTGGCCCCCTGGGCTCAGCCGCCCCCGCAGGGCTGACTCCAGCCGGCCCTCGGCAGCCAGGCACAGCGGGATGGTCAGGAAGCTCAGGTAGTAGCCCGGGTGGAGGCCGTGCCAGTAGGCGCTCAGCAGCATGGTCCAGGCGCTCCTGAGGAGGAGGCTGGGAGTCAGGACCTACGAGTCCAGGTCCCCAGTGCCCACTGCCCCCAGATCCAGGAGTCCAGGACCCCAGCCCCTCCTCCCTCAGACCGAGAAGTGCAGGCCCAGCCCCTCCTCCCTCAGACCCAGGAGTCCAGACCCCACCCCTTCCTCCCTCAGACCCAGGAGATCAGGCCCCAGTCCCTCCTCCCTCAGACCCAGGAGACCAGACCCCACCTCCCTCCTCCCTCAGATCCAGGAGTCCAGACCCCACTTCCCTCCTCCCTCAGATCCAGGAGACCAGACCCCACCTCCCTCCTCCCTCAGATCCAGGAGACCAGGCCCCAGGCCCTCCCCACTCAGACCCATGACCCTAGCTCCGGAAGGCGGAGGAGGCTACAGGCCTCTGTCTCCTTCAGGGATCCAGGAGCTCGCAGCCTTCCATACACACTCAGTCCTATCAAGACCCTCTTCTTCTTTAAAGATTTAACATTTTATATTCCACTGCCCTTCCTCTCCCAGGACCAACAAGTCTTAATTCTTCAGCCCAGTGGTTTTTTTTTTTTTTTTTTGAGACAGAGTCTCGCTCTGTCGCCCAGGCTAGAGTGCAGTGGCGCGATCTTGGCTCACTGCAAGCTCCGCCTCCCAGGTTCACGCCATTCTCCTGCCTCAGCCTCCCGAGTAGCTGGGACTACAGGCGCCCGCCACCACGCCCGGCTAATTTTCTTTTCTATTTTTAGTAGAGACGGGGTTTCACCGTGTTAGCCAGGATGGTCTCGATCTCCTGACCTCGTGATCTGCCCGCCTTGGCCTCCCAAAGTGCTGGGATCACAGGTGTCAGACACCACACCCGGGCAGCCCGGTGGTTCTTAACCTGGGGTCCCAGGTCTGGCATCAGCATCACCTGAGAACTTGTGAGACATACAAATCCTTGTCCCCACCCCTTTTGCACCAGAAGCCCTGGGGGTGGGGCCCAGGAGAAGTCTTCCAAGTTAACAAGTCCTCCAGTGACTCTGATGCCTGTTAACATTTGACAACTCCTGCCTGGCTCATGAAGATCCAGAAGTCCCTGGCCTGTGGTCCTTCCTTATTCTGGGCCCAGGAGATATGTTCCTCTTCCTCCAAGGCCCAGCACCATCTTTCCTCACTCTTTTTATTTTTTTGGAGACAGAGTCTCGCTCTGTTGCCACACGACAAGGCTCACTGCAGCCTCTGCCTCTTGGATTCAAGCGATTCTTATGCCTCAGCCTCCCAAGTAGCTGGGATTACAGGCAAGCGCCACCAAACTCAGCTAATTTCTGTATTTTTTGTTGTTGTTGTTCAGACGGAGTCTCGCTCTGCCGCCCATGCTGGAGTGCAGTGGCGCAATCTCGGCTCACTGCAACCTCTGCCTCCCGGGTTCAAGTGATTCTCCTGCCTCAGCCTCCCGAGCAGCTGGGACTACAGGTGCCCACCACCATGCCAGGCTAATTTTTGTATTTCTGGTAAAGACGGGGTTTCACCATGTTGGCCAGGATGCTCTCAATCTCTTGACCTTGTGATCCACCCGCCGTGGCCTACCAAAGTGCTGGGATTACAGGCGTGAGCCACTGCACCCAGCCATTTTTGTATTTTTAGTAGAGATGGGGTTTCACCACGTTGGCCAGGATGGTCTCGATCTCCTGACCTTGTGATCCACCCACCTTGGCCTCCCAAAGTGCTGGGATTACAGGTCTGAGCCACCGCGCCCAGCCTCTTTTTTTTTCTTTGTAAAGATGGAGTCTTGCTATGTTGACCTGGCTGGTCTCGAACTCCTGAGCTTAAGTGATCCTCTCACCTTGGCCTCCCAAAATACTGGAATTACAGATGTCAGCCATTGCACCTGGCCAACTCTTGTTTTCTTGAGAAGGGAGGACCATTGGCTTTCTGGTTCTTCAAGAGTGCGGAGGCTGGGTGCAATGGCTGGCACCTGTAATCCCAGCACTTTGGGAGGCTAAAAATACAAAGATTAGTCTGTCATGGTAGCACGTGCCTATAATCCCAGCTACTAGGGGGGCTGAGACAGGAGGATTGCTTGAACCTGGGAGGGAGAGGTTGCAGTGAGCCGAGATCACGCCACTGCACTTGAGCTGTAAAATAAACAAAAACGATGGATCCTGTGCATTTTAAGGTGTTTAGGAGCATCCCTGGCCCCCACCCACGACATCCGACTAGCACCTTCCAGTTACAACAACATGTCTCCAGGGATTGCCATGTGTCTCCTGGGGGTGCAGCAGCAGCACAGTTGCCCCCAGTTGAGAAGCACTTGTCTAAACACTGGGGTGCTTTGACCTGGCCTCAGCCCCAGAGCTTTAAGCGTCATCTATACCTGGCCAGATGCAGTGGCTCATGCTTGTAATCTCAGCACTTTGGGAGGCTGAGATGGGAGGACTGCTTGGGGCCAGGAGTTTGAGACCAGCCTGGTCAACACAGTGAGACCTCATCTCTATACATTTTTTAAAAAGTAAAAAAAAAATAATAATAATACTTAAAAAATTTTGGCCGGGCATGGTGACTCACGCCTGTAATCCCAGCACGTTGGGAGGCCGAGGCACGCGGATCACTTGAGGCCAAGAGTTCGAGACCAGCCTGGCCAACATGGTGAAACCCTGCGTCTACTCTTGGCACGAGAATCACTTGAACCCAGGAGATGGAGGTTGCAGTGAGCTGAGATCACAACACTGCACTCCATCCTGGGTGACAGAGCATCAAAATACTAATACTAATACTAATACTAATACTAATACTAATACTAATACTAATAATAATATCCTTCTTACTCCCAAAACTTACCCTTCCTGGGTCTTCCCCTTCCACATTTATCTAATTAAATTAAATTAAATTAATAATTATTTTTGTTTGTTTTTTGTGTTTTTTTGTTTGTTTGTTTTTGAGACAGAGTCTCGCTCTGTTGCCCAGGCTGGAGTGCAGTGGCGCGATCTCGGCTCACTGCAAGCTCCGTCTCCCGGGTTCACACCATTCTCCTGCCTCAGCCTCCCCAGTAGCTGGGACTACATGCACCCGCCGCCACACCCGGCTAATTTTTTGTATTTTTAGTAGAGACAGGGTTTCACCGTGTTAGCCAGGATGGTCTTGATCTCCTGACCTTGTGACCCACCCACCTTGGCCTCCCAAATTGCTGGGATTATAGGCATGAGCCACCGTGCCCGGCCTATTTTATTTTATTTTGAGACAAAGTCTCTCTCTGTTGCCCAGGTGACCTTGGCTCACCGCAACCTCCGCCTCCCGGGTTCAAGTGATTCTCTTGCCTCAGCCTCCCTAGTAGCTGGGATTATAGGCGCCCGCCACCATGCCTAGCTAATTTTTTGTATTTTTAGTAGAGAAGGGGTTTCTCCATATTGCCCAGGCTGGTCTTCACCATATTGCCCTGACCTCAAGATGATCCACCTGCCTGGGCCTCCCAAACTGCTGGGATTACAAGTGTGAGCCACCATGCCTGGCTATGAGTTCTACTTCTGTTTTTTTTTTTTTTTTTTTTTTTTTTTTTTTTTTTGAGACGGAGTCTCGCTGTCGCCCAGGCTGGAGTGCAGTGGCGAGATCCCAGCTCCCTGCAACCTCTGCCTCCCGGGTTCAAGCCATTCTCCTGCCTCAGCCTCCCGAGTAGCTGGGACTACAGGCGCCCACCACCACACCAGGGTAATTTTTTGTATTTTTAGTAGAGACAGCATGTCACCATGTTGGTCAGGCTGGTCTCGAACTCCTGACCTCATGATCCACCTGCTTGGGCCTCCCAAAGTGCTGGGATTCCAGGCGTGAGCTGCCGCACCCGGCTGAGTTTCTGCTTCTAAAGGCTGCACAGATAACAGTGTCAAGCACAGAGTCTCCACTCGAGAAATATTGGAAGAATGAAAAACAATAAAAATGAATACACAGCACGCACTTACCTGTCAGGCCTCACATTAAATACATTTCACATTTTATCACATTTAGTCCTTCTATCTACCTATGAAACCAGTAATAAATAGCATTCACTCCATTCAACACTTGAGGCAACTAAGAGGTCAACTAACTCCTCAAGGTTTCTCCATAACCTGGACGGCCAAGATTCCAGGAAGGCTGGCTATTGAGTCCACAGGACTCAGTACATTGCTTCTGCTGAGTGAGGCTGACTTTACAGAAGTAGCAACTGAGGCCCCGAGAGGGGGAACGATTTTACACCGGCATGCTGCCACTATAATTAGAGGCAGGGCAAAACCAGGCTAAACAAACTACAATTCCCATGAGCCTCCGGGGGCAGGGGCCCAGCCAGGGACGCTGCAGGCTACCCTGGGGCCTGCTGGGAGATGTAGTTCTGCAGTGTCACCTGAGACTGGGCGGGCTCACTCACCGCAGGACATAGGAACGGGCAGGTGCGCTCTTGTAGATATACTGCGCCAGCCACCACTGCACCGTCATGTTCCAGTACCGCATGCCATCGCGCACCCGCACGCAGAAATCTGTGCTGTAGCAGTCGATGTTGCGGATGGTCTCATAGTCATACTCCAAGGAAGCCGCCTTCTCCGGACTGGGGGGTGGAGGATGAGGGTGGGGGACAGACATGCAGCTCAGCCAGGCCCCCTCCCGACGCCTGCTAGTGTCCCAGCCCCGGATGCTAAGGAAGGGATCCTGGCCAGGCAATGGCCCTCTGGCTGTCAGACTTGCTAGGGCAGCAAGGGAGGGTGGCCCAGAGGGTGCCTGTAGGGTAGGAAGGTGGGTGGGCTGGGTGGTACAGTTCACTGACAATGGGGTTCTTCTTCTTTTGGTACCTAATGGGGCCCGCCACAGCCATGAAAAGCCTTGAAGGGCTATGGTTGCTAAGCTATGAGTCCTTTAGCAACCAAACTCAGTATATTCAGAGAAGCCGCCAAGGATGGTCCCTTCTAAATTGTCGGACACTGCAGTTGCCAGGGAAGTTGTGGTTATCATCCCTAATAACAAGGTGCTTCACGGTTGCTAGGGAGATGTTCCAGGCGCCAGTGGGGTCCCCATGATCTTTGTTGCTAAGGAAAAGGCATTCCTTAGCAACAATGCCTAGGATGTTTAGAAAGGCTTTTAGGAAGGGGCTTTTTTCCTGGTCGCAGTGATTATTGGAGAAGTGTCACCTCTAGCAATACAGTGGCTCCCTCATCACTCATGTCGACAGCCCCAGCAGTGGGAAACACTGGCCCATATGAAGCCTTGGTGGCCTCTGATGACAGGAGGGGAGCCATCCTTTAGGAGTGAGGACCGAGCAGATTTAGAAAAACCTTCAATTCCTGCTTGGCTTTACTAGGGGGACATCCTCTCTCTAGCAGCTGGAGGTCAGGGCACGGTTATTAGGGCAGTGGTAACAAATTCCCGTGGGGGTGTCACTACCCCCACAACAGAATGGCAGTTTGTGACGACTAGGGGACAACCCTAGCAGGGAGTAGTAGTTCATCATTTACATCAACAGGCTGTTCCCCCAGCCGCAGTCCAAGCCCCTGGGGGAAGGCTGACTGCAGCTGTCAGGAACACAAGGGCAGTCTACTCCTGGTTGCCGGGGGTGCCATCTCCCTAGCAACACGGGGGCAATACTTCCTCAGCCACAAGAGAGTCCACAGCTATGGCCGTGCGACTTGCCTAGCAATGCAGGTGCCGGGGGGTGGAGCCTCTCTGGCAACAAGGGTCAACCCATAGTTTCCAGGGGGAGGTTTGGCTTCCTTAGCAACAGTGTAACTGTAGTTGGTAGGAATGGCGTGCCCTCTGCTGGGGAACAGCACTGGTCAGGGATTGGAAATTGCTATTTCCTTGCAGAGGGCTGCTGAGGGCTGCTATGTGAGGACATCCCACGGGGTGGAGCAGTGCTAGCTCCTAGCAACAAAGGGGCAGTGCAGGGAGTGCCGTATCTGCAGCAACAGAGCAAAACTTCTGGTAAAAAGGAGGTGAGCTACTGTTGCTAGGGATCCTGCTTCCCTAGCAAATAGTGGCGTTCTGTTGCTAGGGAACCGTTTCCCTAGCAACAGAGGGTGACCCACCACTAGCAAAGGATGGCATCCCCAGCAAGCAGGAACAATCTGGTTCTGGGGGGTGACACTTCTGTGGCAACAGAGGGGTGGCACAGGGTTGCTAAGTTACCACCTTTTCCTAGCGACAGGGGGCAGTTCACCACACTGCGGGGTGACAAGCGCTAGCAACAAGGGGCATCTGTCAGTACCAGGGATCTTTTCCCTACCGACAGGGGCTGGCAGGCCATGGTTGCCGAGGGGGCGACACTCTGCTCAAAAAGGTGGTGGCCCTGGCCCCTTGCTCCCCGCTCTCCTCCCGGCTAGGGGCAGAGCCAGCCCTTGGAGGTGGGGGCTGCTGGGTCTTGGGAAGCCTCCCTCGCGCCGCCTGACCTGCTGGGGGGTGGGCATTGGAGGGTGGGGCCGCCTCCGGCCCGGGCTTTGGCGGCCACGGGGTAGGCCCCAAAGCCGGCGGCAATGCAGCCGCACTCGGCGGCAATCCAGGCCACGTAGAAGCGCATGCGGAAGGCGAAGAAGACGGGGATCATGTAGAAGAGGCGGGCGGGCAGCGGGCGGGCGTAGAAGGCGTCCTCGCGCACGGCCTCCAGCGGGAAGAGGTGAGAGGAGAGCAGGAACAGCAGGCCGAAGAGCGGGGCCGGCCAGGCGCGGCGCAGCAGGGGCCGCAGGCTGGGCACTGCCCCGGGGAAGGGCTGCTCCAGCCAGTCCAGGTAGGTGCGGTAGCGGAAGAACGGGCCTGTGGGGCGGGGAGGGAGGGCCGCGGTCAGACAGGCAGGTGGGCAGAGCTCAAGTCTGCAGGAGGAGGACAGGGAGCTTGGAAGGAAGGTGGGAAGAGGGAGTGAGAGGGGCAGAGACTGGGCGCCGGGGAGACCCCAAGGGTAGGGACTGAGACCCTGAGAGATGGGGATAAGGAACGAGAGACAGGGGGGACAAGAAACTCAGAGAGACAGAGACAGTAACAGAAAAACAGACAGAGGGGCCGGTGCGGTGGCTCACACCTGGAATCCCAGCACTTTGGGAGGCCTAGCTGGGAGGACTGCTTGAGCCCAACAGTTGGACAGCAGCCTGGGCAAAACGGCAAGACCCCATCACTACAAAAAATAAAAATCAGCCAGGTGTGGAGGGCACCTGAATTCCCAGCTACTGGGGAGGCTGAGGCGGGAGGATCGTTTGAGCCCAGGCTGCAGTGAGCAGTGACTGAGCTACTGCATTCCAGCCAGGGAGGGAGGGAGGGAGGGAGGGAAGGAGTGAAGAAGGGAAGAAAGAAGGGAGGGAAGGAGGGAAGGAAGGAGGGAGGGAAGGAGGGAAGGAAGAAGGGAGGGAAGGAGGGAAGGAAGGAGGGAGGGAGGGAAGGAGGGAAGGAAGGAGGGAGGGAAGGAGGGAAGGAAGGAGGGAGGGAGGGAAGGAGGGAAGGAAGGAGGGAGGGAAGGAGGGAAGGAAGAAGGGAGGGAAGGAGGGAAGGAAGGAGGGAGGGAGGGAAGGAGGGAAGGAAGGAGGGAGGGAGGGAAGGAGGGAAGGAAGGAGGGAGGGAGGGAGGGAAGGAGGGAAGGAAGGAGGGAGGGAAGGAGGGAAGGAAGGAGGGAGGGAAGGAAGGAGGGAGGGAAGGAGGGAAGGAAGGAGGGAGGGAAGGAAGGAGGGAAGGAAGGAGGGAAGGAAGGAGGGAGGGAAGGAAGGAGGGAGGGAAGGAAGGAGGGAGGGAGGGAGGGAAGGAGGGAAGGAAGGAGGGAGGGAAGGAGGGAAGGAAGGAGGGAGGGAAGGAAGGAGGGAGGGAAGGAGGGAAGGAAGGAGGGAGGGAAGGAAGGAGGGAAGGAAGGAAGAAGGGAAAAGGGAAGGACGGAGGGAAGGAGGAAGGAAAGAAACTAGGAGATAGCTGTGGCACTTTAGCTACAATATGATGGTGGTCTGGCCTAGGGAGGAAGCAGTGTGATTCACAGAAGGGACCGGGGTTAAAATTTTTATATGTTCACAAAGGCCGTATGTTTAGGTCAATGTAGCATGGGAAGATAAAAGGAAAAAAAAAACAAATTAAAATAAATAAATAAGACCACATGTTGTATGATTCCATTTGTAAGCGCAATGTCCAGAACAGGCAAATCTTTACAGATAGAAAGTCAATTACTGGTTACCAGGGATGGATGGAGGTTTGTGGGATGATGGACATGGGGTTTCTTTGCAGGGTATGAAACTGTTCTGAATATAACTACACAATGGTCATGTCTGCACAACTCGGTGAATATACTAAAAATCAGGGAGTTGTATGTTTTGTGTTTTTTTTTTTTTCCAGGAAATTAAAGAAGCCAAGAGTTGTATGTTTTAAGTGGATGAGTATGTGAATTAGAGTTCCCTAAAGCTGTTATTGGAAAAAAAACCTTTGATGAGGTAAACATTAATGAAAAATATTTTCTTTTTAAAATTTCACATATATATACACATACACACATACATATATATACACACATGCACACACACATACATATGTATTTTTTGAGATGGAGTCTTGCTCTGTTGCCCAGGATGGAGTGCAGTGGTGTGATCTTGGCTCACTGCAAACTCCGTCTCGTGGGTTCAAGCGATTCTCCAGTTTCAGCCTCCCAAGTAGCTGGGATTACAGGCACACACCACCATGCCCGGCTAATTTTTGTATTTTCAGTAGAGACGGGGTTTCACCATGTTGGCCAGGCTGGTCTCAAACTCCTGACCTCAGGTGATCTGCCTGTCTCAGCCTCCCAAAGTGCTGGGATTACAGGCGTGAGCCACTGCGCCCGGCCCTTTTAATTTTATATTTATTTATTTTTTAAAAATAAAGGTTTAAAATAAAGGGACGGGATCTTGCTATGTTGGCCAAGTTGATCTTGAACTTTTGGCCTCAAGCAATCCTCTCGCCTCAGCCTCCGAAAGTGCTAGGATTATAGGCATAAGCCCCCACGCCCAGATGAAAAATATTTCCTTAAGCTGAAAGTGGACCCTAAGCCGTGAATATTTGTTGTCTGGGAAGCAAAAACATCAGGTTGACATAGATCTTTACCTCCTTTATCTCTTCTCTTTGCTCCCAATACGCTACAAGGAGAAGAGCAAGGAATTGCTTAGGTTGAGACAGCCAGCTTCTACCCCAAAGCAGCTCTGGTCCAGCGGAGGTGTGAGACGTAGACCCAGACACATGCCCACCCTCACAGCAGCAGATGCTAGGATGGAGGTTGCCCTGGGCAGGGCGGGAACACACAACAGGCACTCAGGGCGGAAGGGGACACAGGAGACAGAGCGGCAGAGTTGTTAGGGCAGCCCCACTCACCTGTCATGATTCCCACGTAGCAGTAGCTGTAGCTGAGTGTCTCCATCAGGGAGGGCACGTCGGGCAGCAGCCCCAGGGTGGGCCCCTTGCTGAAGCCTGAGGCCATTTCCTTCCTCTGGGCCAGATGCAGGTCCTGGACTTCACTGGCCAGGCTCACCAGCTGGGCAGAAGGGGGTGGGCAAGGGGCCAGGTCAGACTCTGGGCCCTTCCCCACACCCATCTCCCTTGCGCGGCTGCCCTCGGCAGCCAAGGGGTGCTGGGTGCCCGCAGCTCTGCCCATCTAGGTTGTGTGTAACGCCTCTAGCTGGGCGGTGTTCCCCAGGGCTCAGTCCCAGGCCCTCCTCCCCTTTCCCTGTTCTGTGCTTACCTGCTCTCACGCAATCACGGAGGTTTCGATACTATCCACACGCTGAGGACGCCCAAACGCTACCCCAGCCCCAGACCTATCCAATCAAGTGGCTTATTGGCATTTATACTCGGATGTCTCCAGGCACCCCAAACGCACTGGAAACGGAACATGATGTTACCCACCCCACAAGGTAGACCCTCTTCTAGTGTCTCCCCTCAAACAACAGGCCACCAAATTGTTCAAGCCAAAAATCTCCCTCACTCCCCAAATCCGATCCTTTAATCTCTCTTTTTTTTTTTTTTTTTTTTTGAGACAAGTTTTGCTCTGTCACCCAGGCTGGAGTATACTGGTGTGATCTCGGCTCACTGCAACCCCCACCTCCTGGGGGCGCAAGCAATTCTCATGCCTCAGCTGGCCAGGCTGGTCTCGAACTCCTGGCCTCAAGTGATCTGCCCGCCTTGAAATCCCTTAAGTTTGAGTCTGTTGCCTCTTTCCATCTCCACTACTGAGCTGAATATGTTGTACTCTCCACCCTTTCCCACCAGTCCCAAGGTCCACCCTATATCAATAGATCTCCTTCTTCCAGCTTGTGGCTGGGTTGTCAGTAGAAATCCCTGGCTGGAGACAAAGTCAGGAGAGGGAGGGTAGGGCTTTTATTCCCTTGTAAGATGGCCTTGGGCTGGCTGTCACCCTTGATAGATCATTTCAAGGTGGGTGGCTCTACACACCCTTTAAAAAAAATAATTTTGGCCGGGCGCGGTGGCTCACGCCTGTAATCCCAGCACTTTGGGAGGCCGAGGCAGGCGGATCACCTGAGGTTGGGAGTTCGAGATCAGCCTGACCAACATGGAAAAACCCTGTCTCTACTAAAAATACAAAAAATTAGCCGGGCATGGTGGTGAGTGCCTGTAATTCCAGCTACTCAGGAGGCTGAGGCAGGAGAATCGCTTGAACCTGGGAGGCGGAGGTTGCGGTAAGCCAAGATCGTACCATTGCACTCCAGCCTGGGCAACAGGAGTGAAACTCCGTCTCAAAAAAAAAAAAAAAAAAAAAATTTAGGGCCAGGTGTGACGGCTCACACCTATAACACTAGCACTTTGGTTGGCCTAGGCAGGCAGATCACTTGATGTCAGGGGTTTGAGACCAGCCCGGCCAACATGGTGAAACCCCATCTCTACTAAAAATATAAAAATTAGCAAGGCGTGGTGGTGGGCGCCTGTAGTCCCAGCTACTCGAGAGGCTGAGGCAGGAGAATCGCTCGAACCCGAGAGGCAGAGGTTGCAGTGAGATCACACCACTGCACTCCAGCCTGGGCAACAGAGCGAGACTCCATCTTTAAAAATAAATAACATTTAAAAAATTAATTTTTTGTAGAGACAGGGTCTCACTATATTGCCCAGGCTGGTCTTAAACTCCTGGCCTCCAGCAGTCCTCCCACTATGACCTCCCAAAGCGCTGGGATTATACAAGTATGAGCCACTGCACCAGGCCTACACAACCCTTTTTCCATCCAGGTACCACAACCTGACCCATTTCCCCTGGGCCTAGGGTTGGGAACGGCTCCTTCTGCGGGGCTGGGGTTCAGGCACCATCCCTTCTTGCTCTTCTACATCCTGCCCAATTGGTGGCCACTCCTTCAGTCATCCTAAATGCGCGTTTCCTGCTGCAACTCAGACCTACCCACAGCCAGCCAACGGCCTGTATCAAGCCACCACAGTTTGTCACCTGGACTCGGACAAAGGAGGATCCCTTTATCTGAGTCCATCCCATCTTGCCCTGTTCCACTTCAATTCTCCTTCAGCATCCAGAACGAGTTTTCTTTCTTTTCTTTTCTTTTTTTTTTGAGATGGAATCTTGCCCGGGAAGGCCCAGGCTGGAGTGCAATGGCGGGATCTTGGCTCACTGCAACCTCCACCTTCCAGGTTCAAGCAATTATCCTGCCTCAGCCTCCTGAGTAGCTGGGATTACAGGTGTGAGCCACCACACCCGGCTCATTTTTGTATTTTTAGTAGAGACGGAGTTTTACCATGTTGGCCAGGATGGTCTCAAACTCCTAACCTCAGGTGATCTACCCGCGTCAGCCTCCCAAAGTGCTGGGATTACAGGCGTGAGCCACCGCAGCTGGCCTAGAATGAGTATTTCTATTTGTTTATTTATTTTTGAGATGGAGTTTTGCTCTTGTTGCCCAGGCTGGAGTGCAATGGTACGATCTCAGCTCACCACAACCTCCGCCTCCTGGGTTCAAGCAATTCTCCTGCCTCAGCCTCCCGAGTAGCTGGGATTACAGGTATGTGCCACCACGCCCAGCTAATCTTTTGTATTTTTAGTAGAGACAGGGTTTCTCCATTTTGGTCAGGCTGGTCTTGAACTCCCGACCTCAGGTGATCCGCCTGCCTCAGCCTCCCAAAGTGCTGGCATTACAGGCGTGAGCTACTGTGCCCAGCCAGAACGAGTATTTTTAAACATTTAAAACTGGTCACATTGCCTCTTCTGGCAGCAAACCAAAAATCCCCTCTTCCAGCAGATCTCAATCCTCCACGGGAAGAAGTCCAATGTCCTCACGGTCTCCAGCCAGGCCTAGCACGGTGTCAGCCCTGCTGCCTGTTCCCTTTTGCTCGTCCCAGAAAGTGGATGTGGCTGGTGTAGCCTGTGGAACCCAGCCTGCTCCCCTCCACACATCCTGCGGCCTGAAATGCTCCTCCACGAACCCCTCTCTCATCCAACCTACTCCTGCCACCACTGAGCTCCCACAGGGCACACTGAATGCTGGGAAGGCCACTCCCTACCTAGCATGACTGCTGTGTTCACGGATAAGCCGCCAGTAGGAAACCATGACTCTGTGGGTCTGGGGTGGGCCCTAGGATTCTGTTTTTACCCCTCTTCCCAGGTGATTAGGAGCCAGACCTGGATGCCCTAGTTTTGTTCCCTTCACCAAGTACCTTCTCCCCAGAGCTGGTTTTTCTCCTTTGCAAAATAGCTGGCTACAGAGATTCAAGGACAGCATGTTGGTAAACCACCCAGCTGGGCCTCTGGCACACCGCAAGCACCCAATGGCACCTACTGTTACCTATGTGGGTTATTTCCTCACCCCAGGAGGAGCTGGGAGGTGAAGACCTGCCCAAGGGCATGTGAATGGGGAATGCTGTGCCCAGGGCAGCAAGTGAGGTGACGTCCCACCCCCAGGGTGTGTTGGAGGTAAAATCCCGGGGAGCCACTGAAGGGGGAGGTAAAGTGGGAGGTGAAGGGGCCCACAGGGAGGCTGGAGGGGAGTGGCAAGCCCCGAGTCTGACCTTCAGCGTCAGCAGCAGCTGGACGGCATTGGTGAAGGGCGTGGGAGTGGGCAGGCCCAGGAGGCTGAGGGCTCGGAAGAACAGGAGATAGGAGAAAGTCCAGGCCAGAGCCAGGGCGTGGCAGGAGCTGGGCAAAAGCAGGAGGCGCACTGTGTTGGGCACAGAAGTCTCGGCCTTGGCCATTCACTCCACGAGTCCAGCCACCAATCCTCCCCCAGCTCTCCCCATTCGTTTAGAGACAGAAACACAGAAGGGCAGAGAGGACAGGAGGGTGGATGTAGGGACCGAATGAGTATGATTGAAACAGTGGGAGAAGAGGCTCAGCCACATAGAAACACACACCAACAGAGAATGAGGTTAAGAGAAGCTTCAGGTGAAGACCCTGCAATCCTCCACTTTTTCTTTATTTCCGAGGTCCAGGGCTCAAGAAGAGAGAGGTGGATATGAATGAATATGAACGGTGGCCAGGCCAGCAGACACACTGTCCACCTCTCTCCATGACATGGATGTAGCGGACTGGGACAAACACACAGGGACCAGACGCAGAAGGCAGGGGAGAAAGAAAAGCAGATGAAGGCCGGATACGGTGGCTCACGCCTGTAATCCCAGCACTTTGGAAGGCTGAGGTGGGCAGATCACAAGGTCAGGAGTTCGAGATCAGCCTGACCAACATGGAGAAACCCCGGCTCTATTAAAAATTCAAGATTAGCCAGGCGTGGTGGAGCATGCCTGTAGTCCCAGCTACTTGGGAGGCTGAGGCAAGAGAATCGCTTGAACCCGGGAGGTGGAGGTTGCAGTGAGCCAAGATCGTGCCACTGAACTGCAGCCTGGGCAACAGGAGCGAAACTCCATCTCAAAAAGAAAGAAAGAAAGAAAAACAAACAAACAAACAAACATGAAACAGAGAAATGAGCTGATCAACAAGAGACAGCTAGAGATGAGGCAGAAGCTGAAAAAGACTCAAAGAGGAAACAGGTTGCTTCCCCCTCTCCCCTCCTCTCCCTCTCCTCCCTCCACCAAATTCTCACCAGGGCTGGGCCTGAATGAGGGCCCAGGTCCCGAGGATGGTGACCAGAGAATGCAAAGTGTGGGGGCCACAGGTGAACAGGGTGAGCCCCAGGCCCACAGCGGCTGCTCCCCATCTCTTCAGCCCAGGACCTGCAGGGGGAAGGGACAGCATAAGCCTGGAACCTTCCAGAGGGTCCCCCCCCTTTATTTTCCACTGGGGAGGGAGCCTGACTCACCGGCTTTCTTAAAGAGGAAGCCGATGGGGATGGAGATAAGAAGAACCACTAGATACGTCCATTCTTCAGGCGACATGGTCTGGGGGAGGGGCAGAGATTCACAGTGAGAACCCAGGAATCCAGGCCCCCTGCCTCCTCCCTCTTCGAGGATCCAGGAACCCAGCCTTCTAGACCCCAGTTTTTGAGGATGATGGAGTATGAGCCTCAGCTCCTCTCCTTTGAGAACCTAGCAACCCGGACTCCAGCCCCTTCCTCCTTGGAGGAGACAGGAATCCACCCCCAGCCCCTCCTTTGAGCGCACAGGCCTCCAGCTCTCCTGTCCTTGGAGAACCCAGGAAAGTGTGGGGATCTCCCAGCACCCAAGCCCCTCCTTTGCGAACGCAGAAATCAAAGCTACTCCCCGCACCCATACTGGGGACCCAGATTTGAAGACGCCCCTCTTTTAAAAACCCAGAAACGGCACCCCTCCCGGACCCTTCCTCTTCGACAGCCCAGGAATCTAGACCTCCGAGCCCCCTCTTCCAGCGAGGATCCAGGAACCCAGACCCCCTCTTTGGATCCCCCATCCCCCGGCCCTTGTGAAACCAGATATCCGGACCCCCCAGCCCTTCTTCGAGACCACCCAGAGGAGCCCGGGTCTCCAACCTGCACCTCCTTCGGAGCTCCACACCCCTCTCCTACTGAGAACCCGGGGATCGAACACCCTCCCCTCCCCAGGCCCAGGCCCAGGCCCAGCCCCAACCCGTCCCGCGCACCCCAGCGCATCCCCGGCAGAGCCACAGGCGGTTGCGCCAGCCCCGAGTTCCAACGCGCCTCCGGGGCCGCCCCGCACCCGCCAGCCCGCAGAGACCCTGCCGCCGTGTAACCTCGCCTCGCCACTGGGCGCCGCCACCCTGGCCCACCTGAGCTGCTCGCCGGGCAGGAGGCGGCCGAGCAGTCCCAGCCCGCTTGCCGCCGCAGCTCCGGCCACGCCTCCCCCGCCCAGCGCGCCCCCGCGCCGCCTGCTCCTTCTGGGCGCCCGCCGGGCTGCGCAGATCAGGCCGGGGAAGAAGCCACGGTCAGGGCCCCGGGCGGGCAGGGAAGAAGCCCCGGAGCAGAAGCCGAGAGCGCGAGTCGGCAACGGGATTCGAGTCCAGGTCCACACTGGGATCCGAGCTCCGAGTACGTGAAGGGGCGGGCCTTCGGGCTCGGAACAAGGAGGAGCCAAAAGCTTTGGACCCGAAGGGGAACAGACGGGCTCCGGAAAGGAGGCGGGGTCTGGAGCTCGCCGTGAGGAATGAGGCGGGGTCTCCCTTCGGGTTCCTTCGGGCACAATCGGGAGCTTGAGTTCTCCGGAAGCGGGGCCACAAACTTCGGCTCACTTCGGCAATAGTCGAGAACGGAGAGCTGAGGCCAGTGTGGGCGGAGCCACATGTTTCGGCTTTCTTCGGAGGTAGTCGAGTCCTTAGGGTCACTGTTCCGATGTGGGCGGGGCCACAGACTCGGCCGGATGTGGGTGGGGCCACAAGCTTCGGTTTACTTCGTAGATAGTTGGGTACAAGTGACGCTAGGATGATAGGCGGAGTCAACAGGTTCGCCAGATACCCATGAGTATTTACAAGGGGGCGGGGCGAAAGCGACTTGCCCTCAAAGGGGCGGAACCCCGAGGGCCGGCGTGCGCCTACGGGACCGGGCCAGGGTGACGATCCTCAAGTTCCCAAGTAGAGGAGAGGAAGCGGCAGAGGGAGGTGCGCTCAGTGGGGCGGAGCCAAGGTGGCCCCCGCGGGAGGAGGGCGGGGCTTCGGTCCTGCGAGGGGCGGGACCTGACTTCCCGCGGCGCTGATGGGGCGGGATGACGAAGTTGACGAGGGTGTCGGCATGAGGGGGTGGAGCAAGGAGCGCGTGGCGCGGTGCGCAGTGGGTGGCTCCACCTCGACTGCGAATTACTGTTTATGAGGTGACTCGCTGGTTCTATCGGTGGACAGTGGGACATTCTGAAGGGAGGCAAGGAGGCGGACTGAGCGCTCCCAATTGGGGTGAGCCCGCCCGAGCGGAGAGTGGACGGCGGGTGTCCAGGGGGCGGGGCTTTCGGCTGTGGGGTTCGGTCGTAGGGCGGGAACTCCCCAACTGGGGTGCGCTGGCGCTCGGAGGGGGCGGGGCCACAGGCCGCGAGGCTGCCGGGAGCCGATGACGCCCGAACGCCGAACCTATTGCGTCCGGGAGGAGGCGGGGCTACGGATTCGGCCGAGCCGAGAACACCCGAACGTCAAATTGCTGGCGTTCGGGAAGGGGGCGGGGCTGCGGATTCGGTGGAGCCGAGGACGCCCGAACGCCGAACTTCCTGTGCTCGGGAGGGGGCAGGGTTTTGTACTGTGGGAGTCTGAGAGCGAGGAGGTCCGAAAGCCGAATCACAGTCGTTCGGAAAGAGGAGGAGCGAAGGCTCGAGCGTCCGGAAGAGGGTGTGGCCTCGGCGGTGCCTTAGCCTCCAGAGCTTCTGACCGCTGACGGGAACACCCGAAGGGGGACGCCCACTTTGCAAGAGGGTGGTGCCAAAATGGACCTTTGTAAGGGGGCGTGTCGCCGCGCTTGCGGAGGTTTGTTTTTCACGCTCCAAGGCGCAATGGTAGGTACGGCAGTGCGGGCACAGAGCGGGTGCCGACCGCAGGGTCACAAGGGTAGAGCGGGACCCTGGGGGCTTGGCGAGGGGCGAGGGTCGGGGGCTTGTCTCCGGCGTCTCGTCTCCGGCGGCCGCGAGGCCTGGTGGGATCGCCCGGGGGCGGGGCCTGGCGCTCGGGCCCAGCAGGTGGTGAACGGCGGCTGAGCGAGGCCCCGCCCCCTGAGGCCTAGGGGCGGGGCTTCGCCGAGACCCCGGAGGCTTTGGGTGCGCTGCAGCGGTCTGCGGCGCGCAGCTGTTTCGGTAACTGCTTTGCCTCCCGGCTCCCGCAGGAGGATGCTGGTGGTGGAGGTGGCGAACGGCCGCTCCCTGGTGTGGGGAGCCGAGGCGGTGCAGGCCCTCCGGGAGCGCCTGGGTGTGGGGGGCCGCACGGTAGGCGCCCTGCCCCGCGGGCCCCGCCAGAACTCGCGCCTGGGCCTCCCGCTGCTGCTGATGCCCGAAGAGGCGCGGCTCTTGGCCGAGATCGGCGCCGTGACTCTGGTCAGCGCCCCGCGTCCAGACTCTCGGCACCACAGCCTGGTAAGGGGGCGGGGCTCGAACTCGGGTTCGGTGGGAGCGGGACCTGGGAGTCAAGTTTCCTGGCTTCTGAAGGGACCATAAGCTTGGAGGTTCCAGCGAAGTGTGCTTCTCAGGCCCTGACATCCTTCAAGCGCCAGCAAGAGGAGAGCTTCCAGGAGCAGAGCGCCTTGGCAGCTGAGGCCCGGGAGACCCGTCGTCAGGAGCTCCTGGAGAAGATTACGGAGGGCCAGGCTGCTAAGAAGCAGAAACTAGAACAGGCTTCAGGGGCCAGCTCAAGCCAGGAGGCCGGCTCGAGCCAGGCTGCCAAAGAGGATGAGACCAGTGATGGCCAGGCTTCGGGAGAGCAGGAGGAAGCTGGTGAGCATGGGAGGTGGAGTCCAGGGACCACGGGAAGGAGAGGAGAGATCTTTTAGGAATTTTAGCTGGGAATCCAGTGCCTGGGTCTCCCTGAGGGTGAGAAGACTTTACCCCTTGAATTTACCAAACTCTTCTCTGTACTCCCCACCAGGCCCCTCGTCTTCCCAAGCAGGACCCTCAAATGGGGTAGCCCCCTTGCCCAGATCTGCTCTCCTTGTCCAGCTGGCCACTGCCAGGCCTCGACCGGTCAAGGCCAGGCCCCTGGACTGGCGTGTCCAGTCTAAAGACTGGCCCCACGCCGGCCGCCCTGCCCACGAGCTGCGCTACAGTATCTACAGAGACCTGTGGGAGCGAGGCTTCTTCCTCAGTGCGGCTGGCAAGTTCGGAGGTGACTTCCTGGTCTATCCTGGTGAGTATGGGTTGGGGCCTCTGGTTGCTGTGCCTTTCCATACGATCCCAATGTATTCTGCGTTTTTCTTTTTTTTTTTTTTGTCTTAATAGAGGTGGGGTCTCTTGTTGCTTAGGCTGGTCCCTATTCCTGGGCTCAAGCAATCCTTCCACCTCGGCCCCCCAAAGTGCTGGAATTATAGGCCCAGCTGCATTTTTCTTTTTTGTCTCACTTTCTCTTAGCCTCTGAAATTCATAGACAGACAGGAAACATTTGGGAGCTCCTGAACTCATTGGGCAAGCAGTTTAACGACTTTTATTAAATGATTACTGTGATCCAGAAGATTCACTTAGAAGTAGTTAGACATCAGGCTGGGCGCAATGGCTCACGCCTGTAATCCCAACACTTTGGGAGGCCAAGACAGGTGGATCACCTGAGGTCAGGAGTTTGATACCAGTCTGGCCAACATGGTGAAACCCCATCTCTACTAAAAATACTAAAACTAACTGGGCGTGGTGGTGGGTGCCTGTATTTCCAGCTACTCGGGAGGCTGAAGCAGGAGAATCATGTGAACCCAGGGGGCAGAGGTTGTAGTGAGCCAAGATCGTGCCATTGCACTCCAGCCTGGGGGACAAGAGCGAGACTTTGTCTCAAAAAAAAAAAAAAAAAAAAGCCTAGAAGTGGAATAGTTGTGTCCAAGAGCATCTGTTTTAGAGTATCTATAGTGATGGCTGAAATGATCTCAGATCTCCTCCCAGTGGTCGTTCCCGTGGCGTCCAGCCGTCTGCCATTGGTCACTGCTTCAGTGCCTCTCTCCTTCCCCCAGGTGACCCCCTCCGCTTCCACGCCCATTATATCGCTCAGTGCTGGGCCCCCGAGGACACCATCCCACTCCAAGACCTGGTTGCTGCTGGGCGCCTTGGAACCAGCGTCAGAAAGACCCTGCTCCTCTGTTCTCCGCAGCCTGATGGTAAGGTGGTCTACACCTCCCTGCAATGGGCCAGCCTGCAGTGAACTCCAGAGACCTAGGGGATGTGGCTGTGTCGGCAGCAAGAGCCTTTCTGGATGTTCCCCAGCTCTTCTCTGGGAGTCTAGAACATCCTCCTACCTTTCTCCGCGGTTAGTTTTTGATTCCAGGTTTTCGAACACTACATCTTTTTTATGTTCTTCCTTGTTTCAAAGCACTTATTGGCTGTGTTTTTGTAGTTACCTATTTTCACACTGTGAGCTTCCCGAGAATGGGGCCTGGGTTTGATTCATCTGTTTTCTACAGGGTTTAAGTCTCAGGAGGTCTCAATAAACTTGGTATATAAATGTTCATGATTTGAATGTTTGCGACAGTCCTGGAACCCGTGGATGGTCTCATCTGCATGTACAGGTGAGAAAAAGGCCTGGAGGGGGGGGACTGACTTGCCCAAAGTCACACACTTAGTAAATAGCAGGCCTGGCCTTTCAAAATTGGTTTTTCTGACTCCTAAATCTGCACTCTTTCTACCTCACTAAACTTCCTCTTGAAAAGATTTCTATGAAATTTCCCAGATGCATACAAACGTTATAAATAAAAATATAGGCTGGGCACGATGACCCACACCTGTAATCCCACAGAACTTTTGGAGGCCAAGGCAGGGGGATCGCTTGAGCCCAGGAGTTTGAGACCAGCTCTGGCAACATTGTAATACCCAGTCTCTACAAAAAATAATTTAAAAAAAAATTAGCCAGGGATCCCTTGAGCCTGGGAAGTTGAGGCTGCTGTGAGCTGTGATTGCACCACTGCCCTCCAGCCTGGGAGACAGAGCAAGAACCTGTCTCAAAAAATATATATATGTGTGTGTGTATATATGTAAATATACACACATGTATGTATATATATGTGTGTGTATATATATATATATTATGAAAGGAAATGAGTATTGTAATTTTAGGAGTTCAGAGCCTGGGGAGAAAGGAAGGACTCTGGAAGGCGTTCTGCTTTTTCATGGCCTGGGTAGTGGTGGAGAATTTTTTTGATACTGTATATTTATATTTTAGACTCTTTTTTGGATGTGTTATATTCTGCAATTTTTATAAAAGCTAAAACACATGTATTTGTAAAAAATTTGCACTTATGAAATCATTTACCCATGTTTTTGCTTAAGAAAGTACTAGAACACTACCACTATTCCAATAATTACACCTTTATCTTATCAATGTGCAGTTTTATTTTGTCACGTTTATTTTGTCAGTGTAATACATTCACATGGTGAGTCTGGGCGTGGTGGCTTATGCTTGTAATCCCAGCACTTTGGGAGACCAAGGCGGGCGGATCATGAGGTCAGGAGTTCCAGAGCATCCTGGCCAACATGGCCCGCCTCTATGAAAAATACAAAAATTAGCCGGGCGTGGTGGCGGGCGCCTGTAATCCTAGCTACTCCGGAGGCTGAGGCAGGAGAATCACTTGAATCTGGGAGGTGGAGGTTGCAGTGAGCCAAGGTCACGCCACTGCACTCCAGTCTGGGCGACAGAGCTAGACACTGTCTCAAAAAAACAAAAACAAACAAAAACTTCCACATGGTAAAATTCTGGGGCTGAAAGTCTCCACCTCTAGTTCTTCCATTTCTTCCCCCCATGTTTCATTCTTTCTCTTTTTTGTGTGAATTGAGCAGCCTCTGGAACCAGAATAGGTTTAGAGAGACTCCCATCTCCCCTCTTTCTTGCCATTCCCAGTAAACAGACTTCATAGAATCTCAATTTCCTGTAAGTTTAGATTAATTTAAAATATGACACTGGGCCAGGCGTGGTGGCTCACACCTGTAATCCCAGCACTTTGGGAGGCTGAGGTGGGCAGATGAGTTTGAGATCAGCCTGGCCAATATGGTGAAACCCCATCTCTACTAAAAATACAAAAAAAAAAATTAGCCGGGCGTGGTGGCATGCGCCTGTACTCCTAGCTACTCAGGAGCCTAAGGCAGGAGAATCACTTGAATCCAGGAGGCAGAGGTTGCAGTGAGCCAAGATCGCACTACTACACTCCAGCCTGGGCAACAAGAGCTAAACTCCATCTCAAAAAAATAAAAAGAAAAGAAAAAAAATGACGCTAACCCCTGTCTGGCCAATACTCTCTTTGTGCCTGCTTCATAATTGGCTTTGTAAGTCTATTCTCCACCCTTTCTCCTCTCTACAACAAAGTACTTAGAAGTCTCATTCCCTCTGTCATGAGTCTCTCCTCTGAAAAGTTCCTCATTTAAAACTCCTGTGGCCAGATGTGGTGGCTCAGACCTGTAATCCTAGCACTTTGGGAGGCCAAGGTGGGAAGATCAGTTGAGCCGCTGAGCTCAGGAGTTTGAGACCAGCCTTGGCTGAACATAGTGAGACCTCATCTCATCTCTATTTAAAACAAACAAACAAAAAAAAACTTTTGTGACTGGTGTCCCCCCATGTTGTCAGTCAACAAATTCTATAGGTGCCATGTTCAAAGCACTGTGGATCCACAGTTAGGCCCCACCCTCCACCTTCACTGCCAGTATCTTAGAAAAACCAAACCATGGCTCATTTGATATTGATAGCTTCCTAACTCATCCCCTGCCTTCCATTCTTGCCCCTCTGTTGTCTGTTTTCAACAGAGCAGCCAGAATCATCGTTTTTTTTTTTGTTTTTTTTTTTTTTTTTTTTTTTGAGGCGGAGTCTCGCTGTCGCCCAGGCTGGAGTGCAGTGGCGCGATCTCTGCTCACTGCAAGCTCCGCCTCCCGGATTCACGCCATTCTCCTGCCTCAGCCTCCCTAGTAGCCGGGACTACAGGCGCCCGCCACCTCACCTGGCTAATTTTTTGTATTTTTAGTAGAGACGGGGTTTCACCATGTTAGCCAGGATGGTCTCGATCTCCTGACCTTGTGATCCACCCGCCTCGGCCTCCCAAAGTGCTGGGGTTACAGGCGTGAGCCACCGCGCCCGGCCAGAATCATCATATTAAAAGATAAGTCAGACCATGTCACAGCTCTGTCTAAAACTTTCCTGGAGTTTTCCATCTCAGAGTAAAACTCAAAGGTCCTACTTTGCAGCTTCCTCATGAACTGGCCATGTGCATTCTCTTCCTTGCTTATTATTATTATTATTATTTATTTTTTTTATTTTTGAGACAGAGTCTTGCTCTGTTGCCCAGGCTGGAGTGCAGTGGCACAATCTCGGCCCACTGCAGCCTCTGCCTCCTGGGTTCAAGTGGGTTCAAGCGATTCTCCCACCTCAGCCTCCCAAGTACCTGGGATTACAGGCGCCTGCCACCACGTCAGGCTAATTTTTTGTATTTTAGTAGAGACAGGGTTTCACCATAATTGCCCAGGCTCGAACTCCTGAGCTCAGGCAATCCGCCCACCTCAGCCTCCCAAAGTGCTAGGATTATAGACATGAGCCACCGTGCCCGGCCAGCTTTGTTCCTCTTTACTGCTGGATATTCCATTGTATGGACATAACCCCATTTTATTTATCCATTCATCAGGTGATTGGCATTTGTTTCTAGTTAAGGACAAGGTTTTGGTTTTGGTTTTTGTTTTATTTACCCTTGTTCATGCAGTATCCCCAGGTCCAAGAACAGTTCCTGGCACACAGCAGTCAATACATTGTTGCTAAATAAATGAGTGGCTTAAACTATAATTTTTAAATCAGGGCTGAGACAATTTGGAAATTATAATTTCTCCTACATGACTTTCTAAGCATATTTTAAATAAATATACATACGTTAAGGTCATTTTTATTAATGAAAATTGTAGCATACTATGCACACTTCTGCATCTTGCTTATTGGATATGCCCAGGCTTGTCTCATTTTTGCCAACAGCTACATGGTTTTGCGTCCTATGGATGGGGCATAATTAGATTTTATTACACTTGTACAAAAGGAAAGGAATTCAGCTCCCCAAGCATGCCCAGCTGGTCCTTGGCAACCCATGATGGAAACCAAGGGTTCCTCTTATATTACCCGTGCTCCTTTCAGAGAGGAAGGGCTAGAGGGCTCCAGCCTGAGTGAGAGAGAGAGAGGAGGAAGCATGAGGGGTTTGTGGAAGAGGGCCTGGTGCCATATGACTGGACCATGCTTCTGAAGAGGATCAGGGTGAGGCCAGATCTCATCAGTTGACCCTTGAGCAACATGGGTCTGAACTGCTCGGGTCCACTTTTATGCAGATTGAAAAAAGTAAAGGTTACACAGAGCATGCCTGCCTCTCCTGCTTTGCCTTTTACCTCCTCCACCTCTGGCACCCTGAGACAGCAAGACCAAACCCTCCTCTTCTTTCTGCACCTCTGCCTACTCAGAATGAAGACAAGGATGAAGACCTTTATGATGATCCACTTCCACTTAATGAATAGTAAATATATTTTCTCTTTTTTAGAATTTTCTTAATATTTTCTTTTTTTTTTTTTTTTGAGACGAAGTCTCGCTCTGTCACCCAAGCTGGAGTGCAGTGGCGCGATCTTAGCTCACTGCAAGCTCCGCCTCCCGGGTTCACGCCATTCTCCTGCCTCAGCCTCCCCGGTAGCTGGGACTACAGGTGCCTGCCACCACGCCCGGCAAATTTTTTGTATTTTTAGTAGAGATGGGGTTTCACCGTGTTAGCCAGGATGGTCTCGATCTCCTGACCTGGTGATCCGCCCGCCTTAGCCTCCCAAAGTGCTGGGGTAACAGGCATGAGCCATCACGCCCGGCCAATATTTTCTTTTCTCTAGCTTAATTCATCATAGGAATACAGAATATAATACATATAGCGTATAAAATATGTGTTAATTGACTATGTTATTGGTAAGGCTTCCAGTCAACTACGAGTAATGTTTTTTTTAAATCCTGAGACAGTGTCTTGCTCTGCCAGCTGGGCTGGGGTGCAGGGGCATGATCTTAGTTCGCTGCTGCCTCAACCTCCTTGACTCAAGCAGTCCTCCCACCACAGCCTCCCAAGTAGCTGGAACTACGGGCACACACCACCACACCCAGTTAATTTTTCTGTTTTCTGTAGAGTCTGGGTTTTGCCGTGTTGCCCAGGCTGGTCTTGAACTCCTGGGCTCAAGTGCTCTGCCCACCTCAGCTTCCCAAATCCCACCTGGGGTTACAGGTGTGAGCCACGGTGCCTGGCCTAGTAGTTAAGTTTTGGGGAAGTCAAAAGTTATATGCAGATTTTCTTTCTTGATTTTTTTTTTTTTTTTTTTGAGGCAGTCTTGCTCTGTCGCCCAGGATGGAGTGCAGTGGTGCGATCTCGGCTCACTGCAATCTCCACGTCCTGGGTTCAAGCGATGCTCTTGCCTCAACCTCCTAAGTAGCTGGGATTACAGGCACCTGCCACCACGCCTGCCTAATTTTTGTATTTTTAGTAGAGACCAGGTTTTGTCATGTTGGCCAGGCTGGTCTCGAACTCCTGACCTCAGTTGATCCGCCGGCCTTGGCCTTCCACATAGTGCTGGGATTACAGGCGTGAGGCACCGCGCCCAGCCTATATGGAGGTTTTCGGCTGAGCTGGGGGTCAGTGCCCCTCGCCCCCAGACTGTACAGAGTCAGCTGTGTTAAGATATTAAGCACCTTCAGTACACAAGACTCTGTGCTGGTTTTCTTTTCTTTTTTTTTTTTTTTTACTCTAAATCATCAAACCCTATGAGGAAAGTCCTGTTACTTTCTCCCATTTAGCACTCTTGAAGAGGCTAATTTGCCTAAGATCAAGAGCTCGTCAGTGACTGCTGAGGTTCAAACGCAGATCTTTTTTAAGACTTGAGAACCTACAGGTTCAACCACCATTATAAAACCATCTCTGTAATCACGAGGCACCCGGAATTTGTGGAGCTTGGACTTCATCCTGAAGGGAGTGAAAACTTATGGAAGTTTTTTCCTTCCACGTTTCCCCCTTCCAGATGAATAATATACGCGTGTTCAAGATACAAAAATGCATAAAATTTGGCCAGGCATGGTGGCTTACACCTGTAATCCCAGCACTTGGGGAGGCTGAGGCGAGTGGATCACTTGAGCCCAGGAGTTCAAGACCAGCCTGGGCAATATGGCAAAACCCCGTCTCAAAACAACAAAACAAACAAACAAAAAACCCATAAAACTGAACAAGGTAGTTTGTAAGATATGGAAGTACAATGCAGATGACAATAATGACGATGGTAGCTACCACTAGGCGCTTTATTTATGCCACTCTCCTCAACACTGGATAGACTCTCACTTAATCCTCACAAGCTTATGAGGTAGGCGCTACCATCATTCGCCGTTTTACAGAGGAGGACGCTGAGGCACAGAGTGATTGAGAAACTTGTCGAAGGCACTGCAGCTGGCAAGTGGTGACGTGGCATTTGAATCCAGGCATCCGGATGGTGTGGATGCCGTGGAAGAGAAAGGGGCGGGTGGGACTGCTTCCTGAGGAGATAGTGACTGCCGAGGCAGCAGCGTAGGGAAGACAACTGAAGAACACGAGCTGTGGAGACAGACCATCGCATTCGGAGTGGAGAGATGGGTGTACAGACAGACAATAACCAGACTATATATAAAAAGAGAACTCTAGGTCAGGCGCGGTGGCTCACACCTGTAATCTTAGCACTTTGGGAGGCTGAGGCGGGTGGATCACTTGAGGTCAGGCGTTGGAGACCAGGAGTTCAAAACCCCGTCTCTACTAAAAATTTAAAAATTAGCCGGGCATGGTGGTGGGCGCCTGTAGTCCCAGCTTCTCGGGAGGCTGAGGCACGAGAATCGATTGAACCCGGGAAGCGGAGGTTGCAGTGAGCCGAGATCGCACCACTGCACTCCAGCCTGGGTGACGAGAGCGAAAAACTCCGTCTCAAAAATAAAATAAATTACTGATAATAGTACTAATACCCCTTAAGTGGCTATTGATAATAATAGTACCATGGGTGGGGGGGCAACTTCTCTGAGAGTGCTCTGTAAGTATGTATTGAAGATTGAGTAAATACATTTAAAATTCTTAGAACAGTATGTGGCACATAGCGTTCCAGAATGCCACATTATTGTTAGTGACAGAAATAATCTCGGCTGGGCGCGGTGGCTCACGCCTGTAATCCCAGCACTTTGGGGGGGCCACGGCGGGAGGCTCTCTCGAGGCCGGGAGTTCAAGACCAGCCTGGGCAACATGGCAAGACGCCGACTGTTAAAAAAAAAAAAATGCTACCCGGGCGTCGTGGCGTGTGCCTGTAATCCCAGCTACTGGGGAGGAGGTGGGAGGATCGCTCGAGCCCGAGAGGTTGGTCGGGGCCTCAGTGAGCCGAAATCACGCCACTGCACTCCAGCCTGGGCGACGGAGCGAGACCCTGTCTCAGAAAGAAAAAGAAAAACCACCGTCCAGGGGCGGAGAAGGAAGGTTCTCCCTACTTCTCAGGTTTCCACTCCCTGGCCGGAAAAAACCTAGTCCTCCCAGGTTAGCACGCCGCTCTAGCCCAGCCTCACGTCTCCACTGCTTCTCAGCCAGCCAACGCCTCTTCTGATTGGCTCTGACGTGCGTGGTGCGTGAAAACGTCACGAGACGCCGGCGTTACTATAAGAGCGCAGCCGTGGCGCTTGCGCGCCTCTTTCTCAGTGACCGGGTGGTTTGCTTAGGTGAGGTGCGGCGGTGTGCTTTTTCTCTAGGGTTTGGGTTGGATGGTGGCCCGGGCCTTCCGAGTTTCCATGAGTAAGCTAAAGACGTTAGGAAACAGAGCAGGGTGGTTGAACGGGAGTGCAGCACGGTTGTGGGGGCAGATACTGACTATGAGAGCGTTGGAGGTTATTCTCGCGAGATCGGATCTGGGCTCCGCGAGGTTTTGGCGTAGTTGTGGGACTGCGCAGGCGCCGTTTGGAGCCCTTACGCTCACACTTCTCTCCCGCGCAGGCGCAGACGGGGAAGCGGAGCCAACATGCCAGTGGCCCGGAGCTGGGTTTGTCGCAAAACTTATGTGACCCCGCGGAGACCCTTCGAGAAATCTCGTCTCGACCAAGAGCTGAAGCTGATCGGTGAGTGGCCAAGGCTTCCGGGAAGTGGTTCGGCTTCCGGGAGGCGGTTAGCACGTGGATGAAGGTGCCCATGTACTCTATCTAGTCCGTCCCCTAAATTTGGTACTATTCGTGGTTTAGGAAGGTTTTGTGATTCCAAAGCTGCCAGTCTAGTTGTTGTGCCAGTACGTGGGACTACACTTGTCCACCCCCTTCTCCCCACCAGGCGAGTATGGGCTCCGGAACAAACGTGAGGTCTGGAGGGTCAAATTTACCCTGGCCAAGATCCGCAAGGCCGCCCGGGAACTGCTGACGCTTGATGAGAAGGACCCACGGCGTCTGTTCGAAGGTGCGTATGGGAGTCCACAGCAGAGGGATGGGGTGCAGGGCTTGTGAGGTTCATTCTCCCTTCTGTTGCCTCTGTTCCAGTGATGAGAGTTGTGTCATTGGATAAATGGAACCAGCCTTCTAACTTTTAGTGGCACTTGTGAAGTAGGAAAAGTGTATCTGGATCAGTCTTTGCCCTGTTTCTTAGGTGTGTGGCTTTTTTGCCCAGTTATTGGACCTTCAGTTTAGTAATGACCAGAGCTAAAGATAGGCCTGGCACACCTGGGCACCCGTCTATATCTTTATATTCTGTTTATGTGGCCTGTTTGCTAGTGGATGAGAGTAGACTATGAAGTGGAATTTCTGGGCTAAGTGATGGTGATAACAGGGTTTGCACATTTGCTTGGTTTATTGTTTTTTTAATTAAGTTTTCTCGTTTTATTTAGTCTTTTGAGACGGAGTCTTGCTCTGTTGCCCAGGCTGGAGTGCCGTGGCGCCATTTCGGCTTACTGCAACCCCCGCCTCCTGGGTTCAAACAATTCTCCTATCTTAGCCTCCCAAGTAGCTGGGACTACAGACAGGCGCACGCCACCACACCTGGCTAATTTTACTTTTGAGACGGAGTCTCGCTCCATTGCCCATGCTGGAGTGTAGTTGTCGCAATCTTGGCTCACTGCAAACTCCGCCTCCAGAGTTCAAGCGATTCTCCTGTCTTAGCCTCCTAAGTAGCTGGAATCACAGGCATGGGCCACCAAGCCTGGCTAATTTTCTATTATTAGTGGAGATGGGTTTTCACCATGTTGTCCAGGCTGGTGCTTGTTTTTTTAAGCTGGTCAAGGACATTTAGGTGGTATTTAGCAAAGGCCTGAACAGGAGAGAACCTGTAAAATGTCTCAGGGAACAGCATTTCAGGTGATGACTTTAGGAGGGCATGCAGATCACATAGACTTAGGCTTACTTTACTAATTGTGGTGAAATACACATTAAATTGAAAATGTACCATCTTAACCATCTTGTTTTAAAATCTACTCTGAGATGCGGTGTTATTGGAGTGCTTTCTACAGCAGATTGGCATGACCAAGATTGGCATTTGTATATCCTGAGACGCTGCTTTTGCCTGAGTTTGGGTAGTCATGATTTATGGTGAAAAGCAGTCTCTACACCTGAGCCCTGACTGTTAGGCATGAGAGTGGTCATCCATGTTAGGCGTTGAGAAAGTCCTGGCGCATGTTTAGCTACAGATTATCACAGTTTGTCCCAGGCTTGCAGATGTTAGAAGCTTTTTCTTTAAATAGGCACAGGATCTTGCAGTGTTGACCAGGATGGTTTCCAACTCCTAACCTCAAGTGATCCATCCACCTCAGCTTTCCAAAGTGCTGGGGTTACAGGTGTAAGCCACCGCACCTGACCCTTTCATTCTTTTCGTCAATTTGTAGACCCCGTTGATAATCTCATGAAAGTGCTGGAGATCCCTCCCCCATAGATACTGATGCTGGGTGGGAATTCATCCCAGGGTTCTGTGGGGAGTGGGCTATAGCTGGTTCTGGTTTTAGGGAGGACTTTCTGGACATAGATCCTAATTGCAATGAAACTTACAGTCATGTGAGAAAGCGGTGCAGGTGTCTGAGGGTTATTTGTGGTTTTCCAAGGCAGAAGTGAAAATTCCCAAGGGGTACACAGTTGTTCAGGTGAGTACACTTTCTAGTAAATGAAGCCATCTAGCCTAGTCAGGGACAGGAAGGAGGAGCTTGGATGTTTGCTCTTTGGTGTAATCCTGCCTTGATTCAGATCCAGCCTTTCCCACTAAGATGTGTGACTAGCGAGATTCTGAGTCTCGTCTGTTAAGACTGAACAGCCGCCAACATTTGGCTGGCAGTTAATAATCAACAGATAGAGGCCAGGCGTGGTGGCTCATGCCTGTAATCCCAGCACTTTGGGAGACCGAGGTGGTCGGATCACTTGAGGTCAGGAGACCTCAAGTCAGAGACCAGCCTGGCCAACGTGGTGAAATTCCATCTCTACGAAAAATACAAAAATTAGCCGAGCATGGTGGTGTGCCTATAATCCCAGCTACTCGGGAGGCTGAGGCAGGAGAATTGATTGAACCTGGGAGACAGAGACTGCAGTGAGCCGAGATCCGCGGCACTGCACTGGGTGACAGCGAGACACAAAACAACACGAACTCCCCCCCCACCCCCCAGCACAACTGTGAAGAAATGTAGGAGTCATGTCCATTTTTCAGATCAGAAATGAAGGCATTGTAATACCTAACTGCCTTGTATGATGACAAGGACCTGTTTCCCACTGAGGTCCTCCCTGGTTTGCATTTTTAAAGCATTTTAAATTCTCTTGGTGCATTGGCCCAGTGGAGCCTCAGCAGTAGGACATGCTTTTGTTGAAGGTGTAAGGTTTATTGTGCTGTTGAAAACTATTGTCTTCATACTTAAAGGTTTTGCCTGTGGCTGACTCTCCTGTTCTTTTTCAGGAGATAGATGGTTCAATAAATGTGGGCCTGAGTGCAGTGGCTCATGCCTGTAATCCCAGCACTTTGGGAGGCAGAGGCAGGCGGATCACCCGAGGTCGGGAGTTTGAGACTAGCCTGACCAAAGTGGAGAAACCCCTTAGTCTCTACTGAAAAAATACAAAATTAGCGGGGCGTGGTGGCGCATGCCTGTAATCCCAGGCTGAGGCAGGAGAATCCCAGGAGGCGGAGTTTGCAGTGAGCCGAGATCACGCCATTGCACTCCAGCCTGGGCAACGAGAGCGAAACTCTGTCTCAAAAATGATAATAAATGTGAAACATTTTTTTAAAATCATGCCTTTGTTTTGCCTAATGGTGACGATCTCACTTTGTCTCCCGGGCTGGAGCACAGTGGCATGGTCGTGGCTCACTGCAGCCTGGACCTCCTGTGCTTAAGTGATCCTCCTCAGCTCTAGTAGCTGGGACCACAATCCACCATGTACCACCATGCCCAGCTAATTTAGTTTTACTTTTTTGTTTGTTTTGGTACAAATGCGGTCTCACTGTGTTGCCGAGGCTAGTTTCAAACTTCTGGACTCAACTGATCCTCCTGCCTCAGCCTCCCAAAATATTGGGTTTATAGGCCAGGCATAAGGGACTGTGCGTGGCTTAAGTTTCCATTTTCTAATGTAAAGACAAAAAGGCGTGAAGTGTCCAAAGAGGTAAATGATCCCAAACTCATTTTCATTGCCTTTTGGACATGTTTTTGTATTTTGATATTCAGGTGTTTAAATATCCTCTGATGTTGAGTTAAAAAAGAACAAAAATTGAAGCCATAGTATGACATAGGATGCTGGAAATGCACACAGCTGGTGTTTCCATTTTGATTCTCCCTACCTGTAACTGCTCCCTACTGGGAAAACTTTGGGTCCTCACAAAGTGAGCTAGCTTTCTTTCAAACTTTGCTTGGAGGGTAACAGTGCCAGGAATATCAGAAGTGCCTGATGCATGTAGATCTATTTATGAAAGCTTGCTTGAATGGTTTGCTGTAACTAGTAAGAGCCACTTTTTATAAAAGTGCACATAAGGAAAAAAGGTTGAGGTGTTTACCCCAGTCAAGGGGCAGTTGATTTGCTGAAGGCGTGTGGGATTATAGCAGTGAGCGGGAGCCTAGGGGATGGCGTTTGCCCCCAGGGCCCTGGGGCTGTGGGCAAGGGCAGTCCAGAGTATTAGCTAGAAGCCATGGCTTTGGACAGGGTAAGGAGCAAGCCGTCCTGAGCCTGGGGTTGGAAGAAAGGTGTAGTAGGGCATCTGTTGGATATTTTATGCAGTGCATTGTTAGGTTATATACATACTAGATCTATTTTTGGTGGAAAATTTTGTACAGAATAGTAAAATGAATGACATGTACTTAGCTGGAAAAATTCTAGTGTTAGAAATTACTTTTCTCTCCTTAAAAGATGTAGATACTGCTATTTATGGCACGGAATGTGATTCAATCTCACATCTGCTTAATCAGAAGAGCTTTCTGGGCTGAGGATATGAACTCTTCAGCACTGTGCTTTGTTACGGTGGTAGTAGCTTAATAGCAGCTGCATTTGGTCTTTTGCAGACTGAGTCCTTGTAAGGAGGTGATTTCCTTTACTCTTGCTAAGAATGTGGAGCGAGGGATGTATGCTCTCAGATGAGGAGGCAGGTGTATTTTGCCCTCCTGTCATCTGCAGTTTACTATGAATGATGACCTGACAACCATAGGGTAGTTTGGTTTTTTGTATTGTTTTGTTTTGTGACAGGGCCTCACTCTGTCGCCCAGGCTGGAGTGCAGTGGCCCCATCTCAGGTCACTGCAACCTCCGCCTCCTGGGTTCAAGCAGTTTTCCTTCCTCAGCCTCCTGAATAGCTGGGATTACAGGCAGTGCGCCAACGGCCTGGCTAATTTTTCGTAATCTTAGTGGAGACGGGCTTTCGCCATGTTGGCCGGGCTGGTCTCTCAAACTCCTGACCTCAAGTGATCCGTCTCGGACTCCCGAAGTGCTGGGATTACAGGTGTGAGCCACCACTCCCAGCCCGTAGGGTGGTTTTGACAGTGACATGGGTCACGGTGATGGCGCTGTACTACTTGTGCCTCACCGCCGCGGCATGGAGCTACCAAGAGGCGGAGCCAGGATTTGAACCCAAGAAGCCTGAGGTCAGAAGGCGGAATCAGTGTTTCCTCCCACTCTTCCCAGGCAACGCCCTGCTGCGGCGGCTGGTCCGCATTGGGGTGCTGGATGAGGGCAAGATGAAGCTGGATTACATCCTGGGCCTGAAGATAGAGGATTTCTTAGAGAGACGCCTGCAGACCCAGGTCTTCAAGCTGGGCTTGGCCAAGTCCATCCACCACGCTCGCGTGCTGATCCGCCAGCGCCATATCAGGTACCACCTCGGATGGGCACCTGAATCTTCCTCCACCTGCCCCTCTGATGGTTGCCCTCACTAAGCCTGCTGTCCCTATCTCCTATGCAGCCCTCGGAGGTGATGGGTGTGAACTCACCCAGAGGGTACAGATTCACCCTTGCACACAGCTCACCAGGGAGCTGGGGCAGCCTCTTGCCCCAATAGCCCAGCGCAAGGGTCACTGCGGCTCTAGCCGTACACCTTGTGAAGGCCTCTGCCAGGCATGTGGGCAGCTGGACAGGTAACAGCTCTTGGTGTCCCCAGTGGAGGGAGAGAACCAGCCTCACCTCGCTTGGGTGGTGGGTTCAGCTGTCTCCTGGCTCGCTTGTGAAGTTGATTCCAGACCCCGATCCATGACTGCGTTCTGGGTACTCAGTGTGCCCTTTCTGTAATGTGGCACCATTGAGGGGGAGGAGCTGTACAGAAAGAGGGCAAGATGTTTGCGTTTAGAATCTTCGCCCCAGCCCTTCACTAACCCTGTGAGCCGTAGGCAGAGCCTTGTGTGTCAATGCTTTCGTCGGAGACGTAGCCTCGGGTTGCTGTGTTATTGTGGGCATTGCTGCTGCACGTGGTAATACAGCTCAGTGTCAGGTGTGGGGTTCACGATATTTCAGACTCGGAACTTGGGGGCTCTCACATGGCCATCTCATTTGCTTTGTGGTCTTAGGTGGGATACTTTCAGATTTCTCCTATAAAATGGGGTTGAGAAAGTCATCTGAAGCATTTTTGGGGATTAAGGTGATACCCTAAAACCCCGGAGGGCGCACGTAGGATCAGGTGCACCCTTCCTGCAGCGCCTTGGTGTCTGCAGCCGTGGCGGCCTCACGGGGTGGGTGGAGAGGAAAGAGTGGTGCGGTAGCTGGGGTTAGCGTCCGTTTCTCCTCCAGTCCACCTCACCTTGTCGCTTCTTCCAGGGTCCGCAAGCAGGTGGTGAACATCCCGTCCTTCATTGTCCGCCTGGATTCCCAGAAGCACATCGACTTCTCTCTGCGCTCTCCCTACGGGGGTGGCCGCCCGGGCCGCGTGAAGAGGAAGAATGCCAAGAAGGGCCAGGGTGGGGCTGGGGCTGGAGACGACGAGGAGGAGGATTAAGTCCACCTGTCCCTCCTGGGCTGCTGGATTGTCTCGTTTTCCTGCCAAATAAACAGGATCAGCGCTTTACAATTGGTGTGTGGGGGTCTCTCATCCTTGACTCTTTCCCCTGCTCTAAACATGCAGCCTTCCCTGGGAGGCTCACTCACTTGGGAGTGCCTACCAGCTAGTGGTCCCTGGCCTCTCAGTACTATTCTACAGTAGTGAACACACATCTTTACCAGAAACTTCTGTCATCAGGGGAGAGACGAGTGGTATTTTTGGAAAAACTGTGTCAAAACCAGAAGGAAATTCCAAGTAAGCCGGTGTTTGCATATAGGGGTGGGAGGGAGCCGGTCATTGCTAGGCAGGGCAGGCGCCGAGTGGAGGTGGGGGCCTTCCCTGCCTGCTGGCCCTGGGACCCTGACCCCGCCAGGCAAGAGACAGGTGGGACGGGAGCTGACCAGAGGCTGACGGGTTGCTGGGGAAGGTGAACTGTTGGTGATTGTTGGGGAACACTTCACAGAATTTGCTTGCTAGTTTCAAAGCTTGTGATGCGGTTGATGTTGGGCAAGTTCCCAGTTTTGTCTTCACATGTAGGGGAAGTGGGTTAGCGTAGGAGAAGGGGCGTTGAGGGAAGTCTGTTCCTCCTCTCCGCGTTCAGTGCTTCTGTGGACTCACGGTCAAGAGGTTGGCAGGCTTCCCTTTTCTCAGCCTTGTTGATCATCTGTGTTGGGAAGGGGTTTGGTTTCTGAGGAAGTGAGAAACCTGAAATTGTGCAACCCCCTCAGGCTGCAGGCTGTAGTTGATTGGGTCCTTATCTGGAGGCCTTCAGGGTTTGAGGTCAGGGCAGGGACAGTTCTGGAACACAGCTAAGTTACTGTAAACCACGTGGAGAAGTCCATTGCGGCTTACTCAAGCTAGGTGGTTGGCCCTTCCTTCCCTCAGCGTTGCTACTTGGGAAATGACGGTGGTCTTGTGTCCATGGGGCCAGCTGCTGCACCATCTGGGCTCACTGTGGTCTCCTTCCTTGGAGCGTGGGGTCTGGGCTAGTGGATGGCCGGGGCAGCGTACTCACTGGGCTCCTGGGAGCTCCCCTGGGAGGAAGAGACTGCAGTTGTCTCTGGTCTGAGAGGTGGTGGCTCACCTGGGTGTAGCTCACAATTGCGGAGCTCCACGGCAGCCTGGAGGGAGGGGAGAGTGGGAGTTGAGGTATGCGGTTCTGGGGAGAAGCCTACGGGCTTGGAAAGGAAAAGGGTCTTCAGGGCTCTGTCTACAGAGGCAGCGAGCGGGGCAACAGAGGGAGACTCCATCTCAAGAATTTGTAGAGATGGAGTCTCAATGTGTTGCCCCGGCTGATCTAAAACCCTTGGCCTCAAGCAATCCACTCGCCTCCCAAAGCGCTAGGATGACAGGTGTGAGCCACAGTGCCTGGCCTGCGTGGGTCTGTTTAATCTCCGGGCCTCTTGCTCTCCCTTTCTTGGTGATCTCCTTGGACCACATCCCTGTATCATTCTCTCTCTCGACCCTGAGCCCAGGGTCCAGAGCAGAGAACGGGATGGGGTCTGGGTAGGGGCCCCTCACTTGCAACCAGGATGTTGGGTGGGGGCGACGGGGGACCGACCTTGGGCAGGAGGCATTGTGTCCACCGCAGCATCTGTGCTGGCCCCCAGGGGGGTGGCTCGCATGGCCCAGGGGGACGTCCAGGAGGTGCTGCCCATCTAGGCGCTGGCGGGCTGGGAGCCCCTTGTCCTGGTCAATGCAGAGCTGTCAAAACCGGCCTCTGAGTGATGCTGAGGGGTCAGGCTGTCTCCAGAGAGCACCGGCGATCCCGGCTGTGCTGAGAGGGAGGGCTGAGGGCTGCCTGGACGCCCCTGAGATGAGGCGACTGGTATTTAGGGGATGCGTACTCTCTGGGGCCCGCTGGGGCCTGCAGGGAGAGCTCTCACCGGTCTCAACTCCATGCCTTCTGCCTTGTGCTTCTGGCCCAAGAGGTCGGGGTCACTGACCACCCCGTGTCCACCTAAGGCTTCCCTGGACACACAGCAGGGAGATGGGCAATGAGGGTGGGGGTTGTGGCCCTGCCTGTCACGGTCCCCAGCAGTGCAGATGAATTAGACCATTGAGCCACAGAGCCTGGAGGGCAGATGGGTGTGCTGGTATAAGGAGCCCCGGGCTCTGTGTTACAGGTCATGTGTTCTCACCAGTGGCCTTGCAGGAGGGGAACAGCCCCTTCCCCAGGGCCTCGCTCTGCTCCCCCTGAAGGATGGGGCTGAGGGGACAGCAGGCTCTGGGGGCCTTTCAGACCACATTTGAGTCAAAATTTGACTTCCCCATACTCTGCCTGCTTCCACCTCACCCAACTCTCATCCAGGGGTGACCCTTGTTCTAGCACATGAGGCTGAGGCCAGAGAGGGCAGGGCCTTAGGACACAGCCCAGTCACTGTTCTAATTCTAGAGGCAAGCCCCTTCCATGTCCTGAGCTCTGTAATGCATCTTTTCTTTCATGAGCCTTGCGATCAGGCGATGTTTATTCAGTGGTTACCACATCCAGGCATGCTGCCAGGAGGAGGGGAGTCGTGGGTGAAGCTGATAGGATTCCTGCTGGACTCACAGAGCCTGGGTTAATGACACATTACCCATGTTTAGATAGGAGGTAATTCTGCTCCGGTTTCGACAAGTTGTAGGAAAGGAGGAAAACATGCTCATAGCAGGTGAGCAGCGTACACCTGTCATGGGAGTGAGGGGTCCTTCTGGGGGATGGAGAGACCAAGACGTGAACAGTGAGTGTGGCACGCAGAGTGTCCTCCACCAGAAACAGTGTGGGCTGTTCTCAGACCTGAGAGTGAGCCAAAGGAAGCTGGGACCTTGTCATTCAGGGGACTTGTGCACCGTGAAGATTTATTGGATGCTATGTTTAAGAAAATGGAAAATCCGGCCCGGCACGGTGGTTTGCACCTGTAATCCCAGCACTTTGGGAGGCGGAGGTGGGTGGATTATGAGGTCAGGAGTTCGAGACCAGCCTGGCCAACATGGTGAAACCCCGTCTCTACTAAAGACACAAAAAATCAGCCAGGTGTGGTGGTGGACGCCTGTAATCCCAGCTACTCGGGAGGCTGAGGCAGGAGAATCACTTGAACCCGGGAGGTGGAGGTTGCAGTGAGCCGAGATTGCGCCACAGCACTCCAGCCTAGGTGACAGAGTGAGACTCCATCTCAAAAAAAAAAAAAAAAAAACCGGGGAATCTTTAGAAAGCACAGTGGAAACAGATGTCTGTTTTTACAAGCCCATCACTGCACAGAATGCAATATGGGAGGGTTTCACTAATGGTTAACCATAACCACACTCCAGCGTGAGCCCAGCCACTAGGCAATGTGCTGATAAGGATTCTAAGTGGTTTATGTGGACTCCTCATGACCTATGACACACATACGTTTACAGTGGAGTGGAACGAGGCAGGAGGGCTTCTCTTTGTCATAGTCTACCAGCTCTGCAGAGGTGTCAGCTACATCCGGATTGGCTCAGGGAGCGGCCGTCAGAAGACTTACACGTGTTTAATAACTGAGGTTGTGTGTGTGTGGCAGGGGGTGGGTAACTGTGATGAGTTTGGTGTGGCAGAGGGGGAGCCATAGCCTGTGAAGCTGGAAAGTGTATCAGGTTTGGTCATCAACAGGCTTGAACATGAAGTACAGGAACGTGCATCTTATTTTTGGAAGATGGAGCCCCGTTGGGGGAATTTGAGCAGTGGAGGGTCACAGCCAGGTAAGATGGTCAGAAGAGGCCTCGGAAGTGATGAGAGGGATGGACTGGAGTAGGGATGGGAGCCAGTAGGGGGCCAGGAGGGAGGTTGGTGCAGTGCACAGACAGGGCGTCCTCGGTCCCCAGCTGAGCTTAGACTGTGGGGATGGACCAGCGGACACGGGTGGAGCCGGGTGAGGAGGGATGTGGGCAGAGAGGTTTGGATTTGTTCACTGTGTGTGAAGCAGAAGAGTGTGAGGAGCTTTTCCACTCTCTGCCTTGGTTGATGGGAGGAACCAGTGGGGCTGCCGCAGGACAGACGACCCGCGTGGGAGAAGGAGGCTCGGGGAGATGTTTCTAAGACTTAACTTGCTCACAGAGGGAAGCACAAGCTTCCTTCGAGCCTGGGCTTTGTTTTCCCAAACAGGTCCCTTCACTGACTTTCTTTTTTGAGACGGAGTCTCGCTCTGTCGCCCAGGCTGGAGTGCAGTGGCGCGATCTCGGCTCACTGCAAGCTCCGCCTCCCGGGTTCACGCCATTCTCCTGCCTCAGCCTCCCGAGTAGCTGGGACTACAGGCGCCCGCCACCACGCCCGGCTAATCTTTTGTATTTTTAGTAGAGACGGGGTTTCACCGTGCTAGCCAGGATGGTCTCGATCTCCTGACCTCGTGATCCACCCGCCTCGGCCTCCCAAAGTGCTGGGATTACAGGCGTGAGCCATCGCGCCCAGCCAACTTTCCTGTTAATGAGTAGCACTCTTTTTTTCTTTCTTTTCTTTCCCCCTTTTTTTTTTTTTTTAGACATGGTCTTGCTCTGTTTCCCAGGCTGGAGTGCAGTGGCGTGACCCCAGCTCACTACAACCTCCACCTCCTGGGTTCAGGTGATTGTCCTGCTTCAGCCTCCCAAGTAGCTGGATTACAGGCACGTGCAACCACGCCTGGCTAATTTTTGTATTTTTAGTAGAGACAGAGTTTCACCATGTTGGCCAGGCTATTCTCGAACTCCTGACCTTAAATCATCCTCTTGCCTTGGCCCCCCAAAGTGTTAGGATTACAGGCATGAGCCATCATGCTCGGCCTCTTTTTTCTTTTTCTTTTTTTTTTTTTTTGTTTTTGAGACAGAGTCTTGCTCTGTCACCCAGGCTGGAGTGCAGTGGCGTGATCTCAGCTCACTGCAGCCTCCACCTCCCAGGTGCCAGCGATTCTCCTGCCTCAATCTCCCAGTTAGCTGGGATTACAGATGCGCGCCACCATATCCAGCTAAATTTTGTATTTTTTAGTAAAGACAGAGTTTTACCATGTTGGCCAGGCTGGTCTTGAACTCCTGACCTCAGGTGATCCGCCCGCTTCAGCCTCCCAAAGTGTTGGGATTACGGGCATGAGCCACCATGCTCGGCCTCTTTTTTCTTTGCTTAAAAGATGAGGCCTGTTGCCCAGGCTGGAGTGCAGTGGCACTATCATAGCTCACTGCAGCCTTGACATCGTGGCTCAGGTGATCCTCCCGCCTCAGGCTCCCGAGTGGCTGGGACTACAGACGTGCACCTCCACAGCCACTACTTATTTTTGTAGCGATGTCTATCAGCTGGTGAATAGAGAAAGTGTGGTATATCCTTACAACAAAATATTATTCAACCGTAGAAAGGAATGAAGTACTCATACATGCTACATGTGTGAACCTTGATAATATACTAGATAAAAGCAGTCAGGAAAAAAAGGTCACATATGACGTTATTTCATTTATAAGAAGTATCCAGCCTGGGTGTGGTGGCTCATTGCCTGTAATCCAGCACTTTGGGAGGCCAAGGCAGGTGGATTGCCTGAGTTTAGGAGTTTGAGACCAGCCTGGGCAACATGGTGAAATACCATCTCTACCAAAAATACAAAAAATTCACCCGGCATGGTGGCATGTGCCTGTGATCCCAGCTACTTGGGAGGCTCAGGTGGCAGGATCGCTTGAGCCTGGGAGGCAGAGGTTACAGTGAGCCGAGATCACACCACTGCACTCCAACCTGGGTGACAGAGTGAGTCCCTGTCTCAAAAAAAAAAAAAAAAGGTATTCAAAGAAGGCCAATCGATAGAGGCAGAAAGTAGGTTAATTGTTGCATGGGATTAGGTGGGAGTGATTGCTTGATGTAAACTCGGTTTCCTTCTCGGTATGATAAAAATGTTTCGGAATGAGATAGAGGTGATGCTTACACCATATTGTGAATTTACTAAATGCCACAAAATAGAGTTGTATCTCAATAAAAATATATTTGTTGGGCCGGGTGCGGTGGCTCACGCCTATAATCCCAGCACTTTGGGAGGCAGGCAGATCAAGAGGTCAGGAGTTCAAGACCAGCCTGGCAAAACCCTGTCTCTACTAAAAATATAAAACTTAGCCAGGCGTGGTGGCATGTGTCTGTAATCCCAGCTACTCGGGAGGCTGAGGTAGAATGGAGCGAGACTCCGTCTCAAAAAAAAATATATATATATGTAAATATATATATGTTGGGCATAGTGGTGCACACATGTAGTCCCAGCTACTTGGGAGGCTGAGGCAGGAGAACCACTTGAACCTGGGAAGCGGAGGTTGCAGTGAGCCGAGACTGCACCATTGCACTCCTGCCTGGGCAAAAAGAGTGAAACTCCATCTCGAAAAAAAAAAAAACCACACACACACACGTAGATAAAATCAAATATTCTGTATTCCATAAATATGTACAATTATTATTTTTCAATTAAAAACTCTTAAGCTGGGCACAGTGGCTCATGCCTGTAATCCCAACACTTTGGGAGGCGGAGATGGGAGGCTCTTGAGCCCACAAGTTTGAGGCCAGTTTGGGCAACATCGTGAGATCCCATTGCTACAAAAAAATTTAAAATATATTTTTAAAAAACTCTAATACAGTAGTCCCCCTTTATCTGTAATTTTCTTTCTGTGTTTTCAGTTACCTGGTGGTCAACCATGGTCCAAAAATATTAAATAGAAAAGTTAAGGAATCATAAGTTTTTTTTTTTTTTTTTTATTGATCATTCTTGGGTGTTTCTCGCAGAGGGGGATTTGGCAGGGTCATAGGACAACGGTGGAGGGAAGGTCAGCAGATAAACAAGTGAACAAAGGTCTCTGGTTTTCCTAGGCAGAGGACCCTGCAGCCTTCCGCAGTGTTTGTGTCACTGGGTACTTGAGATTAGGGAGTGGTGATGACTCTTAACGAGCATGCTGCCTTCAAGCATCTGTTCAACAAAGCACATCTTGCACCGCCCTTAATCCATTTAACCCTGAGTGGACACAGCACATGTTTCAGAGAGCACAGGGTTGGGGGTAAGGTCACAGATCAACAGGATCCCAAGGCAGAAGAATTTTTCTTAGTACAGAACAAAATGAAAAGTCTCCCATGTCTACCTCTTTCTACACAGACACCGCAACCATCCGATTTCTCAATCTTTTCCCCACCTTTCCCCGCTTTCTATTCCACAAAACCGCCATTGTCATCATGGCCCGTTCTCAATGAGCTGTTGGGTACACCTCCCAGACGGGGTGGCGGCCGGGCAGAGGGGCTCCTCACTTCCCAGTAGGGGCGGCCGGGCAGAGGCGCCCCTCACCTCCCGGATGGGGCGGCTGGCCTGGCGGGGGGCTGACCCCCCCACCTCCCTCCCGGACGGGGCGGCTGGCCGGGCGAGGGGGGAATCATAAGTTTTTAACAAATCAAAATATTTCTAAAAACCTAGAGTAGGCAGGAAAGGGGAAACAACACACAGCAGAGGAGACAAACAAAAAGGCACACCTGAACACAGTCATGCACCGCATAACGATGTTTCGCTCCACTACACATTTCATATGTGATGGTATAGCCTATGTATGTAGTAGGTTATACCACGTAGGTTTGTGTAAGTAGACTCTATGATGTTCACACGACGGTGAATTTTTTTTTTTCTTTTTTTTGAGATGGAGTCTCATTCTGTCTCCCAGGCTGGAGTGAAATGGCACGATTTTGGCTCACTGCAACCTCCGCCTCCCAGGTTCAAGCGATTCTCCTGCCTCAGCTTCCCAAGTAGCTGGGATTACAGGCATGCACCACGATGCCCGGCTAATTTTTGTATTTTTAGTAGAGACAGGGTTTCACCATGTTGAGCAGGCTGGTCTCGAATTCCCGACCTCTGGTGATCCACCCATCTTGGCCTCCCAAAGTTCTGGGATTACAGGCATGAGCCACCACGCCTGGCCAAAATTTTTTAATGATGGCTTTCTCAGAACATATCCCTGTCATTAAGTGACATACGGTTGTAATGTCATCAGTGATTACATTAAATATAAGTGATCAAAAAGAGATTACAAGATTGGAATTTTTTTTTTTTGAGACAGAGTCTTGCTCTGTTGCCCAGGCTGTAGTGCAGTGGTGTGATCTCGGTTCACTGCAACCACTGCCTCCTGGGTTCAAGCAGTTCTCTGCCTCAGCCTCCCTAGTAGCTGGGATTACAGGTGCCTGCCACCACACCTGGCCAGTTTTTGTATTTTTAGTAGAGATGGGGTTTCACCATCTTGGCCAGGCTAGTCTTGAACTCCTGACCTTGTGATCCACCCGCCTTGGCCTCCCAAAGTGCTGGGATTACAGGCATGAACCCCCGCGCCTGGCCTGTTGTTTATATTTTATCACATTAAAAAAGCAGAAGGATGAAAAATGTATTATGCAAACACTAATCAACAGATAATTTCACTGGCTTGTTAGTTGTTTTGTTTTTTTGAGACAGGGTCTCGTCCAGGCTGAAGTGCTGTGGTGCGATCTCGGCTCATTGCAGCCTCGACCTCCTGTACCCAAGTGATCCTCCCACCTCAGCCTCTCAAGTAGCTGGGACTACAGGTGTGTGCCACCACGCCGGACTGGTTTTATTTTTTGTAGAGATGGGGCCTCACAATGCTGATCTGACTGACTCGAACTCCTGAGCTCAAGCTATCCTCCCCACTTGCCCTCCCAAAGTATTGGGATTACAGGTGTGAGCCACTGCACCTGGTTATGCTTCTTTTTTATTTTTTTTCTTTCTTTTTTTTTTTTTTTCGAGACGGAATCTCACTCTGTCGCCCAGGCTGGAGTGCAGTGGTGCGATCTCAGCTCACTGCAAGCTCTGCCTCCCGGGCTCATGCCATTCTCCTGCCTCAGCCTCCTGAGTAGCTGGGACTATAGGCACTCGCCACCACGCCCGGCTAATTTTTTTGTATTTTTAGTAGAGACGGGGTTTCACCGTGTTAGCCAGGATGGTCTCGATCTCCTGACCTCATGATCCGCCCGCATCAGCCTCCCAAAGTGCTGAGATTATAGGCGTGAGCCACCGCGCCCGGCCTATTTATGCTTCTTAATTTTCCCATGTCATAAGTTCGATGTATAATATTTACATTATCATTCAGTTTAAAACATTCACTGTTTTTTTTTTTAGAGACAAGGTCTCGCTCTGTCACACAGGCTGGAGTGCAGTGGCACAGTCATAGCTCACTGCAGCCTCAGCAGCCTTAACTTCTTGTGTTCAAGGAATCCTCCCCACTCAGCCTCCTGAGTACCACACCCGGCCTTTACGTCTGTTTTTGTTTTTTGTTTTTTTGTTATTAACTCATTGATTGTTGAGAAGTCTGTTGCTTTATTTCCAAAATGGGACGATATTAGTCATCTTTGAGTCAGGTGAGTCCCACAAGTTCCCAGCGTCTCCTCATGGTCTGTGTTAGGGGTCCAGGCTGACTGGGGTTCACTGGTGTCCACTGGGGGCAGCTCCCGTGCCTTCAGCAGTCCTGAGTCTCCTTCTGCTGAGTGTGGGGTCTGCGTACCCCCCGGGCTAGTGGATGGCCAGAGTGGCGTAGATGCTGGGCTCAGCTGGAGGTTCCCCTTCCTGGGATGGAGGAGGCTCAGTTGCCTTCCGTCTAAGGGTCAAGCTGTGCAGCTGGGCGTAGGTCACATCCTGGGAGGCTTCAGATGCAGCAGCCTGCAGCGGGGGAGAGTGAGAGGTAAGGAACGTGGTGGGGGTGGGGGAGGCCTGGGGGCCTGGAGAGGAAAGGACTCACCTCAGTGTCCATCTGCCTGTCCTCTTCCACCTGTCTGTCCTTTGTGTCCAGGAATTCCCCAGACAGTGAGGAGGGAGGAGAGGCCATTTCTCTCCTAGGACTGGAGTGTTTCACCGGGGCATACGTCACTGCCTGGGGGTCTTCATCGTGTGGGCTCTGCTGGAGAGAGACAGTGGTGGGGGGTGTCCTTGAGTCCCCCTGACCTCCTGGAGTCAATTTTCCTCACTGTTCCCGGGGTGATCCGATTACATCCCTTTCCTGATGGAATCTCAGGGACGCCCTAAGGCCGTGGAGGGTCTGGCCGCTCCCTCCCTGTGGTTCTGGCCTCTGCTCCTCACTCTGACCTTGCCCATTTGGCTGCAGCCTCACAGGCCTTCCTGCAAGAGCTCGCTGCTGCCTGGGGGCCTTTGCACGGCTGTTTCCTCTGCCTGCAGGGGCTCGTCTATCAGAGGATCATGTGCCCCACTCTGTCCAGGCTTCTCAGATGACAGCTGAGCAGACAGCCCTCCCCTTCCATTCAGACTGGCCCCACTGCCCCACACTCTCTGCCCTTTCCCTGGTGTATGTTCCTTACAGCACGTTGCACTCCTGGACACGATGCATTTATTTGCATTTTGTCTCCCACCATGAGGTGAGCTCAGGAGGCGGGGGCGGCTTTGCTCCCTGCTGTGTCTGCAGCTCCCATGGGGAGCCCCATCCACAGTGAGCTCCCTGGGAACACTCGCTGGATGAATGAATGAAGAGGAGCCCAGGGGACGGAGGTGGTTCATTTATTCGTCATCCTCCTGAGGCCTGGGGAGAGCTCTAACAACCAGACGGCCAAACAGAGGATGAGGAGCAGGAAGGGGACCCGGGAGGAGGCCCACGAGGTCCCAGGACAGCAGAAGAGAGTGAGGTCACAGCAGGCGGGAGGCAGCATGCTGGACAAGGAGGGGTCCACCGTGACGATGCTGAGAGCCGGGGGAAGGAGGACAGAGAAGTCCTGCAGGATTAGATCTGGCACCAGGAGGCCTTTGGTGCCTGGGACGGGGCGGGATCTCACCTGACTGTCCAGCTCCACCCTGTCCTCAGACTGTGTGTCCTTCACGGCAGCATCTGCTGGGGCAGAGCAAGGGGTTCGTCTCCTGGTTCTCTGAGACCTCTCAGTCCTGCTGGCCCCCTGCCCTGCTCCCAGATGGGGCCACCGAATGCAGGGAGGTCCCACAGTGTGGGGCAAGACCATCTTCCACGGAGCCCCAGACCCTTCCCAGCCCCTCCCTGTTGCTACTGAAATTTTGGGACTCCTGTCTCTCCAGCACCCCCATTTGTCCCCTCTCTTCCTCTTACAGAGGTTTTCTTCCTGGACGTCAGCAGCTGGGCTGGACCTGGAGGAGGACATGGGAGTGTGAGGGGCAGTGTATGGGCTGTGGTGGGTGGGAGTCTGTGGTCTTTGGGGCAGAATTACCTCCTCAGCAGGCCCCTGTCCTTGGGCTCTGTCTCCGCAGCCCCTGCAGGACGCTGGAAATCAGTCTTTCTCTGGTCTGGGTGAAGATGGACAGAGTCTCAGCCCTGGGAACATTAGAACTCCCATTCTACACATGCAACTTGAGGGAAAGAAGGAAAACTAAAAATATTCCTGCATGGATGTTCCAAATATTTTATGAGATAGAAAAAAACTCCCATGAATACTGAAGTTTGTAAATGCGTATTGAAATTACGTGCCCCTGGAACCGGTTTTCTAAACTGACACCCCTGTGTGTTTGGGTTCCCTCTGGCTGGTGCCCTGAGCCCACCCTCGGTCGACCCATGGGTCCCCCGCTTCCCTACTCACCAGATGTCCTGTGTTTGCTGTGACGCTGACGTCGGAGGAGGAGGAAGAGGAGGAGGAAGAGCAGCAGGACGAAGGCCACCGAGACCCCAATCAAAACCTCCAGGTATCTTCCCAGACCTTGACATGAGGACGTCAGGAGTGGGAATGATGTCATTGATGTGAGCACCTACTGTGTGCAGGCGCGAGCCAGGTCTTTCCTTCGTGACCTCCAACCCTCACAAGCAGTCGTGCAACATGGAATTGCCACCCGTACAACCCATTTCACAGATGCACAAACTGAGGCTCAGAGCAGGGAGTCGCCTGCCCCAGGCCTCCAGCGAGGAAGCGGCAGAGCTGGGAAGGGAGCCCGGGAGTCTGACCTGCAGCCCTTGTTCCTGCACCAGAGCCGAGACCCGGAGCTGCAGGGAAAGAGCCTGACCGTCCTGAACCACGGCCCTGCTCCCCTCCCCTGCCCCAGGTCACCGTCACTGCTGCAGGTGGGACGGGACAGGCCCCTGTGGAATCGGGTCTGGGAGGTTCCCTGGGAGGCCTCCTCTCCCAGGAGGTCACAGCTGGGGGTCAGAGCTGAAAGGAACTTTCCCACCCACAGGCCTCTCTCCTTTACACTTGGAGAAACTGAGGCCCAGGCAGGGGAGGGGCCTGTCCACATCACCACCTCCAGAGGAGCCTGAACCTAGGACAGAACCCACCCCTGCCTCCCCTGGACCCCGCCCATCTCCCACTCAGAGCCCCTCACTCACGATTCTGAGGGCCTGACCCTGGGGGGTTAAGGGGCTGGTCCTCAGGACCTCCTGGGTCAGGACAGGGAGGTGAAGGCTGGGGCTGTCTTGCCCCCCACATCAGCCCGGCTCCTCCTCCTGGCTGGGCCCCAACATCTCCCTCTGCCTCGACCCCCCACTCTTCACCAGCCCAGCCTCAGAGCCCCTGGGACACAAGCCCGTCCTTGAGGGGAGGGGAGTGGGATCCTTTGGGAGACTCAGACTGCCCTGGGGGAGGCGGCGCTCCCCACGAGGCCTCAGTGACTCACCAGGTGTGGAGGGCGGCCCTGTGGGTGGGAGGCTGGAGCCTCCAGAGTGTCCTGGAAGGAGCACGGGAGGCGGGTGAGGGGCGGGGGCCGTCCATGGAGTGCACCCTTCCACTCCCACTCTCCTGCTTCCGCCCAGTGGATTCCCTGGAACCATCTCTCTGCCCACCTGGTGCCTTCTGCATGCCAGGCAGGGGAGAACGGGTGGCCACGCCTAGGAGAACCCCTGTTGGCCTCCTCCCCTCTGAGGGCTGGGTGCCCTCTGGCTAAGCCTCCCTCACAGCCTCCCTCGGTCCATCCCAGCCGAGAGCTCTCCTGGGGGCCTGGGCCTGAGCTGAGCCTTTGAGCTCAGAGAGGACGGGGTCAGCGCCCTCACCTGAGACCACGAGCTCCAGGGGCTCACTGGGGTGAGACAGCAGGTGGGGGTTGGAGCTGTATGAGCCGTAGCACCTGTAGGTCCCCGCGTGGGCTGAGGTCACAGGACTCATGGGGAATTCAGCCTGGTACTTATGAGCTCCGTACATTGATCTCAGACGCAGTGGGGGATGGGCTGCCCCTTCTTTGGTCAGAAGGAAAGTGTCAAACTGCCACCATGACTGACACAGCAGGGTCACGTTCTCTCCTGAGGCCACTGTGGGGCCCGGCTGTGCTGACAGGGAGACGGTGTCATAGATCTGTCCTGGAGAGAAGAAGGATGGGTGAGGGGCTGCCCCACCTTGCTCTGAGCTGACACCTCCCCAGGCCTCTCCCTGGGACCCTCAGTGTCTCTGTCCCTGTTTTCTCTGAGTCTCGCCTCCCCGCCCATCCCCTGTCTCTGTCTGTCTCTCCCTCCCTTGGGACCCCCACCCCTCATCCCGGCCATCACCACCTGGGCTCCCCCGGCAGGGCCTGTGCAGAGCCTGGGTCCCTGACTGAACCCGCTGGGCTCCTCACCTGCCATCAGGATGTTCAGGGGGTCGCTGGGGGCCGACCACTCGGAGGAGAGGTTGTGTGCACCGTAGCACCTGTACTGGCCCCCATTGGAGGGGCTCACAGGGCCCAGGGTGAAGTTGGCCTGGGAGAGCCCAGCCTGGGGCTGCTGGCCAGGGCGCTGGAGGAAGTCACGTTCCCCCTCCTTATACAGAACAAATCTGTTGTAGCCGACATCAGAGCCACACTGGAGGGTCAGGCTCTGCCCAGGGGCCAGGACAGGGCCCTGCAGGGTCAGGAGGGAGGGCTTCCTAGACACGCCTGGAGGGAAAGAGGAGCCAGGACTGAGAGGGCTGGTTCCTCCCACGCCCCTTCCTTCTCCCGTCCTGGCCCTGCAGGTCTCACTGTCTCTCACGCTCTGAGTCTCTGACCCCAGGGCCTCCTTCTCACCCGGGGCTGTCTTGGAGTCATTTCAGAGGAGTGGGGTCTCCCTAGCCCTGGCCACTGTGCCTGATCTTTCCTCCTCTCCCTGAGAGCTGGGACCTCACAGCAAACACACCGATGCCTTCCTGAGTCCTCCCCTTCCAGGTGAACGTGGTCGAGGGCTCCTCCTCCCATGTCAGAGCCTCCCCATGGGGTCTCCCTCATGCCTTCAGCCCGTCCTTCAACACATCACTCTGGGTCCTTTCCAGATTCAGTCACCAGCCAAACTCCCCACAACCTGTCAGCTGCCCCGAAAGTGTGTTAGACAAGGCCGTGGCTCCCTCACCTGAGGGCAGAATCTCCAGGGGGTCACTGGGGTGGGACCACACCCAGGGGGTGTTTGTATAATAGTAATAGCATGTGAACCTCCACCTGTGGCTGGGGGTCACGGGGCCCACAGGGAACAGGGCCTGGAACCCCCGACTGTGGAGCTGCTGTGAGTCCAGGGTCCGGGGGAGCTGGTGTTCTCCTTCCTTCATCAGAACAAAATGGTGATATCCCTTCTGTGAGCCACATCGGAGGGTCATATTCCCCCCTGAGGCCACCACAGGGCTGGGCAGGGCTGAGAGGGTGGGTTTGCTGTAGGCTCCTAGGAGAGAAAGAGGCACCGTGTTAAATGGGGCTCCCACCTCCCACATCATCCCCAGGGCTGGGCTGTGAGAGGGAGACGCCCCTGAGAGCCGACCCCCTTCCTGAGGGCAGAGCCTGGGGCTGGGACCCCAGAGTGTCCTCTCACCTGTCATCACCATCTCCAGGGGGTCGCTGGGCTCTGACCAGCCTGCAGAGCTGTAATAGTGGCAGCGGTATCTCCCTGCATGGTGCTCTGTCATGGATGGGATGGAGAATCTGGCCTTGTTCTTGGGTTCCAGTGGGTTATTTCTGTCCAAGGGCTCTGGGCTTCCCTCTTTATGCAGTCGGTACTCCTGGGCCTCCTGGCTCCCCTGACACCAGATGGTCACGGGGCTCCCCCAGCTGATCACAGAGCCTGGCTCAGCCCAGAGGGTGGGTTTGGGGAAGGGCCCTAGATGGAAATCAGAGGCTGGATCCCAAGACATCCCCACGCTCAGATCCCAGCTCCCAGCCCCAGGACTTCCCCATCATCCCCATCAGTCACCCAGAACTACTGTCTCCTCCCCCAGCTGCCCATGGGTGGCCCCCTGTCCCAGTGAGGAGTAGGGACCTGGGACAGCTGGGGACAGACTCACCTGCCTGCACGCGGGTCCTGGGGCCCAGACTCAGCCCTGGAAGAGAGTTCCCTGTGAGGCATTTGCCCTGAAGCCTGAGCAGGTCCCCGCCCGGGTGCCTCCTGAGCTTTTGAGGTCTCCTGATGGACCAGGGCTTGTGTGTGGGGTGGGGTTCCTCCAAGACTCAGATCTCCCCCTCCCCATCTTGAAATCTCACCAAGGCAGAGCAGGGCTGTGAGGGCGGGCGTCATGGCGTCTCCTCCCGGTGACCCCGCGCTCTGCAGAGGGATGAGCCCTCAGTGCTGGCAGGACAGAGAGACACACAGGGTGTGGCCGCTCGGAGGCTGGGTCCTTCTTGTCATGGGGTTGTCTCATCCTCAGCCCACAGGAAGAGGAACTGCCACCCCAGGAACCTGGCTCTGATTTCCCCAGGGCTGAAGTGGGGGCAGGCACCAGGCTCTCTGCAGGCATTTCAGAGAGAAATGGGGTCTCCCTGCCCCCGGGCCACTGTCTGCCTGATTTATCTTTATCTCACTGAGGACGGGGACACAGCCGCAAATAGACCTGGTGCCTTCCTGAGTCAGCCCCTTTGAGGCGAGGGTGACCGTGGGCTCCTCCTCCCTCTCAGAGCCTCCCCATGGGGTCTCCCTCCCTCCTTCAGCCCGTCCATCAGCTCAGCGTTACGGGGTCCTTACCATGGCAGTCGTCTCTCCAGCCCTGGAGATGCTTCAGGGAAGACCCAGGTCCATGCTGCAGGCAGACTCAGATCAGCAGAGACGCACCTGACACCTGGCTGTGTAGTCCAGGCTGAGCTGCGTGTAGCAGTGAGCACAGAGAAATGCAGGGTCTACCGTGGTGGCTCATGCCTGGAATCCCAGTACTTCAGGAGGCTGTGGCGGGTGATGGCTTGAGGCCAGGAGCTTCAGACAGTCCTGGGAAACAGACTGTGACCCTGTTTCTACAGAAAAGAAAAAAGTGAGCTGGGCATGGAGGCTCATGCCTGTGGTCCCAGCTACTCAGGAGGCTGAGGTGGGAGGATCACTTGGGCCCGGGAGGCGGAGGCTTCAGGGAGCTATGATCACCCCTTGGCCTTCCAGCCTGGGCGACAGAGCAAGATCCTGTCTAAAAAGGAGAAATAGAGGGGATAAAGAGAAATATATATATATATGTTTCATTGTAATCTATAATCTGATTCTGGGGAAGGTGAGCTGATTTGTATTTAATTCCTGATTATCATCTAGGGTTTATGTGACTTTGGACATGAATGTCACCTCTGAGCCTGCTGTCATGAACCCCACTCATCACAGTGGCTGTGGGGGTCAGTGGTGCCCAGGACATGGGAGGCTCAGCCATGGTGAATTTCCAGACCAGTTCAGACAGGAGGGTGGGGACGGGAGAGGATCCTGGTGCTGGGCTCCACAGTCGAGGAGGATGATTGACGCCCCCACTCAAGAGCCCACATCGGCTCCAAATACCATGAAATTCTCCTTGTGATACGTCTGAAATATGCAGATCATCACAGCCACAGGCAGAGAAAGAGGAAAAACAGTTCCTCACATTGAGACGCATCCCCTTCCATGAGCAGAGTTCAATGCTGAGTGGCCACAGGTGTCTGGGACCACCGAGCGTCATTAGGGAGGAGGAGGCTCCCACCTCCATGTGGGACAGAAGAGGAACCCCACGTCCTCCCAGGCAGGGAGGGGTCAGGGCTCTGGGTGAGGCTGGAAGCTGTGGCTCCCCCTCCCCCGTGTGTGTGGACAGGCGCTGGGGGGTCTCTGCTCACTCACTGGAGGCCACGGTCAGCGCTCAGCCCCTCCCCTGTGTGTGAGAAACAGATTCAATCCACGGTGGTCAGACATGGGCGTCTGCCCCACAGGTGAGTGTGAGGCTGGCATTGGTCCCATCCCTGCTGGGCACAATCTTGAGCTGACACTGAGTTTGGGGGAGTGGGGCAGGAGCAGCGGCAACAATCCCCTTCATCAGGCTGATGCCTGGACAGCCGTGGGAGAAACCCTTTATGAAAGGTCAGGTGCGTGGGAGGAGCCGCCCCACAGGAATGACAACCATATGAGGACAAAATAGACAGTTGTTGAAATGCATTAGACAGACATCGTGAAGGTGAAAAACTATATTAAATTAACGCCATTAAAAAGGAATTTATGTCTGGGCGTGGTAGTTCATGCCTGTAATCCCAGCACTTTGGGAGGTGGAGGCGGGCAGATCACTTGAGGCTAGGAGTTCGAGACCAGCCTGGGTGACATGGTGAAACCCCATCTCTACTAAAAATACAAAAAATTATCTGGGCGTGGTGGTGAGTGCCTGTAATCCCAGCTACTCGGGAGGCTGAGGCAGGAGAATCTCTTGAACCTGGAAGATGGAGGCTGCTGTGTGCTGAGATTGCGCCCCTGTACTTCAGCTGGGACAACAGGAGCGAAACTGTGTCTCAAAAAAAGAAGCAATTTACTAACCATATATACCTACCATGCAAACATAACAAAATCAAAGCATAATTTAATCCAGGGCAAGACAGCTGAAATAATAAATATATACATTGGGATAAAATATTCATGAAATTTTCCAGACTGTATCATGGAAAGAACAGAAATTGAACAATAGAAAATATTGATATATACACGAAGTTGAATGAGAAGAAAGAACGTGTCTGTCACGGTTTCAGAATGAAAGAAGGAAGAAGGATGTTAGTTCATGATATGCATGAAGAGCTAATGGTTGAAATTTTTACAGAACTGAAGAGAAAACATCAGTTTATAACTAAATTGAATATCTCGATCATGGTAAAGTGAAAACCATGAGGCATTAATTTAAAATAATCATAAAACTACCAGAGAAAATGTAAATTACCCTTGAATGAATGACAAGCTCGTCGGGACTGGAGTTCCAAAGAGCAAACAGCAGCCCCAGAAGATACAGGAGAAACAACCACAAGCGTTTAACTGTGAGGAGAGAGTTCTGTGCTGGGCCTAATTATTACTATTATAATTATTTATTATTATTATTATTATTATCTTTTGAGATGCAATTTCGCTCTTGTTGCCCAGGCTGGAGTGCAATGGCGCGATCTCGGCTCACCGCAACCTGGCCTAGTTATTATTAAAGGACCGAGTTGCAGTGTCAGCTGTGGATAAATCCTAGAACATAAGGAGACTCGGGGCACTCGTGACCCGTCAGGTCAGGCGGTGGCCTTATGAGGAATAAGGAGGGCGTTTTCAGTGTCCTTTTATCAGGTACTATGATAACAACAGAGAAAGAGAGAGATTGAGACAGACAGAGAGAGACGGAGAGACAGAGAGAGATTGAGACAGAGAGAGAGAGGGAGAGGGAGACACACACACACACACACACGGAGAGAGACAGAGACAGAGAAGCAGGCATCGCTTGAGCTGCAAGGCTGCAGACATGTTTGCATCTGGGCTCTTTCTGAAAGCAATACTAAACAATGTAAATCAGGGAGTGGAATAATGAACCCCAAATGGAGAAGATGAGATGCTACTGTGAATAAGTCAACAGTACATACAAAAAACGAATAAGCATAGATCTATCTGTAATCTGTGTATATACAAGTATATGCATTTCTACTAAGAATCTGAAAGAGCAAGGAAATGGATTCGCGTCTCTGGAGCCTCCAGAAAGGAATGCAGCCACGTTATGGCCTTGATTTTGTCCTAAAAGACTGTGAGATAATGAGTTTGTGTTGCTGAAGCTGCTCAATACGTGTAATTTGTTATGGCAGCAATAGCAAACCAATACTAACACAAACAGCCTTTGAAAAGAAAAATAGATGATATTTCACACTTTTATTTATTTATTTATTTATTTTATTTTATTTTGAGACGGAGCCTTGCTCTGTCACCCAGGCTGGAGTGCAGTGGCGCGATCTTGGCTCACTGCAAGCTCTGCCTGCCGGGTTCACACCATTCTCCTGGCTCAGCCTCCCGAGTAGCTGGGACTACAGGCGACCGCCACCACGCCCGGCTAATTTTTTACTATTTTTAGTAGAGACGGGGTTTCACCGTGGTCTCGATCTCCTGACCTCATGATCCGCCTGCCTCGGCCTCCCAAAGTGCTGCGATTACAGGCGTGAGCCACCACGCCCGGATATTTCATACTTTTAAATCAGCAATCTGTGAAGAAGAGAAAGTTATACACTTTCACTCAACCAACCACATGTCCTTAAAATTTACAAAGCATCAATTGAGACACAGTGGAGGATTTGAAGAAATATTGATCAGACTTTGATAGATTAAGTGAACAAAATATTCGTGAGGGTTGCATGGCACAAATGTTCAATCTCATGCGCAAATATGATGTTTCGATTGTTTATATATTATGTAAATTTGTATAGAAACGTTTCTGGAATATACATATAGCAACAAAGTGGGAATGCATATTTCTTTATATATATTTTTTTGAAACAAGGTCTCTCTCTGTTGCTCCATCTGAAGTACAATGGCACTATCCCAGCTCACTGCAGCCTCGACCTCCTGAGGCCTAGGTGATTCTGCCACAACCATTTCCTGAGTAGCTGGGACTACAGGATCATGCCACCTTGCCTGGCTAAATTTTTTTAATATGTATTTTTTTGTAGAGACGAGGTTTCGCTATGTTGCCCAGGCTGGTGTCAAACTCCTGGGCTCACGGGATCTGCCCACCTTGGCCTTCCAAAGTGTTGGGATTACTGGTGTGAGCCACTGTGCGAGGCCAGGAATACTTATTTATGAAAACATATTGATCAGAAATATCTATCTTTTTTTTTTTTTTTGAAACGAAGTGTAGCTCTGTCGCCAGGCTGGAGTGCAGTGGCACGAACTCGGCTCACGGCAATCTCCACCTTCCGGGTTCAAGCGATTCTCCTGCCTCAGGCTTGCGAGTAGCTAGAATTACAGGCGTGCACCGCCACACCCAGCTAATTTTTTTGTATTTTTAGTAGAGACGGGATTTCACCATGTTGGCCCAGATGGTCTCGGTCTCCTGACTTCTTGATCTACCCGCCTTAGCTTCCCAAAGTGGTGGGATTACAGGTGAGAGCCACTGTGCCCAGCCGTCTCTATCATTTTTACACAGCAAAGTAAGCATCCAAACTGTTACTACAGGTAACGTTTCCTGATTAGAAGTTCAATTAAATTAGCAGCCAACAATAAGAAGACATTTAGAGAAAAAGCAATACTTTGGAAACAAATAACATTCTAAATATTCATGGGTTATAGGCTGGATGTGGTGGCTCATGCCTGTAATCCCAGCACTTTGGGAGGCTGAGGCAGGTGGATCACTTGAGGTCAGGACTTTGAGACCAGCCTGGCCAACATGGTGAAATGCTGTCTCTACTGAGAATGCAAAAATTAGCTGGGTGTGGTGGCATGCACCTGTATTTTCAATGACTCGGGAGGCTGAGACGGGAGATTCACTTGAACCCAGGAGGTGGAAGTTGCAGTGAGCCGAGATTGTGCCACTGCACTCCAGCCTGGGTGAGAGAGTAAGACTCCATCGCAAAAGCAAAAACAAATATTCATGGGTTATAGAATCACACAACATTAAATTGATAGAACATTAACGAAAAATGTCAATGAAATTATAACATATGAACGTTTGTAGGATGTAAAGTAAGAGAGTGAGAGAGAGAGAGGGAGCACAACAATTACCAAATCAAGATGGAAAGAGGCACCACTACCCATCCTACAGACATAAAAGGACTAGTGAAGCAAAACTAGGAATCTATGCTAAGATGTTTTACAACTCACATTTAATAGAAAATATCTTGAAGTATACAAACTACCAAAATTTACTCAAGAACAAATATATAGTGTAACATTTCCTATTTTTATTAAAGAAATTCAACTGGCCGGGATTGGTGGCTCACACCTTTAATTCCAGCACCTTGGGAGGCTGAGGCGGGCAGATTACCTGAGGTCAGGAATTCAAGACCTGTCTGGCCAACATGGTGAAATCCCACCTCTACTAACAATACAAAAATTAGCCAAGTGAGGTGGCGCATGCCTGTAATCCCAGCTACTCAGGAGGGTGAGGCAAGAGATCTGTTTGAACCCAGGAGGCGGAGGTTGCAGTGAGCTGAGATCACACCACTGCATTCCAGCCTAGGCGACAGAGGGAGACTCTGAAAAAAAAAAAAAAGAAAAGAAAAGAAATTCAACCTACACTCAGAAATCTTTCCATAGGGAAATCTGGCCTAAATGGGTACACTGTTGATTTCTACCAAATATTTGAGAAAGTAAGAATGACATGGAAACTCTAGCTATCATTCAGTTCTCACTAGGCTCATCGACTTCTTCATTCCAGTCCATGGGTTCTTATGGACACATCCAGCCAGTTCAGTCCAAGTTCCTTAGTGGGGCAGCAGTTTGGTGCTGTTGGTGTTGCTGGAAGCTCTTTGACCTCCTTTGGAACAGAAATATCAAACAGTGGTACCTTGCCCCAAAGTAGAGCGGTTGATTCTGCCTTTACACAGGATACAAGATCCCTAAAAACACAATTATCTCAAGGTCCTTCAAGCGCTCAGTTCGACCCTTTGAGAAGAAGCCCAACCATGGAACAAGGAGTGCAGACCGCCTGGGCCCACGGACCTGCTCCAGCACCTGTTGGGAGAAGGAGTCCTGTATCAACCAGGCCTTTGCCATCTACCAGCCAAAAAGCAATAGAGAATCAGGAGCAGAGGTGAGCTGAAGCGCACAACGTTCCAAGGCCAGAAAATGAGCAACTCAGGAATGAAACAAGAGACAAGCAGCTCCAGGTGCTCCTTCAGCGCCAAGGAGAGGGCGTGGGGGTCATGGGGTGGCAGGGGAAGATTTGCTATTCGGCGAGATGGGCCAATGAAATTTGAGAATTTTTTTTTTTTTTTTTGGAGACGGACTCTCGCTCGGTCGCTCAGGCTGGGGTGCAGTGGCCCGATCTCGGCTCACTGCAAGCTCCGCCTCCCGGGTTCACGCCATTCTCCTGCCTCAGCCTCCCCAGTAGCTGGGACTACAGGCGCCCGCCACCACGTCAGGCTAATTTTTTTGTATTTTCAGTAGAGACGGGGTTTCACCGTGATCTCGATCTCCTGACCTCGTGATCCGCCCGCCTCGGCCTCCCAAATTGCTGGGATTACAGGCGTGAGAGAAAGAGTTTGACTTTGAAAGTGCAAATGCCCAATTCAACAAGGAAGAGATGGGCAGAGAGTTTCATAATAAACTTAAATTAAAAGAAGATAAACTTGAGAAAGAGGAGAAGCCTGTAAATGGTGAAGATAAAGGAGACTCAGGAGTTGATACCCAAAACAGTGAAGGACATGCTGATGAAGAAGATGCACTTGGACCTAATTGCTTTTATGACCAAACTAAATCCTCCTTTGATAATATTTCTGGTGATGACAATAGAGAACGGAGGCCAACCTGGGCTGAAGGAAGAAGATTAAATGCTGAAACATTTGGAATCCCACTTTGTCCAAACCGTGGCCATGGGGGATACAGAGGCAGAGGGAGGTCTTGGTTTCCATGGTGGCAGAGGGCGTGGTGGCAGAAGTGGTACCTTGACCACCCCTTGAGGATTTCGCGGCGGATTCAGAGGAGGTTCCACGGGTCGGGAGTTTGCAGATTTTGAATATAGGAAAAGCACAGCCTTTGGCCCCTAAATAGTCTGAATTGATAGTACTGCTCTCTGAAAGAAAGACAACAAAGCTGCTGCATAGTCTACAAACAAGTCTTTGAAAACAGGTGAATTTCTAGCTCTTCATGGTACTGGAAACTGATTTCAGTCTTTGCGAAGAACGAAGAAGTGAATTGGCTGTATGTTTGCCATCAGCACTGGGTTTTTGTTTTTTGTTTGTTTTTCTGTTTAATTTCAGAGATAAAATGCAGTTAGTTTTCGGGGGAGGAAGCCTTATCTTAAGACATGAGGATTAAATATATTTGGAATAGCAGAAGGTTAAATAATTTCTTATGTATAGTTAAACTAAAGCAGTACTTCAGTGGGACTTATAAGTATTGTGTCATCACTGAAAGGTTTTTTTTTTTTTTTTTTAATCACTGAATTGTATTTGGTAATTCCAGGTTGCCTGCAGATAGGGCCGTGATACTGTGTTCTGAGCCAAGAAGGGAGGGTGTGTGTGTGTGTGTGTGTGTGTGTGTGTGTGTGTATCTTTCTCCTCCTTTCTTTTGGGGAATCTTGTAATATTAAATAGTCTATTTCATCAATTAATTAGGGTGCTGGATGGTAGAGAATTTTGTCAGTCAACTAGGTACACACGGTAAATACTGTTTCTTAGGCAAACGTAACTTTTTTATACAGTTGTAAAATTCCATTATATTCCAATGCCAAAGAAACATTAAAAACTTTGTAAAGTTGTATAAAAAGCAACTAATTTTTTACAAAATAGATATCCTAAAGTTAGCCAAAAAAAAGAGAAAAGGGCAAAGTGATCATTTTTGGCGTAGGGTAACCCTTAGTTTCTTCCCTGGTAGTAATTTCCCACCAGGCAGATCGTCTAACCCCAAATCACCTAAAAGTGCAGGCCCAGGACGTGCTTATCTGCCCAGTGAGTCACCTGGAGGGGTGGTGATGGGGGCTGTTGATGACACGCTCCTTTCCTTTCCCAGCCCGTGTGTTCTACCTCTGAAAAGACATAGCATTTTCATTTGCAGAGCCCATTATAGAAAAATAAGAACAAAAATATTAGAAGGAAAAGACATAGCATCATTTAGTGTTCATTCATATGAATATGTATATTGTCTACAGCTATCTATATCTCTGTTTTATATCTATGTCTGTTACACCATCAGAGAGCACCTAAAGTGCAGAGTCTCATCCACAAACTGTTTCTTGCATCTACTGTAAGAGGCCATTCCGATGCTCTGTCAGCCCCAGCAGCACCCAACCACTACATGGCACGCATCCTATCTCAGATCATCCCCAGGATATCACGTGGCCCTGTTCTCATTGCCCCACTGATTTCATGGGCGTGCAGGTCCCTCGATCTGAGATTAAGTCATGAGATGCTCCATTTAAACAGGCGGGAGCCTCTGATTCCTGGCGGAGAGCCACAGTGAGCCCAGCAGAACCCATCTGAGCGCCAGCATCCAGCCCGGTCAGGAGGATTTGCTGCCCCCTCCTGGTGGAATGCGCGCCATGTCGTCAAGCGGCCACCAGATGACTCGCTCGCTGGTCCACTCAAAGGCATCACATCCAGAGCGCTCTGCTGGTCACAGGTGAGACTCTCAGCGACAGTGGTGGCTGCTTGGTCCTTGGTAAGAGGGAGTCGCTGGTGTTGGTTCCATGCATGTCCTTTTTTCTTTGATTCTTTTATTTTATTTTATTTAGAGACGGAGTCTCACTCTGTCGCCCAGGCTGGAGTGCAGTGGCGCGATCTCGGCTCACTGCAACCTCTGTCCCCTGATTCTCCTGCCTCAGCCTCCCGAGTAGCTGGGATTACAGGCACCTTCCACCACACCTGGCTAGTTTTTGTATTTGCAGTAGGGACGGGGTTTCGCCATATTGGCCAGGCTGGTCTTGAACTCCTGACGTCAGATAATCTGCCCAACTCGGCCTCCCAAAGTGCTGGGAATACAGGCGTGAGTCACTGCGCCTGGCAGCATGTCCTTTTTTTCTTGCTCCATGGCCACGACACTCACGGGCCCCTCCAGCACGCACTGGGGCTGCTGACACAGAGCTGGCTGAAGCTCACGGCATTAACCCAGTCATCAGCGGATCCTTAGATCTCCTAACCCCAGCTGTGGGCGCTCCTGCTAGCTTCTCAGGAGAAGCTCCTGGTCGAGAGCAGACGTTTCTCCTGTCCTCCTCCAGCCTCAGTCTCCGGCAGTTTCTGTGTGCCTGGGCCTTGAGGGTGGGTTTGTCTCCGTGTTTCTGTCCCCGCTCCTCATGGCAGCTGCATTGTATTGAGTAGGTTTGTTTGATGGGGACGGGTTTTCTGTCCCTATTCCAAATTTGCATATCTCTAATGGTATTTGTCTAGGATCACAGTCCAGGATTGTTCTCTGCACTCCTCCTAGGGTAGAGGGATTTTATGATCCACCTTCTTCCGGCCACAATGAGTCATTACCTGGGATCTGAGGTGGGCAGAATTATCTGAGCCTCTTCCAATGGCTTATGTCTTTTCCTCCATGTGAGAGAAACACCTGGGTGGGAAATGAGATTTCAGGCCATGCACAGTGGAAGCTCTTTCTGTCTGATCACTAATGTGGGGTCTCCATCTTGCTCCAAATCAGTTTTGTGAATGCACGGTTGAGACCCAAGAAAAAGAGCCTTTGGGTGAGTGCACAGCACCCCTCTGTCTTAGGTCCCCAGATATATCTCAATTTGGGCTTCTTCTGGAACATGAAACTATTTACTTTGAGTTTCCTACGAAAACATAGTGCTGGCCTTAGACTTCCTATCCTGAAACCCCACGTCTATTTCCCAACCTCATGCATGGAAAAGTGCTCGAATCTCCATAGGATCAGCAAGATCTCTATAGAATCTCCATGGGCCCTCCACAGGACCTCCATAAGATCTCAATAGGTTCTCCACAGGTTCTCCATAGGTTGTCCATAGAACCTCCACAGGACCTCCATAGGATCTCAATAGAACCCCCACAAGACCTCTATAGGATCTCAATAGAACCCTCACAGGACCTCCATAGGATCTCAGTAGAACCCCCACAGGACCTCCATAGGATCTCAATAGAACCCCCACAGGACCTCCATAGGATCTCAATAGAACCCTCACAGGACCTCCATAGGATCTCAGTAGAACCCCCACAGGACCTCCATAGGATCTCAATAGAACCCTCACAGGACCTCCATAGGATCTCAGTAGAACCCCCACAGGACCTCCATAGGATCTCAATAGAACCCCCACAGGACCTCCATAGGATCTCAATAGAACCCCCACAGGACCTCCATAGGATCTCAATAGGACATCCACAGGACCTCCATAGAATCTCAATAGAACCCCCACAGGACCTCCATAGGATCTCAATAGAACCCCCACAGGACCTCCATAGGATCTCAATAGAACCCCCACAGGACCTCCATAGGATCTCAATAGAACCCTCACAGGACCTCCATAGGATCTCAATAGAACCCCCACAGGACCTCCATAGGATCTCAATAGAACCCCCACAGGACCCCCATAGAATCTCAATAGATTCTCCATAGGACCTTTGCAGGACATCCATAGGTTCTCCGTGGATCTTCATAGGACCTCGACTGGATCTCCATAGGATCTTCACAGGGCCTCCGTAAGTTCTTCACAGGATTTCCAGAGTTGCCACAGGATCTGCCACTGCAGGGACCAGCCGGCATCCTCTACATCCCAAGATGCTGGAAATGACCACGTGGTGATAGTGGTTATGGATTTCCTACAGGAGAATGTGTGAAACCATGTTCCTGGGCAACCCTGCGGAGTCCCAATCTCCATTCAGATCCTCCAGGGGCCAGGCTGGAGGGGGTGTCTGGTGTGTCACTGTGTCTGTTCACACAGAATGGGGGCTTCTGCAGTAATAATGGGAAACCAGCCCAGAGATAGAGGCAGGGATTGGAGTTATGCTGTCATAATCCATGAAGTGCTGAGCTGAGGAAACCAGCTGAGCTTGGACTGTAGCGTTGGACAGGAGACATTGATAAAAAGGACTCTGTGGTAGAATGGTGTGGATTTGTTCATTGTGTGTGAAGAAGAAGATGCTCAGGGAATGAAAGCTCTTCCATTCTCTGACTTGGTTGACAAGAGGAACCAATAGGGCCATCACAGGAGCAATGACCCCATGTGGGAAGCAGACTGAAGGAGATGTATTAAAAACAGTTAACTAAGTCAGAGAGAGAAACAGAGCCTCCCAATACCTGGAAAGCATGGTTTGTTCCTCCCAAACTTCCTCCCTCTGACTTCTTTATTTCTCTACGTAGCAGCACCTCTTCATTTCTCCATCAAAGGCTCTGAGCTGTTTGAGTTCCTCATATATTCTGATGATCAAACCCTTGTTAGAGGAATAGGTAACAAATGTTTCTCCCTGCCTCTGTAGGTCATAACACCGTTGGTTGTTTCCTGAGCTCTGCAGAAGCTTTTTAGTTTGATACACCCATTTGTCTATTTTTAAATTCGTTTCCTATGCTTTTGAGGTCTTACTGATAGAATGTTTGCTTAGACCAATGTCTTGAAGCGTTTCCTCTGTGTTTTCTTCTATAGTTTCATAGTTTCAGGTCTTACTTTGGGTCTTATTCTGTCTTGAGTAGATTTTTGTATATCGTGAGAGACAGAGGTTGAGTTTTGTTTTTTTGCATATGGATATGCAGTTTTGCTAGCAGCATTTATTGAAGAAACTGTCCTTTACCCAATATATGTTCTTGGCATGTTTGTTGATAATCAGTTGGCTGTCAATTTGTGGATTTATTTCTAGGTTCTTTGTTCTGTTCCATTTGTCTATGTGTTTGTTTTTAAGCCAGTGCCTTACTGTTTTGGTTACTATAGCTTTGTAGTGTATTTTGAAGTCAGGTAGTGTGATGTCTCCAGCTTTGTTTTTTTTTCTCTACATTGCGTTGGCTATTTTGGGTATTTTATGGCTCTATATTAATTTTAGAATTTTTTATATTTCAGTGAAGAAAGACACTTGTATGTTGATAGGAATTACAATGAATCTGTAGATAGCTTTGGGTCCTATGGTCCTTTTTGTAAACATTTATTGTTTCAACGTGTGAACATGAGGTATCTTTCCAGTTTTTTCGTGTCCTCTTTAATTTTTCTTAGAGCTTTATAATTTTATTTGTAGAGGTTTTTACCTTGTCAGTTAAATTTATTAGCAGGTCTTTTATTGTTTGTGGCTATTATAAATGGGATTTCATTCCTGAATTCTTTTTCAGCCAGTTCTGTTCTTCAGGGTCAAGCATCATGTAAGTTCCCATGTAGGAAAGGAATCCGGAATGAACAGCAGCTGCACACAAATGCCTTTCTCTGATTTCCACCTCAGAGGGGTCCAGGAGGTGATCAGGCACATGGAGCATTGTCACATTTGGTACCAATCCCAGTGTGATCCCTAAAACACCACCTGATTGGGTTGAGCCTCATCTCTGAAATAACCAAGCCCTGTGTGATCCCTAAACCACCACCTGATTGGGTGGAACCTCATTTCTGGAATAACCAAGCCCTGTGTGATCCCTAAACCACCGCCTGATTGGATGGAACCTCATCTCTGGAATAACCAAGCCCTGTGTGATCATCCTAAACCACCACCTGATTGGGTTGAACCTCATGTCTGAAATAACCCCAAGGCCATGTTGGTGTCCTTCATCCCAGTTCTGGTGGTTTCAACATAATGAAATCAGAAAGTTATATGGCCACTTAAAAATGTCAAGTGCATGTCATGAAGTACTGGACAAGGTGTTTCCCTTTCTGAGGCCCATTCTTACCTGGGTAAGTGGCTCATTGTCTGCGTGGACTCAGGTGAGGTTGATCAGGCAGGTGGGTGTCATGTTGTGAATGAAACACAAAGTCAACCTGTGAGATCATTGCTCTGACAGGTCAAGAACCACCTGGTTTGCCATTTAGTGGCCAGTGCAGCCTGTGGCATTCACCACCACACTTCAATCTCAGCTCCCTAAATGGCATGACAAATAAAGATAGATAGGTACAAAAACAGAGATATGCTATTCCCTGGTTAAAATGGCTGTTATCTCTAAGACAAAAATTAACAGATGCTGTCAAGGATATGGAGAAAAGAAACCCTTCTACCTTGGTGGGAACGCAAGTTGGTGCAGCCAATATGGAAAACAGCATGGAGGTTCCTCAAGAAACTGAAAGTAGAACAACCACACCATCCAGTAATCGCACAGATGGGTATATTTCCAAAAGAAAGAAAATCAGTATATCAAAGAGGTGTCTGCATTGCCATGTTTATTGCAGCAGTATTCACAATAGCCAAGATATGGAATCAACCTATGTCCATCAATGGATGAATGGATAAGGAACATGTGGTCTATATACACAATGAAATAATATTCAGGCATAAAAAGAAGGAAATTGTACCATGTTCAGCAACACAGATGAATCTGGAAGACATTATGTTCAGTGAAATAAGCCAGGCCCAGAAAGAGGAGCATGTTCTCACTCACGCGGAAGCTACAAAAGTGGGCCTTGTGATGGCAGAGAGTAGAATGGTTGTCAACAGAGGCTGGCAAGGGAGTGTGGAGGACAGGGATGGAGAGAGGTTGGTGGACGGGTGCAGAAATACAGGTGGAGAGAAGGAGTAAGTTCCAGGGCCTGAGAGCTCAGTAGGGTGACCATAGTTAGCAACAGATTATTGTATTTTCCACATGAGTGAGAAATGAAGATTTGGAATGTTCCCAGCACAGAAATTATAAAAGTTGGCCAGGCATAGTGGCTCACACCTGTAATCCCAGCACTATGGAAAGCCGACGCTGGTGGATCACCTTAGGTCAGGAGTTCGAGACCAGCCAGAGCAACATGGTGAAACCCCGTCTGTAATAAAAATACAAAAATTAGCGAGGTGTGATGGTGCATGCCTGTAATCCTAGCTACTCAGGAGGCTGAGACAGGAAAACTGCTTGAACCCGGGAGGCAGAGTTTGCAGTGAGCCAAGATCCTGCCACTGCACGCCAGCTGGGCGACAGTGCAAGACTCTGTCTCAAAATAATAACCATAATAACAAATGTTCAGGGTGATGAATGTCCTGGGAACCTTTATTGGATCGTTACACATTGCATGGATGAATCAGATTACCACATGCTCCCAAGAAACATGTATGATTATTCCGTATCAAATTAAAATTATGTGATTTACCAATAACTCGAAGTGGATTGAGGGTCACCAAATGAAAGTCAGCGTTCCAGTGCCCGCGTCCAGTGGTCCTTGGAGTTTCCATGTTGAACAGAACCCTCCAGTATTTCCTGATGTGCAAGCACTATTTTGGATTACATAATCTATTTCCTTTATTTATGGGGTCTATTTTGAGTTTGCCTCCCTAGAAAATAAATGCTGCCTCTTTTTGAGCTTCATGTGCACACCTTCTTTTTATACTCTTGTTTCTTTACTCAACATCATGATGGAAGGTTGGTTTGCATTGCTCTTTGTAGATTTTGTCTGTGCCTCTGCACGGCCTCGTAGTATCCCTTGGTGGAATTGAACCACATATGTTTCCTTTGTTTTAGATGTATTTTTGGGTTTTATGGCTGTTGTGTAATATGAGCAGCAGTCCTGTCCATGTTGTTGTGAATGAAACCTCACCATATGAACACATTTTCCTCTAGGTTCTGTGCTTTGTGTTCATAGCTGTGTGTCTCTTCTTTTTTTTTTTCTTTTTTTTTTAGATGAAGTCTCGTACTGTCACCTGGGCCGGAGTGCAATGGCGCCACCTTGGCTCACTGCACCAACTGGCGCCAACTTGCTTCCGTCTCCCAGGTTCAAGCAATTCTCCTGCCTCAGCCTCCTGAGTAGCTGAAATTACAGGCACCTGCCACCACGCCCAGCTAATGTTTTGTATTTTTAGTAGAGACGGGGTTTCACTATGTTGGCCAAGCTGGACTCGAATTCCTGAACTCGTGTCCGCCCGCCTCAGCCTCCCAAAGTGCTGGGATTACAGGCATGAGCCACCGTGCCCGGCCATGTTTCTTCTTTTTCACTGGGTACTTCTGATATTTTCCCCAAATTGATTCAAGTAATTTGCAGTCCTACCATGGATGTATTGGATTTCTACGTGAGCCCTACTACCTCTGACATTTGATATTGTCATTTTCATCATGTGAAATGAATACCTCAACATTGATCCCTCTCTTCAGGAATGATCGACAGATAGTCCAGAAAGCATAGGCTGTAGATTTTGTTCCAGAACCTCCTGGGATCATCAGATTGAACACATGAGGGTGGGAGACTGCCATACAAGCTGGGAAGGAGGAATCAGATGATATTGTCATGAATTCCTCAAGAGTTAGTGTTTGCTGGCCTCCAAGAGGCAAGGATCTCTGGGAACTTAAGACAGAGAAGCACTTCACACTCACCCATGAGCTCTTTTCCGTGGGTCTCAACTGGGCATTCACAACATAGATTGGAAGTAAGGTGGAGACCCAAAATTTGTGATCAGACATGATTACCTTCCACAGTGTGTGGCCTGAAATCTCACCCCCCTCTGGAGGTCCTAGATTGTCCTCCAGAGCCTTCTGGGATCATCAGATCTGTCCCTGAGGCTCCACCACGCTGAAGGGTGCATTGTCCTCTCCGCTGTTCACCTCCCGGCTGCATCTTGGGGGTTTCTCTGGCTGTGCTGAGCCTCAAATAACAGAATCCCGAGGAACACCAGGACCAAGCCTGCCATGCCCATGCGGATGAGATTCTCCACTGTGTAATCCTTGGCGTGTGAGGCTGGGGATGGTGGGCAAAGAGGTCACAGAGGTCCGGGCAGATCAACTTCACCCAGGACCCCTGGATGCCCAACCCAGGGCACCCCCCATCCGCCATTGACAGAACCTGACCCTCTGTGCCCGCCCCATAACTGTCTGACTTGTTTTGTGATGGGGTGAGGGTCTCAGCTCCTCCTGAGAATCAAAACAGAAGGGGAGAGCCCTGAGCCAGCCTCTCCCCTGGGCTCTGCGTTCTTATTCTTCCAGGCCTCACGACGTGGCTTTTACGGAGTTCCTCAATAAACCCTCCCTCTCCTGCAGCAGGGCTCCCTCCAGTCTCCTCATGAAACTATTTCAGTTTTCCTGTGTTCTATGAATTTCAACGCTGCTCCTGAGCCATTTCCTCCCTCCCATGGGCTGGATTCTCCACCTTCACTCCCTTCTTTCCTAGTGTCCCAGAGCTCTCCTGGGTGCAGAGCCTGAGCTGAGCATTTGAGCTCAGAGAGGACAGGGTCAGGGCCCTCACCTGAGACCACGAGCTCCAGGGAGTCACTGGCCTGACCCTGGGGGGTTGAGGGGCTGGTCCTCAGGACCTCCTGGGTCAGGACAGGGAGGTGAAGCCTGGGGCTACCTTGCTCCCCACATCAGCCCGGCTCCTCCTCCTGGCTGGGCCCCAACATCTCTCTCTGCCTTGAACCCCCCACTCTTCACCAGCCCAGCCTCAGAGCCCCTGGGACACAAGCCCGTCCTTGAGGGGAGGGGAGTGGGATCCTTTGGGAGACTCAGACTGCCCTGGGGGAGGCCGCGCTCCCCACGAGGCCTCAGTGACTCACCAGGTGTGGAGGGCGGCCCTGTGGGTGGGAGGCTGGAGCCTCCAGAGTGTCCTGGAAGGAGCACGGGAGGCGGGTGAGGGGCGGGGGCCGTCCATGGAGTGCACCCTTCCACTCCCACTCTCCTGCTTCCGCCCAGTGGATTCCCTGGAACCATCTCTCTGCCCACCTGGTGCCTTCTGCATGCCAGGCAGGGGAGAACGGGTGGCCACGCCTAGGAGAACCCCTGTTGGCCTCCTCCCCTCTGAGGGCTGGGTGCCCTCTGGCTAAGCCTCCCTCACAGCCTCCCTCGGTCCATCCCAGCCGAGAGCTCTCCTGGGGGCCTGGGCCTGAGCTGAGCCTTTGAGCTCAGAGAGGACGGGGTCAGCGCCCTCACCTGAGACCATGAGTTCCAGGGGCTCACTGGGGAAAGACAGCAGGTGGGGGTTGGAGCTGTATGAGCCGTAGCACCTGTAGGTCCCCGCGTGGGCTGAGGTCACAGGACTCATGGGGAATTCAGCCTGGTACTTATGAGCTCCGTACATTGATCTCAGACGCAGTGGGGGATGGGCTGCCCCTTCTTTGGTCAGAAGGAAAGTGTCAAAATAACCCCGTGACTGACACAGCAGGGTCACGTTCTCTCCTGAGGCCACTGTGGGGCCCGGCTGTGCTGACAGGGAGACGGTGTCATAGATCTGTCCTGGAGAGAAGAAGGATGGGTGAGGGGCTGCCCCACCTTGCTCTGAGCTGACACCTCCCCAGGCCTCTCCCTGGGACCCTCAGTGTCTCTGTCCCTGTTTTCTCTGAGTCTCGCCTCCCCGCCCATCCCCTGTCTCTGTCTGTCTCTCCCTCCCTTGGGACCCCCACCCCTCATCCCGGCCATCACCACCTGGGCTCCCCCGGCAGGGCCTGTGCAGAGCCTGGGTCCCTGACTGAACCCGCTGGGCTCCTCACCTGCCATCAGGATGTTCAGGGGGTCGCTGGGGGCCGACCACTCGGAGGAGAGGTTGTGTGCACCATAGCACCTGTACTGGCCCCCGTGGGAGGGGCTCACAGGGCCCAGGGTGAAGTTGGCCTGGGAGAGCCCAGCCTGGGGCTGCTGGCCAGGGCGCTGGAGGAAGTCACGTTCCCCCTCCTTATACAGAACAAATCTGTCGTAGCCGACATCAGAGCCACACTGGAGGGTCAGGCTCTGCCCAGGGGCCAGGACAGGGCCCTGCAGGGTCAGGAGGGAGGGCTTCCTAGACACGCCTGGAGGGAAAGAGGAGCCAGGACTGAGAGGGCTGGTTCCTCCCACGCCCCTTCCTTCTCCCGTCCTGGCCCTGCAGGTCTCACTGTCTCTCACGCTCTGAGTCTCTGACCCCAGGGCCTCCTTCTCACCCGGGGCTGTCTTGGAGTCATTTCAGAGGAGTGGGGTCTCCCTAGCCCTGGCCACTGTGCCTGATCTTTCCTCCTCTCCCTGAGAGCTGGGACCTCACAGCAAACACACCGATGCCTTCCTGAGTCCTCCCCTTCCAGGTGAACGTGGTCAAGGGCTCCTCCTCCCATGTCAGAGCCTCCCCATGGGGTCTCCCTCATGCCTTCAGCCCGTCCTTCAACACATCACTCTGGGTCCTTTCCAGATTCAGTCACCAGCCAAACTCCCCACAACCTGTCAGCTGCCCCGAAAGTGTGTTAGACAAGGCCGTGGCTCCCTCACCTGAGGGCAGAATCTCCAGGGGGTCACTGGGGTGGGACCACACCCGGGGGGTGTTTGTATAATAGTAATAGCATGTGAACCTCCACCTGTGGCTGGGGGTCACGGGGCCCACAGGGAACAGGGCCTGGAACCCCCCACTGTGGAGCTGCTGTGAGTCCAGGGTCCGGGGGAGCTGGTGTTCTCCTTCCTTCATCAGAACAAAATGGTGATATCCCTTCTGTGAGCCACATCGGAGGGTCATATTCCCCCCTGAGGCCACCACAGGGCTGGGCAGGGCTGAGAGGGTGGGTTTGTTGTAGAATCCTAGGAGAGAAAGAGGCACCGTGTTAAATGGGGCTCCCACCTCCCACATCATCCCCAGGGCTGGGCTGTGAGAGGGAGACGCCCCTGAGAGCCGACCCCCTTCCTGAGGGCAGAGCCTGGGGCTGGGACCCCAGAGTGTCCTCTCACCTGTCATCACCAGCTCCAGGGGGTCGCTGGGCTCTGACCAGCCTGCAGAGCTGTAATAGTGGCAGCGGTATCTCCCTGCATGGTGCTGTGTCATGGATGGGATGGAGAATCTGGCCTTGTTCTTGGGTTCCAGTGGGTTATTTCTGTCCAAGGGCTCTGGGCTTCCCTCTTTATCCAGTTGGTACTCCTGGGCCTCCAGGCTCCCCTGACACCAGATGGTCACGGGGCTCCCCCAGCTGATCACAGAGCCTGGCTCAGCCCAGAGGGTGGGTTTGGGGAAGGGCCCTAGATGGAAATCAGAGGCTGGATCCCAAGACATCCCCACGCTCAGATCCCAGCTCCCAGCCCCAGGACTTCCCCATCATCCCCATCAGTCACCCAGAACTACTGTCTCCTCCCCCAGCTGCCCATGGGTGGCCCCCTGTCCCAGTGAGGAGTAGGGACCTGGGACAGCTGGGGACAGACTCACCTGCCTGCACGCGGGTCCTGGGGCCCAGACTCAGCCCTGGAAGAGAGTTCCCTGTGAGGCATTTGCCCTGAAGCCTGAGCAGGTCCCCGCCCGGGTGCCTCCTGAGCTTTTGAGGTCTCCTGATGGACCAGGGCTTGTGTGTGGGGTGGGGTTCCTCCAAGACTCGGATCTCCCCCTCCCCATCTTGAAATCTCACCAAGGCAGAGCAGGGCTGTGAGGGCGGGCGTCATGGCGTCTCCTTCCGGTGACCCCGCGCTCTGCAGAGGGATGAGCCCTCAGTGCTGGCAGGACAGAGAGACACACAGGGTGTGGCCGCTCGGAGGCTGGGTCCTTCTTGTCATGGGGTTGTCTCATCCTCAGCCCACAGGAAGAGGAACTGCCACCCCAGGAACCTGGCTCTGATTTCCCCAGGGCTGAAGTGGGGGCAGGCACCAGGCTCTCTGCAGGCATTTCAGAGAGAAATGGGGTCTCCCTGCCCCCGGGCCACTGTCTGCCTGATTTATCTTTATCTCACTGAGGACGGGGACACAGCCGCAAATAGACCTGGTGCCTTCCTGAGTCAGCCCCTTTCAGGCGAGGGTGACCGTGGGCTCCTCCTCCCTCTCAGAGCCTCCCCATGGGGTCTCCCTCCCTCCTTCAGCTCGTCCATCAGTTCAGCGTTACGGGGTCCTTACCATGGCAGTCGTCTCTCCAGCCCTGGAGATGCTTCAGGGAAGACCCAGGTCCATGCTGCAGGCAGACTCAGATCAGCAGAGACGCACCTGACACCTGGCTGTGTAGTCCAGGCTGAGCTGCGTGTAGCAGTGAGCACAGAGAAATGCAGGGTCTACCGTGGTGGCTCATGCCTGGAATCCCAGTACTTCAGGAGGCTGTGGCGGGTGATGGCTTGAGGCCAGGAGCTTCAGACAGTCCTGGGAAACAGACTGTGACCCTGTTTCTACAGAAAAGAAAAAAGTGAGCTGGGCATGGAGGCTCATGCCTGTGGTCCCAGCTACTCAGGAGGCTGAGGTGGGAGGATCACTTGGGCCCGGGAGGCGGAGGCTTCAGGGAGCTATGATCACCCCTTGGCCTTCCAGCCTGGGCGACAGAGCAAGATCCTGTCTAAAAAGGAGAAATAGAGGGGATAAAGAGAAATATATATATATATGTTTCATTGTAATCTATAATCTGATTCTGGGGAAGGTGAGCTGATTTGTATTTAATTCCTGATTATCATCTAGGGTTTATGTGACTTTGGACATGAATGTCACCTCTGAGCCTGCTGTCATGAACCCCACTCATCACAGTGGCTGTGGGGGTCAGTGGTGCCCAGGACATGGGAGGCTCAGCCATGGTGAATTTCCAGACCAGTTCAGACAGGAGGGTGGGGACGGGAGAGGATCCTGGTGCTGGGCTTCACAGTCGAGGAGGATGATTGACGCCCCCACTCAAGAGCCCACATCGGCTCCAAATACCATGAAATTCTCCTTGTGATACGTCTGAAATATGCAGATCATCACAGCCACAGGCAGAGAAAGAGGAAAAACAGTTCCTCACATTGAGACGCATCCCCTTCCATGAGCAGAGTTCAATGCTGAGTGGCCACAGGTGTCTGGGACCACCGAGCGTCATTAGGGAGGAGGAGGCTCCCACCTCCATGTGGGACAGAAGAGGAACCCCACGTCCTCCCAGGCAGGGAGGGGTCAGGGCTCTGGGTGAGGCTGGAAGCGGTGGCTCCCCCTCCCCTGTGTGTGTGGACAGGCGCTGGGGGGTCTCTGCTCACTCACTGGAGGCCACGGTCAGCGCTCAGCCCCTCCCCTGTGTGTGAGAAACAGATTCAATCCACGGTGGTCAGACATGGGCGTCTGCCCCACAGGTGAGTGTGAGGCTGGCGTTGGTCCCATCCCTGCTGGGCACAATCTTGAGCTGACACTGAGTTTGGGGGAGTGGGGCAGGAGCAGCGGCAACAATCCCCTTCATCAGGCTGATGCCTGGACAGCCGTGGGAGAAACCCTTTATGAAAGGCCGGGTGCGTGGGAGGAGCTGTCCCACAGGAATGACAACCAAGATACGTGAGGAAAACACAGACAGTTGTTGAAATGCATTAGACAGACGTCGTGAAGGTGAAAAATAGTAAATTGAATTAATACCATCGAAAAGTAATTTAATAAATATATACACCTACTATGTAGCCATAAAGTGAAAAATTTGACCGGGCGTGGTAGCTCATGCCTGTAATCCCAGCACTTTGGGAGGCCGAGGTGGGCGGATGACCTGAGGTCAGGAGTTTGAGACCAGCGTGGCCAATATGGTGAAACCCTATCTCTCCTAAAAATACAAAAACAATTAGCTGGGTATGGTGGTGCACGCCTGTAATCCCAGCTACTCGGGAGGCTGAGGCAGGAGAATCGCTGGAACCCAGGAGGCGGACATTGCAGTGAGCTGAGATGGCACCACTGCACTCCAGCCTGGGCCACACAGCAAGACTCTGTCTCAAAAAAAAAAAAAAAAAAAAAGAAAAAGAAAAAGAAAAAAAGAAAGTAAACAACTTCTAAAGCGATTCAAGCACCAGAAGGGTTCAAATGAAAATGAGACCAAAGGAAGTAAATAAAAAAGAGGAGGGAATTTGTGAGAACACATTTTAAAGGGTCCATTTTCAAGTCATGATATCCAAGTATTGGCAGCCAGTCTGCGGATGTAACAAACCGCACGGCTCATGCTCCTAGCAAATCACAATAAGTGAACAGAATGGCGGGGGGTTGTGGGGGAGGAGGCGGTCAGCCCATAAAAGGGAAAAAAATTTTGTTATTGGGAAATCGCAACTTAAGCGGGGAAGGGGACGGGGTACAACCTTATAAGGGGGATAATGAAACTCAGGCGAAGTCTGGGAAGATTGTAACCTCATAGTACTCGACCAGTGAGGAACTGGGGAAGGGATAGTTGAGTGCCAAGAGATAAATTACCTGCTGTGACTGCCCCGGCTATGCCTACCTAGCAGACATCCAATTTTGCAAGACCCTGTTAAAAGTCTCACTTTCAGGCGGGACATGGTGGCTCACGCCTGTAATCCCAGCACTTTGGGAGGCCGAGGCGGGCGGATCACGAGGTCAGGAGATCGAGACCATCCTGGCTAACACGGTGAAAACCGTCTCTACTAAAAATACAAAAAATTAGCCGGGCGTGGTGGCGGGCACCTGTAGTCCCAGCTGCTCGGGAGGCTGAGGCAGGAGAATGGCATGAACCCGGGAGGCGGAGCTTGCAGTGAGCCGAGATCGCGCCACTGCACTCCAGCCTGGGTGACAGAGCGAGACTCCATCTCAAAAAAAAAAAAAAAAAAAATTCGCAGCAGGGTCTGCTGGGGCAAAGCAAGGGGTTCGTCTCCTGGTAAGTTTCCCTGGGACCTCTCAGTACCACCTCCCCCTGTCCTGCTCCCAGTGGGACTGCTGAGATCTAGGGAGCGGGTGTGATGTCCCTGAGGTTCCACAGTATGAAGTGAACCATGTTCCCCTGAGCCCCAGACCCTTCCCAGCCCCTTCCTGTTACTAGTGAAACTGCAGGGTCCCCATCTGCACCCCAGGTGCACCCCCTCTTCCTCTTACTCACTGAGGTTTTCTTCTTGGATGTCAGCAGCTGGGCTGGACCTGGGGGAGGACACGAGAGTGTGGTGTGGTGGAGTGTGGGAGTCTGGGGTCTTTGGGCAGAATTACCTCCTCAGCAGACCCCTGTTCTTGGGCTCTGGTCCCACGGCCCCTGCAGGGTGTTGGAAATCAGCCTCTCTCTGGGCTAGGTGAAGAAGGACAAAGTCTCAGCCCTGGGAACCTTAGAACCACCCACCCAGTACATGCGACTTTAGGGGAAAAAATGAAACTTGAAAACACACCCATATATATATATATATATATATATATATATATATATATTTTTTTTTTGAGACAAGGTCTCGCTCTGTCGCCCAGGCTGGAGCACAGTGGTGCGATCCCAGCTCACTGCAGCCTTGACCTCATAGGGTCAAGTGATCCTCCTGCCTCAGCGTCTTGAGTAGCTGGGACCACGGGTGCACACCACCAAACCTGGCTTATTTGCATTTTTAATTTTTTTTGTAGAGATGGGGTCTCACCACATTGCCCAGAGTCCTCTGAAACTCCTGGGCTCAAGCCATCCACCTGCCTCAGCCTTCCAAAGTACTGCGATTACAGGCATAGTTGTTTTAAATACTGGATACACTTAAAAAGGCCCGAAGACGTTGGGCCGAATGGCTCATGCCTATAATCCCAGCACTTTGGGAGGCTGAGGCGGGTGGATTGCTTGAACTCAGGAGTTTGAGACCAGCCTCGGCAACATAGTGAGACCCCCCATCTCTCCCCCGCAAAAAAATAATTAGCCTGGCGTGGTGATAGGGGCCTGTAGTCCCAGCTACTCAGGAGGCTGAGGTAGGAGGATCATTGAGGATCTTGGGAGGTGGAGGTTGCAGCGAGCCGAGATCACACCACTGCACTCCAGCCTGGGTGACAGAGCCAGATCACGTCTCAAATAAAATAAAATAAAAAGCTCAAAGAATAAATTACTTGCACATACACTCATATTTATTCTCTTCTTTCTAGATTTTTCAGCTGGGACTTTCTGGAGCTGTTTTTCTAAGCTGACTTTCTTGTGTGTTTGGTTCCCCTTTGGTTGGTGCCCTGATCCCACCCTCGGTGGGCCCACAGGTTCCCCCATTCCCTGCTCACCCAATGTCCTGTGTTTGCTCTGACGCCGACATTGGAGGAGGAGGACGAGCGGCAGGACAAAGGCCACTGAGACCCCGGTTACAACCCCCAGGTATCTTCCCAGACCTTGCGCGTGATGACGTCGGGAATGAGGATGACATCGCTGATGTGAGCACCTACTGTGTGCAGGCGCGTGCTGGGTCTTCATGAGCTCTAACCCTCACAGCAGTCGTGCAACGTGGGATTGCCAACCCCCCAACCCATTTCACAGATGCACAAACTGAGGCTCAGAGGGGGGAATCGCCTGCCCCAGGCCCCCCAGCCTGGAAGAAGCAGGTCTGGGAGGGGAACCTGGGACCTTGTGTTTTCCCCAGCTGTCCTCCTGCTGCCCCACCAGGTGGACACCTGCTTCCTGCTCTGGGTCTTCTCATCTGACAGCAGGGGCCTGTCTTAGTGTCTCCATCTGGGGCTGTGTCCTCCTTACAACCCTCCCTTCCCCAGCACAGCAGGGCCTGGGGGAGGGAGTGGGCTGTACAGGACGGACCCTGCATTGCTCTCACCCCCAGCCCAGCCAGGTCCATCTCCTACTCTGCCAATCCCTGACCTTCCCATGCAGAGCCTTTGACCACAGACTGAAGGGCTGCACTGTCGGCTTCTCGGCTTCTGAGGTTTTGGTACTCGGACTAGCTTCCTTGCTCCTCAGCTTACAGACAGTCTATTGTGGGACCTCACCTTGTGATCGTGTGGATCAATACTCCTTAATAAACTCCCCTTTATATATACATCTATCCTGTTAGTTCTGCCCCTCTAGAGAACCCTGACTAATACATGTTTCTGAAATACGCAGCCATAGAAGGAAATGAGAAATGAAACTTCCTGACACAGGCAGGAAACCTCAGGAAGCAGCGAGGTCAGAGCTGAGTTGGCTTCTGGTGACTTGCAATGTCAGGGAATCACTAAAAGGGAGGTTTCCGCCTCTATATGAGACAGAGGAGAACCCCAGGGCCCTCACAGTCAGGGAGGGGTTGGGGTTTTGGGTGAAAGTGGGAAGTTGTGGCTCCTCGTCCCCTGTGTTTGTGGATGGCACTGGGGTATCTCTGCTCATTGACTCAGGTTTATGGTCAGCCCTGAGCCTCCCCCTCTGTGTGTGTGAAATAGATTCATTGTAGAGTTGTCAGACATGAGGTTCACACTGGACCCTCCCCTGCTGGTTACAGGCCTGAGCAGACTCACAAGACCCGGGCAGGTGGTGCCGTCCTCCTCTTTTCAAGCCTAACGCCCAGTGCAGCCCTGGTAGAAACCCTCTCTGGCAGATGAGGCACTGGGAGATGAGTGTCCAAGAATGAGAAGAAAGAGGAATCATCCTAATGATAAAAAGTGCTATGACTGGCTGCCTGCGATGGCTCACGCCTATTTTCCCAGCGCTCTGGGAGGCCGAGGTGGGCAGATCGCTGGAGCCCAGGAGTTCGAGACCAGCCTGGGCAACATGGTGAAACCCCATCTCTACTAAAAAGACAAAAATGAACTGGGTGTGGTGGTGCACACCTGTAGTTCCAGCTACTTAGGAGTCTGAGGTCGAAGATCGCTTGAGTCTGGCAGGCGGAGGTTGCAGTGAACTGGGGTGGTGCGCCACTGCACTTTAGCCTGGGTGACAGAGCAAGACCCTGTCTCAAAAACAAACACAGGCTGGGCGTGGTGGCTCACGCCTGTAATCCCAGCACTTTGGGAGGCCGAGGCAGGCAGATCATGAGGTCAAGAGATCGAGACCATCCTGGCCACACGGTGAAACCCCATCTCTACTAAAAATACAAAAAAAAAAAAAAAAAAGATTAGCTGGTTGTGGTGGCGGGCACCTGTAGTCCCAGCTACTCGGGAGGCTAAGGTAGGAGAGTTGCTTGAACTCAGGAGACAGAGGTTGCAGTGAGCTGAGATCACGCCACTGCACTCTAGCCTGGGTGACAGAGTGAGACTCCGTCTCAAAAAATAAATAAATAAATAAATAAAAACAAAAAACAAACCAAAAAATCAAACACAAAGTGCTATGGTTGACAATCCACACTCACTAATGAGGATTATCATGGTCAAAAGGAGTACTAGGAATGTGTGAGACCCATCTTAGGTTAAACATGTTTAAATATTTGAGAAATACAGAGGACATTGAATTTCTGAGGCAGGATTATATGATTTTTTTTTCTACAGCAGAATGAATATTATATAAAATAATTAGAAGACATAGAAAAATCAGATTTAATGAACACAATCAAAATACTCATTCCTTCGAGGACAAGACACAGTGAAGCACCAATTATGAAATTAGAAAACAAAACAGAATTTTTTTTAGAGTGTAGCATAGAAACTTTATAAATTGCAATTTAAAGTACTTGGGAGAATAGAATGAGGAGGGGGAATGTCCTATCTATTGTAGGCGTCAGAAAGAAGGAAGAGAAAACGATGTCTAGCAATAGCCCAAGAGGTGAGTAGCTGAACATTTTATAGAGATGAGGAGAGACTAACTAAGGACTAGGGCGCATCCCTTTAAAATTGAAATGTATGGGCTGGACGTGGTGGCTCACGCCTGTAAGCCCAGCACTTTGGGAGGCTGAGGCGGGCGGATCACCTGAGGTCGGGAGTTTGAGACCAGCCTGACCAACATGGAGAAACCCTGTCTCTACTAAAAATACAAAAATTAGCCGGGCGTGGTGGCAGGTGCCTGTAGTCCCAGTTACTCGGGAGACTGAGGCAGGAGAATCGCTTGAACCCGGGAGGCAGAGGTTGCAGTGAGCCGAGATCACTCCACTGTACTCCAGCCTGGGTGATAGAGCGAGACTCCGTCTCAAAAAACAAAACAAAACAAAACAAAACAAAAACCCTCACACAAAAACCAAGACAAATCCCCTTGACACAAGTTTATCTGTCTAACAAACCTGCACATGTATCCCTGAACTTAAAAGTGAAAAAAATAAAGGCAATATGTGTCAGATTTGTGGTGGTGTCTGCTGTTTCACCCCCATATGGAAATGTGTGCCTGAACCCCGCTTTTTTCCTTGCTTATTGTGGCTAGGATTTGTGAATGTAATTCACATTCTCAAGAATGAGCTTTTTTGGCTTCATCGAGTTTTCACGTAGCCCTCATTAGTAACTCCTCTTGTTATTTTTGTCCCCTTCCTCACACCTTCATTTGGAATAATTTGTTGTTCTTTTTCTAAATTCTTTCTGTCATTGCCAAGGTCATTAATTACGTAGGTTTTATTCTTTTCTAATTCATTCGCTCATTTGTAGTTTTCCGATTTCATCATTTAATGTGTAATATTTACATTATCATTCCAAATTTATACCATGCTCTAATTTCTGTTTCAGTTTTCTCAGCTCATTGATTTATTGAGAAGTCTGTGGCTTCATTTCAAAAATGCAAGGATATTAGTCATCTTTGACTGCAGAATCTAGTGAGTCCCAGAGTTCCCAGGATGTCCTGGTGGTCTTTGTTAGGGGTCCAGGCTGGCTGGGGTTCATTGGTGTCCACTGGGGGCAGCTCCTGTGCCTTCTGGAGTCTCTGAGTCTCCTTCTGTTGAGTATGAGATCTGGGTCCCCCGTGGGCTAGTGGATGGCCAGGGGGGCGTAGATGCTGGGTTCAGCTGGAGGTTCCCTTTCCTGGGATGGAGGAGGCTCAGTTGCCTCCCGTCTGAGGGTCAAGCTGTGTAGCTGGGCGTAGGTCACATCCTGGGGGGCTTCAGATGCAGCAGCCTGCAGCGGGGGAGAGTGAGAGGTAAGGAACGTGGTGGGGGTGGGGAGGCCTGGGGGCCTGGAGAGGAAAGGACTCTCTCAGTGTCCATCTGTCTGTCCTCTTCTGCCTGTCTGTCCTTTGTGTCCAGGAATTCCCCAGACAGTGGGGAGGGAGGAGAGGCCATTTCTCTCCTAGGTCTGGAGTGTTTCACCTCGGCATACGTCACTGCCTGGGGGTCTTCATCGTGTGGGCTCTGCTGGAGAGAGACAGTGGTGGGGGGTGTCCTTGAGTCCCCCTGACCTCCTGGAGTCAATTTTCCTCACTGTTCCCGGGGTGATCCGATTACATCCCTTTCCTGATGGAATCTCAGGGACGCCCTAAGGCCGTGGAGGGTCTGGCCGCTCCCTCCCTGTGGTTCTGGCCTCTGCTCCTCACTCTGACCTTGCCCATTTGGCTGCAGCCTCACAGGCCTTCCTGCAAGAGCTCGCTGCTGCCTGGGGGCCTTTGCACGGCTGTTTCCTCTGCCTGCAGGGGCTCGTCCATCAGAGGATCGTGTGCCCCACTCTGTCCAGGCTTCTCAGATGACAGCTGAGCAGACAGCCCTCCCCTTCCATTCAGACTGGCCCCACTGCCCCACACTCTCTGCCCTTTCCCTGGTTTATGTTCCTTACAGCACGTTGCACTCCTGGACACGATGCATTTATTTGCATTTTGTCTCCCACCATGAGGTGAGCTCAGGAGGCGGGGGCGGCTTTGCTCCCTGCTGTGTCTGCAGCTCCCATGGGGAGCCCCATCCACAGTGAGCTCCCTGGGAACACTCGCTGGTTGAATGAATGAAGGGGAGCCTGGGGGACCGGGGTGGTTCATTTATTCCTCATCCTCCTGAGGCCTGGGGAGCGCTCTAACAACCAGACGGCCAAACAGAGGATGAGGAGCAGGAAGGGGACCCGGGAGGAGGCCCACGAGGTCCCAGGACAGCAGAAGAGAGTGAGGTCGCAGCAGGCGGGAGGCAGCGTGCTGGACAAGGAGGGGTCCACCGTGACGATGCTGAGAGCCGGGGGAAGGAGGACAGAGAAGTCCTGCAGGATTAGATCTGGCACCAGGAGGCCTTTGGTGCCCGGGACAGGGGCGGGGCCTCACCCGAGCATCCATCTCCACCCCGTCCTTGGGCTGTGTGTCCTTCACGGCAGCATCTGCTGGGCCAGAGCAAGGGGTTCGTCTCCTGGGAAGGTTCTCTGAGACTTCTCAGTCCTGCCAGCCCTTGCCCTGTTCCCACTAGGGTGGCTGAGATCCAGGGAGGGACTGTGATGTCCCTGAGGTCCCACAGTGTGGGTTCAGACCACCTCCCCCTTGGCCCCAGACCCCTCCCAGCCTGTGCTCCTGCCCCCATTGCTACAGAAACTTTGGTGCTCCCTTGCCCACCCCAGGTGCCCTCCGCTTCTAGTCACTCACTGAGAATTTCCTCCTGGATGTCAGCAACTGGGCTGGCCCTGGGGGAGGACACGGGAGTGTGAGGGGCAGTGAGAGGGCTGTGCGGGTGGATGGGAGTCTTGGGTCTTCATGCAGAATTACCTCTTCTGCAGGCCCTGGTCCTTGGGCTCTGGCCCCGCAGCCCCTGCAGGACGGTAGAAATGGGCTGGACAGAGATGGACAGAGGGTCAGGCCTGGGAGAATTCGAACCAGCTGCCCTGCACACACAACTCGAGCGGAAAGAAGGAAACCTGGAGGCCCACTGGCACTGAGGCTTTAAATACGTCGTAAGTTTAAAGTAAAATCAGAAGAATCAAGCACTTCCACACATGCTCACATTTATTCTCTTCTTTCTCGATCGATTTTTCACCTGGGAATTTCTGGAGCAGTTTTTCTAAGCTGACTTTCCTCTGTGTTTGGTTTCCCTCTGGCTGGTGCCCCGAGCCCACCCTCGGTCGGCCCACGGGTTCCCCCATTCCCTACTCACCCGATGTCCTGTGTTTGCTCTGATGCCGATGTCGGAGGAGGAGGAAGAGGAGGAGGAACAGCAGCAGGACGAAGGCCACTGAGACCCCAGTCACAACCCCCAGGTGCCTTCCCAGACCTTGAGCGTGATGACGTTGGGAATGGGGATGACGTCATTGATGTGAGCACCTTCTGTGTGCAGGCGCGAGCTAGGTCTTTCCTTCATGAGCTCCAACCCTCACAGCAGTTGTGCAACATGGGATTGCCAACCCCCCAATTCACAGAGGAGCAAACTGAGGCTCAGAGAGGGGAATCGCCTGCCCCAGGCTCCTCAGCCTGGAAGAAGCAGGTCTGGGAAGGGAACCAGGGACTTTGTGTTTTCCCCAGCTGTCCTCCTGCTGCCCCACCAGGTGCACACCTGTTTCCTATTTGACAGGAGGGGCCTGTCCTAGTGTCTCCATCTGGGGCTGGTGTCCTTCTTAGGATCCTCCCTTCCCCAGCACAGCAGGGCCTGGGAGAGGGAGTGGGTTGTGCAGGACGGACCCTGCATTGCTCTCACTCCCAGCTCAGCCAGGTCCGTTTCCCACTCTGCCAAGTTCCCATACTCCCATGCAGAACCTGTCTGGATAGGGGCTCTGTGTGTATCTGGGAAGGGCTGAGGGTAGCAGGAGGACGGTGCCCCTGCCGAGCTGTGTACAGGGCCAGGTCCCATGATTTTGCTTACGCCTCGCAGCAGTTCTGTGAGCTGGATGGGACTGAGCCAGTTTACAGCTGCTGAAACTGAGTCAGAGTAGAAAGTTGACCTGCCTGGGCCCACGGTGGGATGCGGCAGAGCTGGGAAGTGAACCCAGGAGTCTGACCCGCAGCCCTTGTTCTCTGCACCTGAGCGGAGCCCCGGAGCTGCAGGGAAAGAGCCTGAATGCCCCAAACCACGGCCCTGCTCCCCTCCCCTGCCCCAGGTCACTGTCACTGCTGCCGGTGGGACAGGACAGTCCCCTGAAGAATCCCATCAATGCAGGCCTCTCTCCTTTACACTTGGAGAAACTGAGGCCCAGGCAGGGGAAGGGCTTGTGCACTTCACCATCTCCAGAGGAGCCTGAACCTACGACAGAACCCACCCCTGCCTCCCCTGGTCTCCGCCCACCTCCCACTCAGAGCCCCTCACTCACCACTCTGGGGATCCAACCCCGTGGGGGTGAGGGGCTGGTCCTCAGGGCCTGCTGGGTCAGGACGGGGAGGTGAGGGCTGGGGCTGCCCTGCTCCCCACATCAGCCCGGCTGCTCCTCCCCCAGGCTGGGCCCCAACACCCAACATCTCTCTCTGCCTCGACGCCCGCCCCCTCACCGGCCCAGCCTCAGAGCCCCGGGGAGCCTGTGGCCCCTCCTCTGGCTCTGCCCAGCTCCCTGGAGGGAAGCTCCCGCTTGAGTCTTTGAGGGGAATAGGATCCTCGGGGAGACTCAGGGCTGCCTGGGGGGAGACCACGCTCCCTCCGAGCCCAGAGGCCTCAGTGACTCACCAGGTGTGGGGGTGGAGCCTGTAGGTGAGAGGCTGGGATCCCCAGAGGGTCCTGGGAATAAGCACAGAAAGGGAGCGAGGCGCTTTGGTGCTGAGTGAGGAAACCCGTCCCTCCACCTGCCCGTGGCTTCTCTGGAAACTTTCTTCTGCTCACCTTTCACCATTTGCATCCCAGGAGATGGGGCCAAGTGTGGGCATGCCTGGGGAGCCCCCGTTGTCCTCCTCCCCTCTGAGGGGTGAGTCTCCCTCTGGCTGAGCCCCCCTCAAACCCTCCCCCCCGCACCGCGACTCCATCCCAGCCCAGAGCTCTCCTGGGGGCAGGGCCTGAGCTGAGCCTTTGAGCTTGGACAGGACAGGGTCAGGGCCCTCACCTGAGACCACGAGCTCCTGGGGGTAACTAGGGCTGGACAGCAGGTAGGGGTAGGACCTGATTGCGCTGTAGCATCGGTAGGTTCCACCCTGGGCTGAGGTCACAGGACTCATGGAGAATTCAGCCTGGTGTCTATAAGACTGGTACTTTGACTTTAGACACAGCGGGGGATGGGCTGCCCCCTCCTTGGTCAAAAAGAAAGTGTCTATCTGATGCCATGACTGACACAGCAGGGTCACGTTCTCTCCTGAGGCCACCTTGGGGCCCGGCTGCACCGAGAGGGCGGGTATGTCAGGGATCAGTCCTGGAGAGAAGAAGGATGGGTGAGGGGCTGCCCCACCTTGCTCTGAGCTGAGACCTCCCCAGGCCTCTCTAGGAGCCTCTGTCTCTGTTTTCTCTGAGTCTTCCCCTCCCCACCCATCCCCTGTCTCTGTCTGTCTCTCCCTCCCTTGGGACCACCCCCCCGCCTCATCCCGGCCATCACTAATTGGATTCCCCCGGCAGGGCCTGTGCGGAGCCTGGGTCCCTGACTGAACCCGCTGGGCTCCTCACCTGCGATCAGGATGTCCAGGGGGTCGCTGGGGGCCGACCACCTAGGGGAGAGGTTGTGTGCACCGTAGCATCTGTACTGGCCCCCGTGGGAGCGGCTCACAGGGCCCAGGGTGAAGTTGGCCTGGGAGAGCCCAGCCTGGGGCTGCTGGCCAGAGCCCTGGACGAGGTCATGTTCCCCCTCCTTGTACAGAACGAATATGTCATAGCCGACATCAGAGCGACACTGCAGGGTCAGGCTGCCTCCGCGGGCCACGACAGAGCCCTGCGGGATCAGGAGGGAGGGCTTCCTAGACACGCCTGGAGGGAAAGAGGAATTGGGACTTGGAAGGCTGGTTCCTCCCCCGCCCCTTCCTTCTCCCGTCCTGGCGTCCTGGCCCTGCAGGTCTCACTGTCTCTCACGCTCTGTGTCTCGGATCCCGGGGTCTCCTTCTCACCTGGGTCTGTCTTGGAGTAGTTCCAGACCGATAGTGTCTCTCTGACTCCTGGCCACTGTCTGTCTGGTCTGTCCTCTCCTCATTGAGGGACAGGAAATTGCAGCAAATACACCCATTGCCTTCCTGAGTCGACCCCTTCCAGGTGAGGGTGACTCAGGCTCCTGTTTCCCCATCTGAGCCTCCCCGTGGGGTCTTCCTCACGCCTTCAGCCCATCCATCAACACATCCTTCTGGGGTCCTTGCCATGATCAGTCATCAACCAAACTCCCAACAACCTATCTGGTTCCCCAAAATTATATAAAGAAGTGTGGTGGCTTTTTCACCTGGGACCAGAATCTCCAGGAGGTCACTGGGGTTCGACCACACCTGAGGGTTTTTCCTGTAATAGTAATAGCATCTGAACCTCCACCTGCAGCTGGGGGTCACGGGACCCACAGGGAACAGGGCCTGGGATGGCCCTTTGGGGAGCTTCTGTGAGTACAGGGTCCTGGGGAGCTTCTGTTCTTCCTCAACAAGAACAAACGTGAGAAGTCCGTCCAGTGTATCACACTGGAGGGTCACATTTCCTCCTGAGGCCACCACAGGACTCGGCAGGGCTAAAAGAGTGGGTTCTGCATAGAATCCTAGCAGAGAAGGAGGCACGTCTTAAGTGGGGCTCCGACCTCCCACATCATCCCCAGGGCTGGGCTGTGAGAGGTAGACGTCCCTAAGAGCCGACCCTCTTCCTGAGGGCAGAGCCTGGGGCTGGGACCCCTGAGTGTCCTCTCACCTGTCGCCACCAGCTCCAGGGGGTCACTGGGCTCTGACCAGCCTGCAGGGGTCTCATAGTAGCAGCGGTATCGCCCTGCACTGTCATACACCGTGGATGGAATGTGGAACTTGGCCTTGGCTCCAGGCTCCAGTGGGTTCTGTCTCTTCCGGGCCCATGGGAGTCCCTCCTTATCCAGACGGTACTCCTCAGTCTCCAGGGGCCCCTGACACCAGAGGGTCACGGGCTTCCCCCGAGCTATCACAGAGGCTGGCTCAGCCCAGAGGGTGGGTTTGGGGAGGGTGCCTAGAATGGAATCAGAGGCTGGATCCCAAGACATCCCCATCCCTCAGATTCCAGCTCTCAGCCCCAGGACCCTCCAGACGTCCCCATCAGTCAGCCCAGAACAGCTATCTCCACCCCCAGCTGCCCGGGGTTGGGCCCTTGTCCCCAGTGAGAAGAAGGGACCTGGGACAGCTGGGGACAGACTCACCTGCCTGCACGCAGGTCCTGGGGCCCACACTCAGCCCTGGAAGAGAGTTCCCTGTGAGGGATTTGCCCCTGGAAGCCCCAGCAGTTCCTCTCCTCCCTCGGAGCCTCTGATAGACCAGATTCTCTGATAGACCAGAGCCTCGCTTTAGAGTGAGCTCCCTCCAAGACGGGGACCTTCCTTCCCCCTCTTCAAACCTCACCGAGGCAAATCAGGACTGAGAGGGTGAGGGTCATGGCGTCAGCTCCCACTGGACTCAGCTGTGCAGGCGGATGAGACCACGGTGCCTGGCAGGACACAAAAACACGCAGAGTGTGGACTGGAGGCTGGGTTCTCCCTGTCACAAGACTGTCCCATCGGAAGCCCCACAGGAAGGGGAACTGCCCTCCCCAAGAGCCTGGCTCTCATTTCCCCAGGGATGGGGCTGGGGTGAGCTCCAGGCTCTCTGCAGACATTTCAGACAGAAATGGGGTCTCCCTGAGCCCTAGCCGCTGTCGGCCTGACCTATACTCAGCTCACCAAGGGCTAGGGCAGAGCAACAAAACCCCTCCGCTGGGAATGAACCTCTAAGTCGTTCCTGCCTCCTCAGTGCCCCTTTGTCCTTGGCCGTCCCTCTGTGCCTCCAACCATGTTCAAGGTTTTCAGAACAATTACTCAGGTTTGTCATCTGATTCATGGGGTGGAGTGGGGAGCTGAATTTTCTTCCTAATTCCACCGATTATGTGACCTTGGACAGCAAAGTGGCTTGCTTGAGCCTTTCTCTTTTGGAACTTGTGGTCATGACCTCAGCTTCTCAGAGTGGATGTGGGGCTCAGTGGTGCCTGGGACATGGGAGGGGGCTTGGCCATGGTGAATTTCCAGACCAGATTAAGACAGGAGTGGTTGGGGTGTGAGAGGATCCTGGCATTGAGCTCCGTAGTAGAGGAGGATGATTGATGCCCCAACTCAAGAGCCCACATCTGCTCCAAATACCAAGAAATGCTCCTTATGTTTGAAGTTCCCGGCACGGTGGCCCACCCCTGTAATCTGAGCACCTAGGGAGGCTGAGGATGGAGGATCCCTTGAGCTCAGAAGTTCAAGACCAGCTTGGGGAACATAGTGAGACCCCGTCTCTGCATATAACAAAGAAGAAATAATCAGGTATGTTTGTGCACGACTGCAGTCCCAACTATTTGGGACACTGAGGTGGGAAGATTGCTTGAGCCTGGGTGGTCCAGGCTGTAGTGAGGTATGATCATAGCACTGCACTCCAGCCTGGGTGAGAGAGCACGACCCTGTCTCAAAACATACATATATATATATATATATACACACACACACATACACACATCTGAAATATGTAGATTATACATCCGAAATATGTAGATTATGAAAGTTTTGTGCAGAAAAAGAAATGAAAAGTTCTTTAATTTGAGAAGGTTGCACATCAAAGAACAAACTTGAAAGCTGACAGCCTGCTTGTGTCTAAGACTGTCCCAGGGTCATTAGGGAGGAAATTTCCACTTCTGTGTGGGACAGAAGAGGAACCCCAGGTCCTCATGGAAAGGGAGGGGGTAGGGGCTCCAGATGAAGATGAAAAGCTGTGGCCCGGCCCGGCGCGGTGGCTCACGCCTATAATCCCAGCACTTTGGGAGGCTGAGATGGGCAGATCACGAGGTCAGGAGATCGAGACCATCCTGGCTAACACGGTGAAAACCCGTCTCTACTTAAAAAAAAAAAAATAGAAAAAATTAAGCGGGCGTGGTGGCGGGCGCCTGTAGTCCCGGCTACTTGGGAGGCTGAGGCAGGAAAATGGTGTGAACCTGGGAGGCAGAGCTTGCAGTGAGCTGAGATCGCGCCACTGCACTCTAGCCTGGGGGACAGAGTGAGACTCCGTCTCAAAAAAAGAAAAAAAAAAAAGGAAAAGAAAAGCTGTGGTTCACCCTTGCTCGTGCTTGTGGACAGGAGCTGGGATATCTCTGCCCACTGACTGAAGTCCATGATCAGCATGGGGCCACCTCTCCCGTTTTTGTGTTTAACAGATTCCGCCGCCGTGCGTGGTGCCTCACGCCTGTAATCCCAGCACTTTGGGAGGCTGAGGCGGGCGGATCACCTGAGGTCGGGAGTTTGAGACCAGCCTGACCAACATGGAGAAACCCCGTTTCTACTAAAAATACAAAAAAATTAGCTGGGCGTGGTGGTGCATGCCTGTAATCCCAGCTACTTAGGAGGCTGAGGCAGGAGAATTGCTTGAACCCGGGAGGCGGAGGTTGCGGTGAGGCGAGATCAAGCCATTGCACTCCAGCCTGGGTGACAAGAGTGAAACTCCATCTCAAAATAATAATAATAATAATAATAATAAATAAATAAATAAAATCCTTGAAGTCCACCCGGCGTTCTATTGCACTGCAGCTGACCTGGCACTCAAGCCACAAGATACTGTCCTTCCTACTCATCCCTCCCCTTTCTTAAGGCAAAGGAGCCTCATGCCATGACCACTGCCACAACAGGCTTACAGGGAGAACTGCCAGTGTTCTCTTAAGCCCTAAGGGATCTTCAGTCAGCTTGTGGTGAAGGCTTCCTGGCCTGCTATTCATCCGTCATGACACTGGGCTCTGCCCAGGCCCAGGGCAGGTCCAGAAATGATCTCTAAGAGCAAAGTCCTTGAATTGAGGACCTGAGAGCCTACTTGGCACTCTATCCCCTGTTGTTGAGCTGGTACCTAAGGTGCAATACAAAGTCCCTTTTACTTTTTCTTCCACTTTTCTCACCCCACAGTCAACATGGCTGGGAAGGTGCTGAGTCTCACTTGAAGCCAGCAAGTCTCAGAGTCTCACCTAAGGCCCACGACATAGTACCTGTATATTGCTGCTGGTTATTCAGGGCCTGAGAGCTCTTCAGTTAGCAAGTGATGAATTCTGCCAGGACTAAATCCTTCCCCACAAGGCAGCAATTTCCCTTCTGGCCTAGGGTATGTGGAAAAATGTTGTCCAGGAGCTAGCATCTGGGATGGGGACCTCAGGACTCTGCCTGTTGCCCTATCTTACTGTGGCTGAGTGGGTATCCAAGATAAAAGACAAAGTCCTCTTTATTCTTCCCTCTCCTCTCTTCAATCAGAAGGAAGGAATCACTTTTGTTGCTACAAGTTGTGCTGCCTTGGGTAGTGGGAGGGATGAAACAAGTACACCCTTAGCTACGTTTGCTGATTTCTCTAAATTCACTGGCTCCAAACTCAGCACAGCACTAGGATTTTCCCAGGAATCACAGTACTTGTGGCCTAGACTCTTTCAAGCTTGTTTAAGACCCCAGACCAGGCGCAGTCACTCACACCTGTAATCTCAGCACTTTGGGAGGCTGAGGCGGGCAGATCATGAGGTCAGGAGTTTGAGACCAGCCTGGCCAATATGGCCAAATCCCATCTCTACTAAAAATACAAAAATTAACTGGGCATGGTGGCACGTGCCTGTAGTCCCAGCTACTTGGGAGGCTGAGGCAGTAGAATCGCTTGAATCTGGGAGGCAGAGGTTGCAGTGAGCCGAGATTGCACCACTGCACTCCAGCCTGGGATGACAGAGCGAGACTCCATCTAAAACCAAAACAAAACAAAAAAACAAACCCAGAGCACTTTAGCCTGAGGTCTCAGGTGGGACTTGCTGAATCTCAAGTTCCAACTGATTTTCTGGGCAGTTCCCCTTTGGGTAGAGCTCATCAAATGCTTTCTCCATGAACGGGCATCAGTTGCAATCAGCCCAGTGTGGCTTTCCAGTGTGACAGGGCAGCATTGAGTTCAGTCCTGCCTTCTCCCTTCCCCAAGCACACAGTCGCTGCTTGGGTGACTCCAGCCTGGGTGACAGAGCGAGACTCTGTCTCAAAAAAAAAAAAAAAAGAATGCTGAAAATATACCCTAATATCTTTAATATCTTCTGACTTTTAGGGTTATGCTGAAAGGTTCACTGTTAGCCTGATGAGGTACGTCTTTTGGATGACTGGCCTATTCTCTCTAGCTGCCATGAATAATTTTCTTTCACGTTGATCTTGGAGAAGTTGATGAGTATGTTGTTTGTGGATGGTTTTGTTGTATAGTATCTCACTGGGGTGTTCTGAGTTTCCTAAATGTGAATGTTGGCTCTCTAGTGCGGTTGGGGAAATTTTTATTGATAATATTCTCAAATATGTTTCTCAAGTTGCTTGCTTCCTTTCTTACTCAGGGATGCCAATGGGTCATAGGTTTTGTCTCTTTCCATAATCCCATAATTCTCAGAGGTTTTGTTCATTCTTTTAAATTCTATTTTTTTTATTTTTGTCTGACTGCGTTGATTCACAGAAGCAGTCTTTTTTAATTTTGTTTTTATTTTTGTTTTCTGAGATGGAGTTTCGCTCTTGTTGCCCAGGCTGGAGTGCAATGGCACAATCTTGACTCACTGCAACCTCCACCTCATGGGTTCAAGCAATTCTCCTGCCTCAGCCTCCCTAGTAACTGGGATTACAGGCATGCACCACCACGTCCGGCAAATTTTGTATTTTTAGTAGAGATGGGGTTTCACCATGTTGGTCAGGTTGGTCTCGAACTCCTGACCTCAGTTGATCCGCCCGCCTCAGCTTCCCGAAGTGCTGGGATTACAGGCGTGAGTCACCACGCCTGGCCATAGAAGCAGTCTTTGAGCTCTGAGATTTTCTTCTCACCTTGGTCTATTTTGCCGTTACTACTTTTTATTATATTATGCAATTTTTGTAATGAGTTTTTCAGCTCTATAAAATCAGTTTCTTTCTTTCTTAAAATGTCTATTTCATCTTCCACCTCTGGTGTCATTTTACTGGGTTCCTTATATCCCTTGGATTGGGTTTCAACTTTCTTCTGAACCTCAGTGATCTTAGTTTGGCATCCAGATTCTGAATTCTATGTCTGCCATTTTAGCCATTTCATTAAAAATCACAGGATGGCCACGTAATAAATGAAAGTAGCACTGCACCTCTATCACCCCATCCTTCAGTCAGGATCAGCTTGGAATAAAGAGGGACTTCTCCTTGCTGGAAAAAGCTGAGAAAAAGACCTAGCAGCTTCCATCAACACTTTGGACACCTGTAGATCTCACCATTGGAGATTCCCTTTCACAGACACTAAGCACAGCTGACGGAGCTACCCAGATTCCACACAGCTACACTCACCCAGGAGAAAAGACTGACACTGTGCCCCACTGTCCACGGCCATCACGGCTCTGGCACTATGCCATTGTGGAATGGGATCTACTTCTGGATCTCTGGGGGACACGTAGCCGCAGCATCCTTTCACTGCTGAGGGATTGTCACTGCTGAGCCAGCCTTGCCTGGTGGCCTGCCATCCCCAGGCTGAGCTGTTGCTCTATACTACCCTGTCGTGCCAAGCTGCCTAGAGCCACTCGATCCACCTTTCCCAGTGGCAGATGCATCCTGACCCTCAGGGACCGAGCTGAAGTGGAAACGGTGCCTTGGGTGTTCACAAGAGTGATGGCCTGTGCCTGCGCTAGTGTGACACGCTGTGTATTAGGGTTCTCTAGAGGGACACAACTAATGGCGTATATATGTGTGTGTGTGTGTGTGTGTAAAATCGTATCTGGTGTATATATATGTGTGTATATATACACATATCAAAAATATATATGTATATGTGTGTGTATATATGTGTGTGTATATATGTGTGTGTATATATGTGTGTGTATATGTGTGTGTATATGTGTGTGTATATATGTGTGTGCATATATGTTTGTGTGTATATATATGTGTGTGTATATGTGTGTGTATATATGTGTGTGTATATATGTTTGTGTGTATATATATGTGTGTGTATATATATGTTTGTTTATATATATGTGTGTATATATATGTGTGTATATATATAAAATCATATCTGGGGTATATATATGTGTGTATATATACACATATCAAAAAATATATGTATATATGTGTGTATATATATGTGTATGTATATATGTGTGTGTATATATGTGTGTATATATATGTGTGTGTATATATGTTTGTGTGTATATATATGTGTATGTATATATGTGTGTGTATATATGTGTGTGTATATATATGTGTGTGTATATATATGTTTGTGTGTATATATGTGTGTATATATATGTTTCTGTGTATATATATGTGTGTATATATATGTTTGTGTGTATATATATATAATCGTATCTGGTGTATATATATGTACACATATCAAAAAATATATGTGTGTGTACATATATGTGTGTATATATATGTGTGTGTATATATATGTGTGTACATATATGTTTGTGTGTATATATGTGTGTGTATATATGTGTGTATATATATACCCTACATATATATACCATACATATATATGTATATACACCATATCTATATGGGTGTTTATTAAGTATTAACACACTATTATACAAAAATTAGCCTGGTGTGTGTGTGTGTATACATATATATATATAAAATCATATATGTGTGTATATATATGCATGTGTGTATATATATGTGTGTGTATATATATGTGTGTATATATACACATACATATATATGTATATACACCATATATATATGTGTGTGTGTATATATATATATATATATACGAGTGTTTATTAAGTATTAACTCACACTATTATACAAAAATTAGCCCAGTGTGGTGGTGCACGCCTGTAGTCCCAGCTACTCAGGAGGCTGAGGCAGGAGAATCAGTTGAACCCGGCAGACGGAGGTTGCAGTGAGCCGAGATTGCGCCACTGCACTCCAGCCTGGTGACGGAGTGAGACTCCATCTCAAAAATTGGACTCTAGCCTGGGCAACAAGAGCAAAACTCTGCCTGTCTCAAAAAAAAAAAAAAAAAAAAAAAAAAGACATGATCCAGGCAACATCGATGGGGCATCACCAGGGTCTGTCCTGTCTGTTGCAGTCCACACTTTGCCCTGCTCATAGCCCCATGAACTTCATGTTCATGTCTTTTCACACTATAACTTCTTCCAGGTCTTTGCTGGACACATTAAAAAAAAATATATATATATAAAATGCTTCATGAAATTTGTTAATATCCTTGTGCAGCTGCCATGCTGATCTTCTCTGTATCATTCTGATTTTGGTATATGTGCTGCCAAAGCAACAACACACTGGACACATTTATCTACAAATGAGGCAAACAAAGCATATGGGTGTGAATGGGGAGAAGTACAGTGTTCTCTGTTGTAATTGACCCCGAGGTCATCCTTTATATTTACCAGCTTTGCTGTCTATCACCCTCTCTAGGTTCTGCTTACCTTCTGCCAGAGTTCGCATGAGAAACTCTACTTGTCTCAACTATCGGCCCAATGAAATAAACATAAATTTCAACCTTGAGGCATCTGAGCACCTGATTATTGTGCCTGTTTCAGGCTTTCTTGTGGGAGTTGCCCATTGTGTTAGTTTCTTGGAGGCTGATATAACAAATTATCACAAAGTATTGAATAAAAAGAAGATAAACTTATTCTCTCAGAGTTCTGCAGGCCAGAAATAAAAAATCAAAATGTTCATATAATTTCTTCTTTCTAGAGGCTCTGAAGAAGAAACTTCTGTGCTTTTTCCTTCTTTCTTTCTTTCTTTTTTTTTTTTTTAGATGGAATCTCGCTCTGTCTCCCAGGCTGGACTGCAGTAGCGCGATCTCGGCTCACTGCAAGCTCCGCCTCCCGGGTTCATGCCATTCTCCTGCCTCAGCCTCCCCAGTAGCTGGGACTACAGGTGCCCGCCCCCACACCCGGATAATTTTTTTGTATTTTTAGTAGAGACGGGGTTTCACCATGTTAGCCAGGATGGTCTCGATCTCCTGACCTCATGATCTGCCCGCCTCGGCCTCCCAAAGTGCTGGGATTACAGGCATGAGCCACCACGCCCGGCCACTTTTGTGCCTTTTTCTTAGACTTTGGTCCTTGCTGGCATTTCTTGGCATTCCTTGGTTTACAGACTTCTCATTCTAATCTCTGCCTCCATCTTCACATGGCATCCTATTCTTCTCTGTGTGTCTTCTTCATGTCTTATAAAGATGTGAGCAATATTGGATTTAGATCCTGCCCGAAGCCAGCATGACCACATCTTAACTAATTATACCTGCAAAGATCCTATTTCCAAATAAGTTCATATTCACAGCTACGGGAGGTTAGGATGTCAACATACCTTTTTGGAGACACAGTGCAAACCCCAACCCCAGTCATGGTTACCTCCAGCTATGGAGAATTCATCACTGCCACAGTGAATTATCTAAGCTGCCCAACCACCCTCTCTTCACCAAATCCTCCTCCTCATCGTTAAAGAAAATTACCCAGGCCAGTATGATATCTTTCTCCTTACCTGCTGATGTACTGTAATGAGGAAACCCAAGGAAAACCAGCTACATCATCATTTTAGGTACAGAGTAATTTTTGTGTTGTTCCCTGGTAGTGGTTTCTTACCAGGCAGATCTTCTAACCCAGGGTCACCTAAAAGTGCAGTCACAGGATGTGCACATCTCCCAAGTGTGTCATCTGTAAAGTTAGTGATAGATGCTGTTCATTAAACTCTCACTTTACTCCCAAGCCCATGCATTCTACCTGTCAAAAGACATACCATGATTTATTGTTTTATTTATTTTTTATTATTTTTTATTTTTTTGACGGAGTTTTGCCCTTGTTGCCCAGGCTGGAGTGCAATGGTGCAATCTTGGCTCACTGCAACCTCCGCCTCCCGGGTTCAGGCGATTCTCCTGCCTCAGCCTCCCAAGTAGCTGGGATTACAGGCGAGCAGCACCACGCCTGGCTAATTTTTGTATTTTTAATAGAGATGGCGTTTCACCATGTTGATCGGGCTGGTCTCGAACTCCTGAACTCAGGTGATCCACCTGCCCTGGCCTCCCAAAATGCTGGGATTACAGGCGTGAGCCACCGCACCTGGTCCATTTATTGTCTTTATAGCTATATCTGTATGTATATCATCTACAGCTTTCTGTATGCTTATTTACAGCTACTGTAACAGAACCCCCAAACTGCAGAGTCTCATTCACAAACTGTTCAATACATCCAATTTCAAGAGGCCATTTCAATGTTCTTTCAGTCCCAGTAAAACCAAACCACTGCATAGTACATATCTCAGGTCATTCCCAGAATATCACGTGGCCATGTTCTCATTCCCTCCACGGATTTTGTGGGCATCTGGATTCCCATTCTGAGAATAAGTCATGGGTTATTTCGTTTAAACAAGTCAGACATTCTGAGTGCTCACAGACCCCTGCGAGGAGCTCCGTCAAACCCATTTTCAGCACAAGCATCCTTCAGACTAAGGAAGGTTTGCTGCCCCCTCGTGGGTGGAATGTGTTCCATGGCATCAAGTTACTACCAGGCATCACATCCAGACCTCTCTGCTGGTCACAGGTGAGACTTTCAGCTACAGTGGTGGCTACGTGGTCCTTGGTGAGAGGGAGTCACTGGTGTTGGGTTCATGCATGTCCTCCTTTCTTGCTCCATGGCTATCCCATTCACGGGCCCCTCCTGCTTGCATTGGGCCTGCTGACCCCACAGCTGGATGGATTCCACTGCATCAATTCTGTACTCCACCTGGTGCCTCCCCCAGCTGTGGACTGCTCTTGCTTGCTTCTCAGGGATAGGCTCATGGTAGGGAGTATAAATTTCTCCTGTCCTCACCCAGCCTCAGTCTTGGACAATTTCTATATGAGTGGGCCTTGAGGGTGGAGCTTGCTCAGTGTTTGTGTCCTTCTTCCCCTTGGCAGCTGGATTGTACTTGGTAGCTTTGGTTGACTTGGGCAGGAATTTCCTGTCCCTTCCCTGACATTTGTATATCTGGGATTATGGTTTCAGGAATTTTCTGCAGTACTCCTAGGGATAGAGGGACTTTTAAATCTACCTTCTTATATCCACAATGGGTTTTTACCTGGGGCCTGAGATTGGCTGGTTTTTCTGAACCTCTCTCAATGACTTCAGTCTTTTTCTACACATGGGAGAAGTATCTGGGCAGGGGGTGAGATTTCAGGCCACACACTGTGGAAGGTAATCATGTCTGATCACAAATTTTGGGTCTCCACCTTACTTCCAATCTATGTTGTGAATGCCCAGTTGAGACCCACGGAAAAGAGCTCATGGGTGAGTGTGAAGTGCTTCTCTGTCTTAAGTTCCCAGAGATCCTTGCCTCTTGGAGGCCAGCAAACACTGACTCTTGAGGAATTCATGACAATATCATCTGATTCCTCCTTCCCAGCTTGTATGGCAGTCTCCCACCCTCATGTGTTCTGCCTTTGTAGAGCCTGTCATGGCATCCTACTCCTCCTTGGAATTCAGGTTACTCAGTTGCTCCCAGAGCTCGGATTTCTGATGGTCTCAGGTGAAATCTACATTATGGAGTTGATCTGAGTTTTACTCATGGTTAGGATTGCAGAGAAGCTCTTTTTTTGGAGTGGGGGAGGGAGGGGGAGGGATGGAGTTTCGCTTTTGTTGCCCAGGCTGGAGTGCAATGGCGTGTTCTTGGCTCACTACAACCTCTGCCTCCTGGGTTCAAGTGATTCTCCTGCCTCAGCCTCCCCAGTAGCTGGGATTACGGGCATGTGCCACCATGCCCAGCTTTTTTTTTGTATTTTTAGTAGAGAGAGGGTTTCACTATGTTTTCCAGGCTCGTCTCAAACTCCTGACCTTAGGCAATCCACCCACCTCAGCCTCCCAAAATGCTGGGATTACAGGTGTGAGCCACCGCACCCAGCTAGTGAAACTCTTTCCAGCTCCCCAAACCCTGGGCAGAAGCCGGGATATGAATTATTTATTTACTTACTGAGTTATGTGACATAACTCACACCATATGAAATGCACCATTTTTTAGTGTACAAATAAATGGATTTTAGTGTCTTCACTATGCTGTGCAATCACCATCCCTACCTCATCCCACAGCATTTCCATCACCTCAGAAAGAACCCCCAAGTAGTCAGTCCTAGTTCTTCCCTTCCCTCAGCCTTAAGAAATCACTAGTCTACTCTCAGTTTCTATGGCTTTGTCTATTCTGGATATTTCATGTGCATAAAATCACACCAAATACACGTCCTTTTGTAGCTGTTGATGGAAAAGAAGTGGTTACCATGAAGGAACTGAAGTTTTCCAAAGACAAAATTATAATGTGGCCTGACAGAAGAAGTACAGAAATTGATAACAAAAACAAATCCATCACAACTTATCATGAATCTGGTCATGCCATTATTGCATATTACACAAAAGATGAAATGTCTATCAACAAAGCTACAATCATGCCACAGGGGCCAACATTTGGACCTGTGTCCCCATTACCTGGTGATGACAGATGGAATGAAACCAGAGCCCAGCTGCTTGCACAAATGGACATTAGTATGGGAGCAAGAGTGGCAGAGGAGCTTATATTTGGAATTGACCATATTACAACAGGTGCTTCCAGTGATTTTGCTAATGCCACTAAAATGGCAAAGCAGATGGTTATCAAATTTGGAATTAGCGAAAAGCTTGGAGTTATGACCTACAGTGACACAGGGAAACTAAGTCCAGAAACTCAATCTGCTATTGAACATGAAATAAGAACCATTCTAAGGGACTCATATAAATGAGCAAAACTTATTCAAAATTCAAATAATTGTATGACATGGTTATAACAAAACACCTTCCTACCCCATCCATAGTATTTATTTAGATGAACAAATTTTCTCAGTCCTGTATCTATACAAATGAAAACTAGATATAGTATTGACGTTTAGCTCTGTTTCAGTCTAGGAATAAGTAATATTTACCAGTGGACTTGTGAACAATTAATAACCATAATCAAGAAGTATTTTTAAAACATTTAGAATCTTAAATTTATATAGTAGAGATGGATAGGGTGATCCATGAAAGATGTTTAATTATATAATTATTACATTTCGCTAAAAACTTGTTGGTGATGTTGAATGGAAAATCAAGTCAAAAATAAAGAAGAATGATGCAAACCTTAAAAAAAATGAGCAAAACTTATCTTGAAAAGTCATGCAGAGGAGCATAAGAATCTAGCAGAAGCTTTATTGACCTATGAGACTTTAGGTGCCAAAGAGATTCAAATTGTTCTTCAGGGGAAAAAGTTGGAAGTGAGATGAGAACTCTCTTGATGTGGATGCTTTGCTGGTTTTATTGCAAGAATATAAGTAGCATTGCAGTAGTCTCCTTTTGCAATGCTTTCTCCTCATTATTGACGTTGTGTAATTTAAGGGTGTGAAACATTTTGTCAATATTTTGTCACGTTTACCCAATTTTGGTTATTCTCATTATGACACCCATTGCAAATCAGCATCCCATGGCAAATATATTTTTAAAACTAAAGAACTATCAGGATTAAAGACAGCTCATTTGGGAAATGTCAATTAGTTATGAAGTTGAAAGTAACTAATGATTTTATGGTTGGTTACTCTACTAGAGGTGAATAAAACTTCAGCCTTTAGCCTTCTATATACATCAGTGGAAACTTAATTAAGATGCATTAATTATGTTCCAGATTGACCATCAATAAAATGTTTTTAAATCTAAATGTAGAGAATTGTAAGCATACAGTTGCAACCCGAATTTAAATGATTATAACCTTTTGGCATGGTGTGATGGCTCACGCCTCTAATCCCAGCACTTTGGGAGGCTGAGGCGAGTGGAAGGCTTGAGTCTAGGAGTTCGAGACCAGCCTGGCCTACACGGCGAAACCCTGTCTCTACTAAAATTAAAAAAAATAGCCTCCTGTGGTGGTGCACAACTGTAATCCCAGCTACTCAGAAGGCTGAGGCACAAAAATTTGCTTGAACTGGTTGCAGTGAGCCAAGATCTCACAACTCCACTCTAGCCTGGGCGACAGAGTGAAACTTTGTCTCAGTAAATAAATAAATAAATAAATAATTGTAACCTTTTAAAAATAAAAAAACCCAAACAAATATATGTCCTTTTTTTGTCATTATTCATGATAGCTAAATAGTGAAAACAACCCAAATGTCCATCAATTGGTGAATGCATAAACCAAATGTGATATAGGCATAGAATGGAATATTCTTCAACAGTAGAAAGGAACAAAGACCAATTACATGCTCTAGCGTGCAGAGACCACGAAAACATTTTGCTATGTGCAATTGGATTTTTGCCATTTTGTTGTTGTTTTTAATGTAGTACATTTATTTTAATTTATTATTTTTTTAAAAAAAATTCAATAGCTTTTGGGGAACAGGTGGTGTTTGGTTACGTGGATAAGCTCTTTAGTGGTGATTTTTGAGATTTTGGTGCATTCATCACCCGAGCAGTGTACACTGCACCCAATGTGTAGTCTTTTATCGCTCATCCCCCTCCCATTGTTCCCTGTGAGTCCCCAGATTCCATTATATCCTTCTTATGCCTTTGCATCCTCATAGTTTAGCTCCCACTTATGAGACCATATGATGTTTGGTTTTCCATTTCTGAATTACTTCACTTGGAATAATGGTCTCCAACTGCATCTAGGTTGCTGCGAATGCCATTATTTTGTCCCTTTTTGTGGCTGAGTAGTATTCCGTGCTGTGTGTGTGTATATACACACATACACATACATGTTTTTCATATGTTTGTGGACCGTTCGTATATCTTCTTTTGAGAGTTGTCACAAAGGGAATTGGATTTGGAGGGAACAATTTTATGGCCATTTTTCAGTATAATCATCGGGTGAAGACAGTGTCTGTTCGGCCAGTGTCGCTTTAATCCATTACCTGTAGCCAGGAAGGGAGACGTTTATCGCAGAGATAGGCACCAACCTGGAATGCTTTCCTCAAAGGCGATTAACTGTAGTGTGAACCCGAAATTTCACCGCAGTTTGGTCCTGATTTGGCACAAGATATGCTTTATCCACTGATGTGAAATGTCCAGGTGTTTTTTTGTACGGTTTTGTTGCTGAAAGACACAATACCCTCTAATCTAAGGCATCCTCTCCAAATCCCACTGAACAATACCCTCTAATCTAAGGCATCCTCTCCAAATCCCACTGAGGCACAGGAGTGACACTAGAGAGGGGGTCACGGAGCTTCCTGAGAGAGATTCGCCTCCTGAACCCTGGGCAGATCCTCCCCACCTTGGGATCTCTGTGAACCTCTGGGGTCTTCTATTCAATCAGGACCAAGTTGTGAGGTGGGATTCCTTCCAGGCTACAGTCTCCCCTCTCCCTCTTTCAATTTTATCAAGACAGATCAGAGGTTTGTGGGAGGGAGTCATGGCGTCTCCTCCACAGCCCCCAGCTGTGCAGATGGATGAGGCCACCGTTCCTGGATGGAGTAAATCTACTGGGAACCTGGGTTCTCCATCACGAGGTTGTCCCGTCATCAGCCCCAAAAGAAGGGGAACTGCCCTCTCCGGGAGCTTGACTTTCATTTCCCCAAGGCTGGGACTGGGGCAGGCACCAGGCTGTCTTCAGATACTTCATACAGAAATGGTATCTCCCTGACCCTTTTCTGCGATTTGCCTCATCTGTCCTCATCTCATCAAGGGTCAGGACGTAGGAGCCGATAGACCCAGCACCTTTCTGAGTCTGTCCTGTCCAAGTGAGGGTGACTGGGGGCTTGTTCTTCTTCTCAGAGCCTCCCTGTGGGGTCCTCTTCCCTCCTTCAGCCTGTCCATCAACACAGCATTGCGGGATCCTTACCATGGCATCCAGCCCTGGAGATGCTTCAGGAAAGTTGCAGGTCCATGCTGCAGGACAGGCTCAGATCAGCAGAGACGCATCTCACATCGGGCTGTGAAATTCAAGTTGAGCTGCAATTGGCAATGAGAAGAAAAAAGGAGAAATAAAGAAATGCTGACTCTTCTTTTGTCTTTGGAGTATGGGTTTTATTTCTTCCAGTTTCCTTCTTAGACTTCCCTTCTTTTTTTTCTTCCTATTTTTTTTAATAGTGTTCAGGTCCCCCTCCCTTAAAAGTAACCTCTGAGTCATTCCTGCCTCCTTGGCGTCCCTCCCACCCCCAGCCCCGCTTCCTTGGGCATTCCCCTGCATCTCAGTCTGCCTTCAAGGTTTTGGGAACAAGTACTTGTCTTGAGCTCTGATTTGGGGGTGGGATAGGGAGTTAATTTTTTCTGAATTGCTCACCTTCATCCCTGCGTGCATGACCTTGGGCAGTAAGTCCCATCTCTGAGCCTCGGTTTCCTCATTTGGAGCCTGTTGTCATGAACCCCCCTCCTGAGTGGTTTTGGGGGCCAGTGGTGCCTGGGTCATGGGAGGGCCTCAGTCATGGTACATTTCCAGACCGGGTTAAGTCTTGGGGGTTGAAACATGAGTGGATCCTGGTGTTGGACTGCACAGTCACGGTGAGTGACTTATGTGCTCAACAGCCCACATCTGCTCCTAACACTGGGAAAACCTACTTATAATGTGTCTGAAATATGTAGCCATGGTCCAATGAAGAAAATGAGAAATGAGACTTCCTGTCATAGGCAGGAAACCTTAAGAAGCAGAAGATGCCAGCGCCGAGGGGCTGCTGGTGACTTGCAAAGCTGGGGGTCACTAAGGGGGAGGTTTCTGCCTCTGTATGAGACAGAGGAGAACCCCAGGGCCCTCACAGACAGGGAGGGGTCGGGGTTTTGGATGAAAGTGGGAAGTTGTGGCTCCTTCTCCCCTGTGTTTGTGGATGGCACTGGGATATCTCTGCTCATTGACTCAGGTCCATGGTCAGCCCTGAGCCGCCTCCTCCATGTGTGTGAAACAGATTCACTGCAGCGTTGTCACACATGGGCGTCTGTCCCACATGCGAGTCTGAGGCTCACACTGGACCCTCCCTGCTGGTTACAGCCCTGAGTAGACTCATGTGGCACTGGCAGGTGGAACCATCTCCCCTTTTCCAGCCTTAACTCCCAGCACAGCCCTGGTGGAAACCCTCTCTGGAAGATGAGGCATGTGGGAAGCATGTGTCCAAAAATGACAAGGAGAAGGAATTATCCTAATGATCAAAAGTGCTATGATGGGCCAGGCACCGTGGCTCATGCCTGCAGTCCCAGCACTTTGGGAGGTCAAGGCGGGCGGGTCACTTGGGCCCAGGAGTTCAAGACCAGCCTGGGCAACATGGCAAAACCTCATCTCTACAAGAAATACAAAAATTAGCTGGATGTGGTGTCATGAATAATGGCCTCCAGCTCATCCAGGTTGCTGCAAAACTCAATCCCTTGTACATCAGTTGCAAAAAATTAAAAATATCTAAGAATATACCTAACTGAGGAGGTGAAAGATCTCTACAAGAAGAACAACAAAATGCTGCAGAAAGAAATCGTAGATGACACAGCAAAATAGAAATATATCCCATGCTCATGGATTGGCAGAATCAATATTGTGAAAATGATCACACTTCCCAAAGCAATATTTAGGTTCAATGCAATTCCCATCAAAATATCAACATCATTTTTTTCACAGAATTAGAAAAAAATCCTAAAATTCATATGGAACCAAAAAGAGGATGAATACCAAAGCAATCTTAAGCAAAAAGACAAATGTAAATTTAATAAACATATCCTAGGCTGAATTGTAGGGGGTTTGTTTTTGCTCACTTCAACCTCCACCTCCCGGGTTCATTCAAGTGATCCTCCTGCCTCTGCCTCCCAAGTAGCTGGGATTGCAGCGTGCGCCACCATGTCCAGCTAATTTTTGTATTTTTAGTAGAGATGGGGTTTTGCCTTGTTGGCCATGCTGGTCTTGAACTCCCGGCCTCAAGTAATCTGTGGCCTCTGCCTCCCTAGGTGTTGAGATTACAGGCGTGAGCCACCGCACCCGGGCACATTGCCTCTTTTTCTATTCTCAAGAAACATTTGTGATGCTCTGGGTGTGTTTGTGTGTTTCATTAGTGCGTCAATATTTGTAAGAAATCACCAGTGAAACTTCCTGAACTGGAGTTGATACGATGGGAACATTTTTATTACAGTCAATGTTTTTCACACACACACACACACACACACACACACATATATATACACACACATACACACACATTTAAAATGAGTCAGATTCTCTGATTACTCTTACGTTCATTATGTAAACTCCAGTTTTGAATATTTCATCCATTTAATCTGCATTTTCTAGTATATTGGTATAGGTTTGCAGCCTGTTCTGGGGTTAGTTTGTGAAAATGTGTGTAGGATCTGCTGGGCTGTCTGCTGGCTCACTCCCATATGGAAATGCGTGCCTGCTCTTTCTTTCTCTTGCTCAATGTAGTTAGGATTTATGACTGTAATTAATATTTTCAAGAATGAGCTTCATTGGCTTTGTTGAATTTTCAAGTTTTGGTTTTTCCTCATGAGCAACTCTTCTTCTTCTTATTCCCTTTCTTACACCTTCATTTGGAATAATTGGTTATTCTTTTTCTAAATTCCTTATACGAAAGCCAACGTCATTCATTTCCTAGTTTTTTTTTTTCGTTTCTACTTTTTTCATTTGTGGTTTGTACTTTTTCAATTTCATTGTGTGATGTGTAATATTTATATTGTGATTCAGTTTAAAGCACATTCTTACTTCTGATTTTAGTTTTCTCGGTTAACTCATTGATTATTGAGAAGTCTGTTGCTTTAATTAAAAAATGTAGGGATATTAGTTATTTCGACTGCAGAATCAAGTGAGTCCCAAAGTTCCCAGCATCTCCTCATGGTCTTTGTTAGGGGTCCAGGCTGACTGGGGTTCATTGGTGTCCACTGGGGGCAGCTCCCGTGCCTTCAGCAGTCCTGAGTCTCCTTCTACTGAGTGTGGAGTCTGCGTACCCTCCGGGCTAGTGGATGGCCAGGGTGGCGTAGATGCTGGGCTCAGCTGGAGGTTCCCTTTCCTGGGATGGAGGAGGCTCAGTTGCCTTCCGTCTGAGGGTCAAGCTGTGCAGCTGGGCGTAGGTCACATCCTGGGGGGCTTCAGATGCAGCAGCCTGCAGCGGGGGAGAGTGAGAGGTAAGGAACGTGGTGGGGGTGGGGGAGGCCTGGGGGCCTGGAGAGGAAAGGACTCTCTCAGTGTCCATCTGTCTGTCCTCTTCTGCCTGTCTGTCCTTTGTGTCCAGGAATTCCCCGGACAGTGGGGAGGGAGGAGAGGCCATTTCTCTCCTAGGTCTGGAGTGTTTCACCGGGGCATATGTCACTGCCTGGGGGTCTTCATCATGTGGGCTCTGCTGGAGAGAGACAGTGGTGGGGGGTGTCCTTGAGTCCCCCTGACCTCCTGGAGTCAATTTTCCTCACTGTTCCCGGGGTGATCCGATTACATCCCTTTCCCGATGGAATCTCAGGGACGCCCTAAGGCCGTGGAGGGTCTGGCCGCTCCCTTCCTGTGGTTCTGGCCTCTGCTCCTCACTCTGACCTTGCCCATTTGGCTGCAGCCTCATGGGCCTTCCCGCAAGAGCTCGCTGCTGCCTCGGGGCCTTTGCACGGCTGTTTCCTCTGCCTGCAGGGGCTCGTCCATTAGAGGATCGTGTGCCCCACTCTGTCCAGGCTTCTCAGATGACAGCTGAGCAGACAGCCCTCCCCTTCCATTCAGACTGGCCCCACTGCCCCACACTCTCTGCCCTTTCCCTGGTGTATGTTCCTTTAAGCACGTTGCACTCCTGGACATGGCGCATTTATTTGCATTTTGTCTCCCACCACGAGGTGAGCTCAGGAGGCGGGGGCGGCTTTGCTCCCTGCTGTGTCTGCAGCTCCCATGGGGAGCCCGATCCACAGTGAGCTCCCTGGGAACACTCACTGGTTGAATGAATGAAGGGGAGCCCAGGGGACCGGGGTGGTTCATTTATTCCTCATCCTCCAGAGGCCTGGGGAGCGCTCTAACAACCAGACGGCCAAACAGAGGATGAGGAGCAGGAAGGGGACCCGGGAGGAGGCCCACGAGGTCCCAGGACAGCAGGAGAGAGTGAGGTCACAGCAGGCGGGAGGCAGCGTGCTGGACAAGGAGGGGTCCACCGTGACGATGCTGAGAGCCGGGGGAAGGAGGACAGAGAAGTCCTGCTGGATTAGATCTGGCACCAGGAGGCCTTTGGTGCCTGGGACAGGGGCGGGGTCTCACCCGAGTGTCCATCTCCACCCCATCTTCAGGCTGTGTGTCCTTCACGGCAGCATCTGCTGGGGCAGAGCAAGGGGTTCGTCTCTTGGGAAGGTTCCCTGGGACCTCTGAGTCCTGCCAGCCCCTGCCCTGCTCCCAGATGGGGCTACTGAGATGCAGGGAGGGGCTGCAATGTCCCTGAGGTCCCACAGTGTGGGGTGAGATGATCTCACCCTGAGCCCCAGACCCTTTCCAGCCGGTGCCCCTTTCCCCATTGCTACGGAAACTTCGGGGCCCCTATCTCCCTCCTGGCTGGTCACCTCTTCCTCTCACTCACAGAGGTTTTCTTCCTGGGCGTCGGCAGCTGGGCTGGACCTGGGGGAGGAATGGGAGCTTTAGGGGCAGTGTATGGGCCACGAGCAGGTGGGAGTCTGGGGTCTTCGGGCAGAATTACCTCCACTGCAGGCCTCTGTCTGTGGGCTCTGGCCCCACAGCCCCTGCAGGATGTTGGAAATCAGCCTTTCTCTGGGCTGGGGGAAGAAGGACAGAGCCTCAGCCCTGGGAACATTGGAGCCCCCTGCCCTGCACACACAGCTCGAAGGTAAGGAAGGAAACCTAAAAACACTCCTGCCTCCATGTTCCAAATGCCTCATGAGATGGACAGAGTCCGAAGGACACTTTACATTTGTAGATGGGACTGAGCCCGGAGGACACTTTATATTTGTAGATGGGACTGACGTTAAGTGCTTTCTCCATTCACCTGGTGAGAAATGCTGGAACAGTTTCTCAAAGCTGCATTTGCCCAGTGGTTTGGATTCTCTTTGGCTGTGCCCTGAGCCCACCCTCGGTCGGCCCACAGGGTTTCCCCTTCCCTACTCACTCGATGTCCAGTGTTTGCCCTGACGTCGATGTCGGAGGATGAGGAAGAGGAGGAGGAGGAGGAGGAGCAGTAGGACGACGGCCACCAAGATGCCGATCACAACCCCCAGGTGCCTTCCCAGACCTTGAGCACGATGATGTCAGGGATGGGGGTGATGTCATTGAAATGAGCGCCTACTGTGTGCAGGTGACTGCTGGACCTTCTGTTCACCACCTCCAACCCCCACAACAGTCGTGCAGCACACAAACATCCACCCCACCCACTCTACAGATGAAAAACTGACGCTCAGAGAGGGGAATCGCCTGCCCCGGGCCCCCAGCCAGGAAGCGGCAGAGCTGGGAAGGGAGCCTGGGAGTCTGACCTGCAGCCCTTGTTCCTGCACCAGAGCCGAGCCCCGGAGCTGCAGGGAAAGAGCCTGACCGTCCTGAACCACGACTCTGCTCCCCTCCCCTGCCCCAGGTCACCGTCTCTGCTGCAGGTGGGACGGGACAGGCCCCCGCGGAATCGAGTCTTGGAGTCTTCCCTGAGGGGCCTCCTCTCCCAGGAGGTCACAGCTGGGAGTGAGAGCTGAAAGGAACTTTCCCACCTGCAGGCCTCTCTCCTTTACACTTGGAGAAACTGAGGCCCAGGCAGGGGAGGAGCCTGTCTACATCACCACCTCCAGAGGAGCCTGAACCTAGGACAGAACCCACCCCTGCCTCCCCGGGACCCCGCCCACCTCCCACTCAGAGCCCCTCACTCACCACTTTGGGGATCCGACCCAGTGGGGGTGAGGGGCTGGTCCTCAGGGCCTGCTGGGTCAGGACGGGGAGGTGAGGGCTGGGGCTGCCCTGCTCCCCACATCAGCCCGGCTGCTCCTCCCCCAGGCTGGGCCCCAACACTTCTCTCTGCCTCGATCCCCCACCCCTCACCAGCCCAGCCTCAGAGCCCTGGGGACCCTGTGGCCCCTCCTCTGGCTCTGCCCAGCTCCCTGGACAGAAGCCCTTGATTGAGTCCCTGAAGGGAATGGGATCCTCCTGGACACTCAAAGCTGCCCTGGGGGTCGCTGCGCTCCCTTCGAGCCAGAGGCCTCAGGGACTCACCAGGTGTGGAGATGGGACCGGTGGGTGGGGGGCTGGAACCCATGGAGGGTCCTGGGTGAAAGAATGAGAGGAGGGTGAGGAGCTGGGGCTTTCCTGAAGTCTCCACCTCAAACCAAATTTCTCTACATGGGCCCTGTGGCCTCCCCAGGCCCCTCCCTCCACCCGCCTCTCCTGTCCATGATGCTGGCGATGCCGCTGAGTGTGCGCAGGCCTGGGAGGGCCTGTTGTCCTCCTTCCCTCTGAGGGTGAGTCTCCCACTGGCTGAGCCCCGCTCAGACCCCCGCTCACTCCATCCCAGCCCAGAGCTCTCCTGGGGGGCAGGGCCTGAGCTGAGCCTTTGAGCTCAGAGAGGACAGGGTCAAGGCCCCCACCTGAGACCACGAGCTCCAGGGGCTCACTGGGGTGAGACAGCAGGTAGGGGTCGGAGTTGAGTGAGCCGTAGCACCTGTAGGTCCCCGCGTGGGCTGAGGTCACAGGACTCATGGGGAATTCAGCCTGGTACTTAGGATATTCGTGTATTGATCTTAGACGGAGTGGGGCATCAGCTGCTCCCGCCTTGGTCAGAAGGAAAGTGTGGAACTGCCGCCATGACTGACACAGCAGGGTCACGTTCTCTCCTGAGGCCACTGTGGGGCCTGGCTGCACTGAGATGAAGGGTGTGCCACGGATCTGTCCTGGAGAGAAGAAGGATGGGTGAGGGGCTGCCCCACCTTGCTCTGAGCTGAGACCTCCCCAGGCCTCTCTAGGAGCCTCTGTCTCTGTTTTCTCTGAGTCTTCCCCTCCCCACCCATCCCCTGTCTCTCTCTCTGTCTCTCCCTCCCTTGGGGACCACCCCCCGCCTCATCCTGGCCATCACTAATTGGATTCCCCCGGCAGGGCCTGTGCAGAGTCTGGGTCCCTGACTGAACCCGCTGGGCTCCTCACCTGTGATCAGGATGTCCAGGGGGTCGCTGGGGGCCGAGCACTCAGAGGAGAGGTTGTGTGCACCGTAGCATCTGTACTGGCCCCCGTAGGAGCGGCTCACAGGGCCCAGGGTGAAGTTGGCCTGGGAGAGCCCAGCCTGGGGCTGCCGGCCAGGGAGCTGGCGAAGGTCACGTTCCCCCTCCTTGTACAGAACAAATCTGTCATAGCCGACATCAGAGACACACTGGAGGGTCAGGCTTTCCCCAGGGGCCACGACAGGACCCGGCTGCACTGAGAGTGATGGCTTCTTAGAAACACCTGGGAAAAGGTGCTCATGGTTTCCAGGAGCCGACCCTCAGGCTTCCCCACAAACCCTCCCTCTCCCCCGGTGCCTCACCACTGCTGATCTTCCTGTGTCTCTGGCCCCAGGACCCCTGAGCCCTCTCGCCCCAACATCATCCCACCTGGAACTGCCCTGAGACACGGCTGCTCCCCACCTGCCTGGAGACTCAGGGAGACTCAGGGAACTCCAGACAATGCTGTGAATTTCTCACCTGGGACCAGGAGCTCCAGGAGATCACTGGGTGAAGACCACACATAGGGAGAGTTCAAGTCATAACCATAGCACCTGTGCGACCACCTGCGATTCGGGCTCACGGGGCCCACGGAGAAGATGGCGCGGGACGACCCACGGGCATGGGGCTGGGAGTTCAGGCATTGTGGGTGTTCTTCTTCTCCTTCCTTACACAGAATGAAGCCGCCAAATGCCACCTGTGACTCACACTGGAGGGTCACCCTTCCTCCTGAGGTCACCACAGGGCTGGGCTGGGCTGAGAGGGTGGGTTTTGGGTAGGCTCCTAGGAGAGAAGGAGGCACCGTGTTAAATGGGGCTCCCACCTCCCACATCATCCCCAGGGCTGGGCTGTGAGAGGGAGACACCCCTGAGAGCCTCCTTCCTGAGGGCAGAGCCTGGGGCTGGGATCCCTGAGTGTCCTCTCACCTGTCATCACCAGCACCAGGGGGTCACTGAGCTCAGACCACCGAGCGCGGCTGTAATACTGACAGCCATATCGCCCTGTGTGTTCCCAGGTGATGGATGGGATGTGGAACTGGCCGTTCTTCACAAGCTCTGGTCGTATCCGTGTAATCCAAGATGCTGATTTTTTCTCCCTATATAGACGGTACTCCTGGGCTTCAAGGCTCCCCTGACAACTGAGGGTGACGGGACTCCCCTGGGTGATCACAGAGTCTGGCTCAGCCCACAGGGTGGGCTTGGGAATGGTCCCTGGAAGGAAATCAAAGGTCAGATTCGAAGTCATTTCCCACCCAACAGATCTCAGCTCTCAGCCCAGGACCCTCCAGATGCCCCCATCAGTCAGTCCAGAACTTCTAATCCCCATCCCCAGCTGCACGGAGGTGGCCCCTTGTCCCCAGTGAGGAGGAGGGACCTGGGAGAGCTGGGGACAGACTCACCTGTCTGCACGTGGGTCCTGGGGCCCAGACTCAGCCCTGGAAGAGAGTTCCCTGTGAGGGATTTGCCCCCTGAAGCCTGAGCAGGTCCTCCCCTCCCTGGGATCTTTGTGAGCCCCTGGGGTCTCCTTAGGGACCAGAGTTTGGCTGTGGGGTGAGGTCCCTCCTAGGTTAGAAGCTCCCCTCTCTCTTCAAATCTCACCGAGACAGATCAGGACTGTGACGATGGGGGTCATGGCGTCTCCTCCCACTGCCCTGCTCTGCGGATGGATGAGCCCTCGGTGCTGGCGGGACAGAGACACACAGAGAGAAATAGCCTCCCCTCCTTCCCACCCTGTGTGGACACTCAGAGGCTGGGTCCTTCTCATGGGGTGTTGTCATCTGCAGCCACACAAGAAGCGGAACTGCCCTCCCAGGAGCCTGACTCTCATTCTTTTAGAGCTGAGGTGGGGGCAGGCACTGGGCCCTCTGCAGACATTTCAGACTGTAATGGGGTCTTTCCTGACCCCCAGCCACTGTCTGTCTGGTTTCTCCTCGTCTCACCGAGAGCCGGGATGTAGCAGCAAATAGAACTGGTGCTTCTTGTGTCTGCCCTTCCTGATGAGGGTAGCAGTGGCTTCCCCTTCCTTCTCACAGCTTCCCACATGGTCACCCTCCCTCCTTCAGCCCATCCATCAGCACAGCGTTGTGGGGTCCTTACCATGGCAGTCGTCCCTCCAGCCCTGGAGATGCTTCAGGGAAGACCCAGGTCCATGCTGCAGGCAGACTCAGATCAGCAGAGAAGCATCTCGCCTCTGGCTGTGCCGTCCAGGTTGAGCTGCGTGTGGCAGTGAGCACAGAGGAGAAATGCAGGGAAGTAGGGGAAGAAAAGTTGACTTCTTTCTTGACACTGGATTGTGGGTTTTCTTTCAACCAAATAGTCCCCTCTTAACTTCCCCTTTTTAAATGTTTTTGCTCCAGCGTCCACTCCCTCCCCCCCGGGAAGAAACCTCTGAGTCTTTCCTGCCTCCTCGGTGCCCATTGCGTCCTTAGCCGTCCCTCTGCACCTCAATTCCTGGTCAACATTTTGGGAACAATGACTTATGTTTGAGCTTTGATTTGGGGAGTGGGGGAGGGAGTTGATATTTATTTGATGACTGGTTATCATCCGCTGCCTACGTGACCTTGGTTTGTAATGTCCCATCACTGAGCCTCAGTTTCTTCCTTTGCAGATTGTTGTCATGAATCCCACTCGTCACAGTGGTTGTGGGGTCAGTGGTGCCTGGGACATTGGGAGGGGCTCATTTGTGCTTGATTTCCAGACCAGGGTAAGACCTGAGGCTTTGGGACGTGAGAGGATCTTGCTGTTGGACTCCACATTCTGTAGGTGATTGATGAGTCCACTCAAGATGTCACATCTGACCGTAATGGAGAAACGTATGTGTAGCATTTCTGAAATACCCAGAGTATCAAGGTCATGAGCAGAAAAAGACATGTGAAAACCCCAAGTGTAGACGGACTCACAAGAAAGAACAGAGGCCAGAGGTGAGATGCCACAGGGTCCCGGGACCATCAAGGGCTCATTAGGGTGGAGGTTTCCACCACTGAGTGGAGCCGGGAGAGGAACCCCGGGATCTGCAATGACAGTGAGGGGCTCAGGGCTCCAGACCAAGGTGGGAGGCTGCGTCCTCTAGCTACACCTGAGGCTGGAGTGGACCCCAAGCAGCCCAGGGGAATTCCCTCAAGGGAGTGCACCAAACTGTCCAGACCTGCTGGAATTCCAAGGAAAGAAGCACTAAACACCAGGGTGTTCATAGAGCATTTATTAGGGGGACCTCTGCACAGTGGGGCATCCTTGTCTTCTTGCCCAGTGTCTCCTTGTGGATCTCAAGGATGTGCTTCCACATAGCAGCATGTTCTTCAGATGGACAAGGAGACACTGGGTATTCTATCCAAAGCTTTAACCTAAAATAAAAACAAAACCAAAAATAAACCCCTAGAAAATATGATCTCTCAGTACAGTTGTTTCTTGGGATACACAGGCAATTCGTTTCAGTACCCCCTACATGTACCAACACTTGCTCGTACTCCAGCCCTGACGTTGTCTCTGCTGGGTCTGCATATAGGAAAAGTCTGCCGTTCATATACGCAAGTCTTGTTTCTCACAAATGCTATAGTTTTGATCCCCGTTTGTTTGGAAAAAGTGTGCATATAAGAGACCCCTGGAATTCAAGGCTGCATTGCTCCAGGGTTGCCTGGATTTTGAGTTTATTTGGGAGTGAGAAGCAAGGATTACAATATGGAGTGCATGGCATGGCAAGCCACAGTGTGTCCAGAGAGGGAAGTGTGATGTTGTGATATATGCTGGTTTTCACCCGCAGTTCCTGGCTTGTAACTCCCATAGCCCTTGTTATAGTCTTTTGTTATAACATTGGCTGTGCTGGGCCTCAGCGGAGGCCTCTGACCTCCTCCTGCCCTTCCTTCACCTAACCCAAAGTAAGACTCGAATGTTCCCTGCCTTTCTGATAGTGGATCTTAAGACCCTCCCAGAAGACAGTCTCACCCTGTTCCTTGTGGGAGGAAATGCTGATGTCATGAAGCTTTCATAAAAGCCCCAGAGGACTGGGTTTCATGAGTTTCTGGGTGGCTGAGCATGCTAAGGCTCCTGGAGGGCGACGCCCAGGGAGGGTATGGAAGCCCCGGGCCTCTTCCCCCATGCCTCCTCCTATGAGTTTCTTCATCTGTGTCCTCTGCAGTGTGCTTTGTATTCAACCAGGAAATGTCAGTGTTTCCTGAGTTCTGTGAGCTGCTACAGCAAATTAATCAAACCGAAGAGTGGGGCATGGGATCCCCAACTTGAAGCCAGTCAGTCAGAAGTTCTGGAGGTCTGGACTTGGGAATGGTGTTGGGGGCAGTTTTGGGGAATGGGCCTTCAATCTGTGGGATCCGGGACTGTCTCTGGGTAGACAGCACCAGAGCTGACTTAGAGGACACCCAGCTGCTGTTCGCTACTGCGTCTGGGGAAAAAAACCCCATACATCTGGTCCTAGAAGTCTTTTTCTGTGTTGATGATTCCTGTGACGTGAGAGTAGAGGAAAAGCACCGTAGAGAGAGCTCTCTGTACATAGAGAGGTAAAGGAAGTTCTTATCAGCAACAAGGGAGAGCCTGACAGAGCTGCCTGGAAACAGAGTTCCCTGGTTCCACAGGTTCAAAGCCAGAGTTGCTGTCAGTCCATTGGAGGAGATGCTGTTGCTGGTCAATGGTTCTCTTGAGAGCATCTTATCTGAATTCCTGACGTCCTAAAGAACATCTAGTGATAAACCTTGTCAAAGCAGAAGGGGCTGAAGGACATGGAAGAGTTTCTTATGGGTTTTTTAAAAGTCCTTAGAAACAGTTCTTATCTGAGACGTGGAAGCATGGGCCTCCTCTCCTTCAGGCCTTCCTGGCCCTGTGGGGTCTGAGTTTGACCAAAGTCATCTCATCCTTGCACCTGTAACTTTTCTATTGGGAGTCTGCAGTGAAGGGATGGGGTTACGAAGTTTAACCTGAGAGTTTCAGGAATTTGGTTCAGGGGAGGGCTTGTTTCTACACTTTTAGCAAAAGGGTTAATTTTTCAGTGTTTTCTAGAAACAACCTAAAGTGCTTTATCAGTACTTGGGGATGCTCAAGACCTCAGCTTGGGTTCCAGCCTGCAGGTGGAAACATGCATCTGTCCAACCCACAGAACAGTCATGGCCCTTTGTCTCACTCTCAGAACAAGGAAAAAAGTGGAGGAAACTGTGGGACCTTAGAGACTGTGACTCCCCCTCTTCTGTGTTTGTGGACAGACCCTGGGATGACTCAGTGACCCGGGCTACACTCAGCACTGAGCCACCTTCCCGGGTGTGCATGACACAGATGCGCTTTATCATTGTTGGACCGGGCATCTCTGACCCTGGAGTGTGAGGCTCACATGGACCCCGCCATGCCGGGCATAACACAGAGGTGATTCTAAGCTTGGGAGCATGGACACCGCAGGGCAGGAGCGGCTACAGCAATGCCCTCATCAGCTTTCCTTCCTGAGTCAGCCTGGGGAGAAACCCTATATGGAAGATCAGGTGTGTGGGAGAAAAACCCACCCCAGAGGAATAAAAATCAAAGAGTCCGTTAGAGAAAAAACAGGCAATTGTAGAAATGAATTAGGAAGCTATTGTGATGTGAAAATAGTAAATTATATTAACACATTTAGAAATAATTTCATCCAGAACAAGACACAGCTGAAATGATAAACATTGTATTGGTGTAGAATATTTACTAAAATTTTTCATTAGTCATCAGAGAAAAACTAGAAATGAAAAAAATAGAAAAGATAATTAATGCACACAAGAAATGGAATGAAAAGAGGAAACAGATATCTCTCTTTGGATCACACTTTCAGAATGAAGGAAATAAGGAGTATGTTATTCAGTAAATACTTGCAAAGAAAATGGTTGACATTTTTATAGAAATGAAGAAAGAACATGAGTTTAACGTGAACAAATTCATAAATAACATCAATGTCTTAACTATGATAGAGTAAAAGATACCTAGAATAGATACAAAGTAATTTTAAAACTACTGGAGAAAATGAAAATTATTGTCCAATGAAAGACAAGCACATTGGGACTGGATTTCCCAAGAGTAAAAAGTGCAAGAAAATGACTGGGGGCTGAGGTTCAAGTTGGCTGAATGGAAAGGGCTGGAGTCTGCCTACTCACTAAGAGGACCCAAAATAGCGAGTAAATACCAACAGGTCAAGTGGATCTTCCAAGAGGATGCTGGGGTTCACCTGAGAAACATGAGGACATGGAGAGAAGAGAAGAGAAAAGGTGGGAGCCAGGAGAGGCTCCTAACACGGGGAAGGGGTGAGTGAGTGAGAGATTCACCAACACGGGGAAGGGGTGAGTGAGTGAGAGATTCCCCAACACGGGGAAGGGGTGAGTGAGTGAGAGGATCCCTAACACGGGGAAGGTGTGAGTGAGTGAGAGGATCCCTAACACGGGGAAGGGGTGAATGAGTGAGAGCCTCCCTAACACAGGGAAGGGGTGAGTGAGTGAGGGGTCCCTGGCATCTACACCTCTGCTGTGGGCCCTTAGGATCCTGCCCACAGGAGAGCGCCTGTCCCCTCTGGGCCTCCAGAGGCCCACAGTTTGCTCCTGGAGACTGTACCAAGGCCCCACTGGAGCCCACGTGGAATCCCACAGGCTTCTGATCCCTGAGCAGCCTGGGTCCAGCTGCCACTGCCTTAGCAGGGAGGGAGGAGGCCAGGCACCTCTGTGGGCCCCAGAATAAGTATGACAGCTGGGGCACAGGAGCAGCCAAGCTGAGCACCACACAGCTGCCCACCTCTGTTGCTTCCTGCGAAATGGGGCTTCCTTCCTGCTAATGGGGCTTGCCAGCTGCAGGGCCCCAGTCACCCGTCCTGCCCCCACCCGAACACCGTGGCCCTGGCTCGGTGCCCTCTGAAAGCCCAATGCTCAGAGGCCCCTGACAAGCCCTTTGCAGTCACTGCCACCTCTGCCTCTGCCCCTGCTGCCCCAGGCCCAGGGAGGGTGTGGGGAGGCCTGGCACTTTCACGTGTCCCCAGAGCAAAACCGAGTGACACTTCTTCAGGAGGGAAGTGTGAGCGGGCCCTGTGCCTCACAGCTGCCAGTCTCCAGTGCCCCAGCCGAGGGGCGCTGCCCTCCCTAGTGACAGGCCCACAGCACAGCCACCCTGCCCCCACCTGGACATTTCAGCTGCAGCCCCCAGCCCTTCTGAGAGCCCAGTCCCCACAGGCCTGTGATCTGCCGCAGGCTCTACCACCTGAGCCTTCTGCCTGCCCCGCCTGAAGGTTCTGCCGGTGACCTGGGGACCAGCCCATCCCTCCCCATCACAGCCAGCATCTGAACCCCGGAGCAGCCGAAACCCAGTCCAGCCCCTTCAGGACTCACACACGCTGTCCAGCCGGCCACCTAGGGGCCTGTGATCCGGGAACTACCTGCCCTTTCCTACCTGCTGGCACCTGACCACTCACCCCAGGGCCTGAGGTCGGGCCCACCCAGCCAGCAACACCACCACAACTGACGTCCACTCTCCCATCCAGAGAGGCAGAAGCCCCACATCCCACCTACATGAAGCAGCTACCGCGTCAGACAACAGACAGCCGCTCAGGGTCTGCACTGGGCTGAGGGAGGAGGCTCTGCCTTGGAACCACGCCTGCAGAGAGTGGCAAGGCAGGTGTTTCCCACTGCCCTCAGCCACACTGTGGCCTGGGGAGAGACAAGAGTGTGTGTCTGAACTGAGACTCATGAGCCCTGGAGCACGGGTGTGATAGGGAGACAGACAACGTTCCTCCCTATGGGACTGGAAACGGTGTAGCTCCTTCACCCCCCGCAGAGACCTCAGGGCATTTCACTAGGAGCTGCTCCAGCCATGTCCATCAGGACTAGTGCCTGCACTCATCACTGGGATATCTGTGGGCAAGCCGGGGGTTCCAGCTCTGCCCAGGGGTGTTCCCTCGCCCCTGTGGAACAGGAAGCTCAGGGCACCTGACACTCCACGGTCCAGCCCTTCCCCTGAAACAAGAGTCAGCACCTCACAGGAAACACACCAGGTCCACATCCACCTGCTTGTGCCGAGCGTGGCTCTTACCCTTAAGCACCAGCTCCTGGCCTGCAATCTGAGCTGCACAGCCCAATGCAAACCCTGCTGCAGAAGCTCCCAAAGCCATGGGAAAAGCCAAAAGACCCTTCCCAACATGCTCTACAGTCACCCTCCCTGCGGGGCTGGGGGAAAATGTGCAAAAGAAATCCCATCCAAACGAAAATAAATTCGAAGAGAGTAAGTGGAGGCCTCTCCAGATGAGAAGGAATCAGTGTAAGGATTCTGACGCCGTGAAAAATCTGAATATTGTGGCACCACCAAAGGATCGCACTGGCTCGCTAGTGATGGATGCTGAAAACAATGGAAACTCTGAAAGGACAGATAAAGAATGAGACTGACACAAAAACATTACAAAGAATCAATGAAAGAAAACGTTGGTTTTTTGAAAGTATAAATAAAATTGAGAGATGGCTGACTACACTAACCAAAAAAAGGAGATTTAAATAAGCACAATCAGAAATGATAAAGTTGACATTACAACCAACACCACAGAGATACAAAAGATCATCAGAGACTACTATGAACACCTTTATGCACATAAACTAGAAAACCTGGAGAAAATAGATGAATTCCTAGACACACACAACTTCCCAAGATTGCACAGGCAAAAAATAGAAACTCTAAACAGACCGATAACAACCAATGAAAAAGGATCAGTACTAAAAATCTTCCAGCAAAAAAGTCCAGGAACAGATGGATTCGCAGTTGAACTTAGCTGTATGTACGAAGGAGGGCTGGTACCAATCATACTGAAAGTATTCCAAAAATCAAGGAAGTGGGATTCTTTGCCAGCTCATTTTACAAAATCAGTATCATCCTGATAGCAAAATCAGACAAGGATCCAACAGAAAAATAAAACTACAGGCCAAGAAATCTGAGGAACACAGATGCAAAAATCCTCAAGAAAATACTAGCAAACGGAATCTAACAGTGTATCAAAAACATAATTCATCATGATCAAGTTGGCTTGATTCCAGGGAAGAAAGGATGGTTCAATATATGCAAGTCAATAAAAGTGACTCATGACATAAACTAAGAACAAAAAGCATATGATCATCTCTATAGATGCAGATAAAGCTTTCAAGAAAGTCCAACATCGCTTCGTGATAAAATCCCTCAACAGGCTAGGCATGAAAGAAACATACCGCAAAATACCAACACCCCCTGCGTGACAAACCCACAGCCAACATCAAATTGAATGGGGAGAAGTGAAAACATTTTCCCAGGAAAATGAGAATGGGATCCTCCCTAGCCCCTGGGGTCTCCTACTGGACCAGGGCCTATCTGTGGGGCAGGGTCCCTCTCATGCTAGAATCTCCCGTTCCCCTCGTCAAATCTCAGTGAAGTGGACCATGGCCATGGGAGTGACAGTCATGGCACAGAGAGGCAGGGCTCTCCTGTAGCAGGACGAGCCGCAGACAAAACTCCTCAGACACCGGATTAAAGAAGGAAGAGGTTTTTATTCAGCTGGGAGCGTGGGCAGACTCGCGTCTTAAGAGCCGAACTCCCCGAAAAAGAAATTCTTGGCCTTTTTAAAGGCTTATAACTTTAAGGGGTCCACGTGAAAGGGTCGTGATACATCAAGCAAGCGTGGGAAACATGACTGTGGGGGGCTATATGCATCAGCTAACAGAACAAAAAGTTTTACAGTGCTTTTTTCATGCAGTGTCTGGAATTTACAGATAACACCAGTAGTTTAGGTCAGGGGTTGATGTTATTATTATTACTTTTTTTAACTCCTACGGCCGGGTGGTGGTGCCAAGGTTGTCTGGCTATTTATCTTACTTTTGTATTTTTCCAACTTTTGGCTTTTTCTCTCTTCCTGTTTTGTGAACTAGGCAAGGTGGGGGGAGGAGGGCAGCAGGAGTAGTAGTGGTCTCCTTCCTTACTCCCACTTACAGGATTTTCCCACCAGCATCTCCATGGGTGGTGAGCTGTCCCGGACCCCGCTGGCTCATGTTTTCCCAGGACTTGGCCTTTCTCGAATGCTTTATCTGCATCGGTTGAGATGATCACATGCTTTTTGTTCTTAGTTTATGTCGTGAGTCACCTTTATTGACTTGCATATATTGAACCATCCTTTGAGACAGGCACCAGGCTTTCTGCTGATATTTCAGACACGCATGGCATCTCTCCTGATCTCCTTTCACTGTCTGCCTGACATGTCCTCGTCTCATTGAGGGCCGGGACGTAGCTGCAAATGGACGTGGTGCCTTCCTGAGTTGGTCCCTTCCAGGTGAAGGCAACGGAGGGTTCTTCCTTCCTCTCAGAGACTCCTCATGGGGTTTCACTCTCTCCTTCAGCTCACCCATAAACACACCCTTGTGGGGAACCTACCATGGCCAGTCTTCTCACCAGTCCTGGGGAAGCTTCAGGGAAGATGCAAATTCAGGCTGCGGGGCAGACTCACATCAGCAGAGACTCATCTCACATCTTGCTGTGCAGTTCCAGTTGAGCTTTATTGTGGCGATGAACAGAAAGGGGAAATACAGGGAGACAAGGGAAGGAATCATGTCTCTTTTCCCAGAACTGGAGTGTGGGTTTTCTTTATGCAAAAACGTTCCCTTCACGAACTTCTCATTCACTCATCGCAACAGCGTCCGCCCCCGGTCTCCCTGGAAACAACATTGACCTGACTCTGCCTTCTTGGTGCCCCCGTCTTCTTTCAAACACTCCTGTTCCCATCCTGTGCTCCTGAGTTCAAGGTTCTGGGACAATACGTGGGGTTAGCACTCTGCTTTGAGGGAAAATCTTGTCTTTATTTAAATATTCATGTGTCACCCCCTGCCTGTGTGACCTTGGGCAGTAACCTCCCATTTCTGAGCCTCGGTTTCCTCATTTGGAGCCTGTGATGAACCCCATTTATCACAGGGGAGCTGGGTCATTGGAGCCTGGGGACTGCAGGGGGCTCAGCCATGGGTAATTTCCAGAGCAGGTGAAGACAGGAGGGGTGGGGGCATGAGGGGATGCTGGCGCCCACCATCAAGGCCTGAGATTGATGTTTCCACTAAGGAGAGCCCCTTTGTTCCTGCCCTTGAGAGATGCTTCTCATAATATTTCATCAACACCCCGGTTATCACAGTCATGTCCAGAAAATGAGAAATGAAAGCTTGTCAGAAGGAGAAGCGCCTGCATTAAAGAGAAAATTAAAACTGACAGAGCATTTGTGTCTGGTGCCATTGGGGTCTTCAGGGAGGAAGTAATTAAGTCACTAGTGTGCATACATTTAAGCATGAAATGCAAATCTTTTTTTTTTTTTTTTCGAGACAGAGTCTCACTCTGTCGCCCAGGCTGGAGTGCAGTGGCACAATCTCAGCTCACCGCAACCTCCACCTCCCGGGTTCAAACGATTCTCCTGTCTCAGCCTCCCGAGTAGCTGGCACTACAAGCACGCACCACCACACCCGGCTAATTTTTGTATTTTTAGTAAAGATGGGGCTTCACCATGTTGGCCAGGCTGGTCTCAAACTCCTGCCCTCACCTGATCCGCCTGCCTCCGCCTCCCAAAGTGCTGGGATTACAGGGGTGGGCCACCGCGCCTGGCCAAAATGCAAATCTTGACCTCTCATGATAAACTGAAAAAGGAGTAAATTAAAAAATACATATGCTAGACTGAATTATGTAATTTAAAATGCATTTTTGTGTTTTGTGATTTTCAACTCAACATGTCAATAGCATTGCTTCTCAGTGGGACTGGACTTCCCGATAGTAAAAAGATAAGGGAAGGAGATGCTAAGAGAGTACTCTCAGGGGACTAACTGCAAGTGAGGAATTCTATACTTACTCAGGTTAATACCTGAAAGGTAAAGGGGTCAGCAGGGGACCAATTCCTAAACAGAAGAAGGCTCAGGGCAAGACGGACCTGTGAAGCTGTCTGGTTGGGCTTCCCCTTCGTGAGGGCTGAGGAGGGATTGGAGGGTGGATCTCTCAAATCATCAGATGTGCTTTCTCTTCCAGGTGTTATACTTACCCTTTAACTAATACAGAAATGTTTTCATCTATTTTGATAGAGAGAGTGGGAGGAAAAAGAAGGCATTTTCTGAGCTGCAAGTTACTAGATATTACTGTTTTCATGCTCAGTGAAGGCAATTTTAAATGATATCATCCAGTTGGAAGATCAATGAATCCGGCCGGGCGCGGTGGCTCACGCCTGTAATCCCAGCACTTTGGGAGGCCGAGGAGGGCGGATCACGAGGTCAGGAGATCGAGACCATCCTGGCTAACACGGTGAAACCCCCGTCTCTACTAAAAATACAAAAAAATTAGCTGGGCGTGGTGGTGGGCGCCTATAGTCCCAGCTACTCGGGAGGCTGAGGCAGGAGAATGGTGTGAACCTGGGAGGCGGAGCTTGCAGTGAGCGCAGATTGTGCCACTGCACTCCAGCCTGGGCGACAGAGCAAGACTCCGTCTCAAAAAAAAAAAAAAAAAAGAATCAATGAATCCAAAATGTAGAATATGAGATGCCACAGTGATGTAAGTGAGAAACAGGCAAGTATTTGAAAATCACACACAGACATGCCCACATGAATGCAACCACACATGGGCACACATGTATGAGTCAGTGTGCATGTACACATGTGAGTACTCAGAGTTCAGCTACAGTGGAATTAGAACGTGTCTTCTCTAAAGGCAAGGATAAATGAATCCTCATTCGAAAATATATAATTGAGTGAATACTTAACTAAATAGGTGAAGTTATTCCAAATTTTTCTTTTTTTTTAATCCTGTATGTAAAAGAGTAATTCATCCACTGAAGGATAAGTTAAATAGCCCAGTACCCCAATCACACCTAGGCATGAAACACAATAGTACCATCTAAAATGAAATGATAATTTACAATCAGTAAGTGAAGAAAGGTATACTAGTAAAATATCTATTGGAAATATTAATATTCAACAAAATGTAACATAATCCAAAAAGTTTTAGAAATAAAAACTAAAATTTTGTGTTTTAATGAAGTTGTAAGGGCTGGGCATGAAGGGATTTGCAGGCTGAGCGGGGAGGATCACTTGAGCCCAGGAGTTCAAGACCAGCCAGGGCAAATAGTGAGACTCATCTTTATTTATTTTTTTAAAAAAAGAAGGTATTAAAGATGACTGGGAAAAATCACTGTATGAAAAACCGAGGAAGAAGGAATTAGGGCTCCCGAATGGGGTGAAGACCCACATGCAGAATGTCTCTGAGCCCTGAGAGTGGAGCAGTGTGTTCAGGATCCTGAGCCTGTGGAACCAACATTCTCTGAGATGTGAGTCTATGGAATGTGTGTTATAAGACCTGCCTTTTGTTAGTATAATCCAGCAAAAGCCCATGGGCGAGGACCCAGTTTTATTTTAGGGAATGTGGGGACAGTATATTTTCTATTTGTGTTTATGCAAATTTCATATTGCTGATCAGTCATGCAGAAGGCGGAGGTCAGTGTGTTCACAGGATTCGTACCCGAGAGTCTGGAGACACATGTGGGGGTCCATGGGAAAGGCTGGTGGCCGGGTATGGTGGGAAGGTAATCAGCGACAGATGCCAGAGTCTCCTGCTTGATCTTGCCGAAATCTGGCTCAAATGTTTGGCCTGGCACAACCAAACTAGAACTTGGAAGACGCTGTATAGGTAAAACATAATATTGTAATCATTCATATTCTGTTAAGGCTTTGAAAATGTCCTTAATAAGATTTCTTTATCCTGGAAGGTAGATGGCAAATGATAACATTTCTTTATTCTAGAGGGTAGATGGCAAACGATAAGATTTCTTTATTCTAGAGGTTAGATGGTGAATGATATGATTTCTTTATTCTAGAGGGTAGATGGTGAATGATAACATTTCTCTATTCTAGAGGGTAGATGGTGAATGATAAGATGTCTTTATTCTAGAGGGTAGCTGGCGAACGATAAGATTTCTTTACTCTAGAGGGTAGACGGCAAATGATAAGATTTGTTTACTCTAGAGGGTAGATGGTGAATGATAACATTTCTTTATTCTAGAGAGTAGATTGTGAATATTTGGTCCTTCATGTTTTCTCAGGATCCTCCCTCCAAACATTCTATCCTATACAGCAAAGCTTTACATCCTTCAAACACAACAGTCGTCTTGGACCTAGATATGTTGAACTCTTTAATGCTAGGACTCAAGTCCTCTTGCTGTTTGGGACAATTCAGAAAAGAATCAGCCCCAGTCATTTTGCATACTTCTGTCTGACTGTCATAGGTGAGTAGAAAGAAACAGCTCAACTGCTTGACAAGATTCATCGACCTGAGGTCTTGTCTGCAGCTGGATTTCTATCCTACTTCCGTGATTTTCCTTTCGTGGATCACCAACACACTGCAAATGCCTATCATTGCTTTTGACGTGGTGTACTTTGGTTCTGCCTGGAAAGGCAGGAAGTCTCGAAGTGAGGAGCTCACAGGTCAAAGGAGATTGAAATGTTTTCAGACAGAATAGGCAAATCCGTAGAGACAGAAAGCACACTTGTGGTTAGCAGGTGCTGGAGGGAAGAGGGAATGGGGAGTGGCTGCTGAATGGGTGTAGGATGATGACAATGTGTGGAACAGGATGGCAGTGATGGTTACACAGTGATCTGAGGAGAAGATACACAGGTAGCATCTGAGAAGGAGGGAAGGGCTTGTAGGGTTTGGAGAGGGTGTCAGGGCATCAGGGTGGATTTATCTTTTCCTGGTTGAAATCTGATACTCTCCCATTGATTTAGTTACTGAAGCACGTTTGGAACTCTGAACTGAAGAGATGGAGGCTCAATAAAGCACACCAGGGAGTATGGCAATGAGGAATAAAGAAGACTGTGTTACACACCATGGACCAGAGCACACAGATGTGCAGAGGTGTGGATCCAGCCCTGCCATGTGGGATGTAGCCTCATGTCTAGGGGTGGGAAAAGAAGGGGATCCAACCAAGGGAAGTCAACATTAATAGAGAGGAAAGGTATCACATGTTAATGGTCCTCCATGGATCACCCTGCAAAATATCTCTGCAATCCAACACTGATTCCTCCTTCTAGAAATTATCAGCAGACAGTCCAGATAGCATTGGCCCTAAATTGTCTCCCGGAACCTCCTGGGATCACCATATCTATTCCCAAGGTTCCACCACTCTGAGAGATGCATTGTCCTCTCTGCTGTTCACCTCCTAGCTGCATCTTAGGGGCTTCTCTGGCTGTGCTGAGCCTCAAATAACAGAATCCTGAGGACCACCAGGATCAAGCCAGCCTTGCCCATGTGGATGAGATTCTCCACTGTGTAATCCTGGGGGTGTGAGGTTGGGGATGGTGGGCAAAGAGACCACAGAGGTCAGGGCAGATCAACATCACCCAGGACCTCTGGATGTCCACCCAGGGCACCCACCTCCCCTTCACAGGACCTGACCCTCTGTGCCAGCCCCATAACTGAAAGCATCTCCTCACGCACCAGTCTTGGGGTCTGAATTGTTTTGTGATGGGCTGAGGGTATCAGCTGCTCCTGAGAATCAAAGCAAAGGAGAAGTACCCTGAGCCAGCCTCTCCCATGGGCTCGGCATTCTTATCTTCCCCTGTCTCCTGACATGAGTTCTAAGGAGTTCCTTAGTAAACTCTTCCTCTGTAGCAGTGTTCGTTCCGTTCTTCTTAATGAATTATTTCAGCTTTCCTGCTTTCTACAAATCCAAATGTTGCTCTTGAGTCATTTGGGGGAGAGTTTTCCTTCACCCTGAGGGCTCAGGATCTGCAAGGAAAGTGGTCCCCAGTACAGAGGTCACTGAGCCCTGTGTGCTGTCTGTGCAGCCTGGGACACGGGAGCACATGAGCCAATTCCCCCGGAGATGAGAGTTTCACGGATCCACCAGCTGAGGACCCAGGCTCCCTGGATGAGGGGTTGGTCCTCAGGGGCTCCCGAATGTCAGAAGCACAAAGCGGTGAAAGTCTGGGGCTGCCTCCCCTTCACCTGGGTTTTCATTGTCCAATTAATCTAATTAACTAATTCTTCATATAATCAGGAAAACCTAGAATGATGTGATACCTTCCCCCCGGCCCCCATCCAAAAATATCTGTCTGCTAAATAGTGGTGCTATTAGAGGTTCATAAATCAGTATTTCTGCTTTTACAAAGTGTGAATCTAGGTGAATCTAGACCAGTAACAAACATGTAAACTCCTACCACATCAAATGTCTTATTTATTTATTTATTATTTTTATTATTTATTTATTTATTTATTGAGGCAGAGTCTTGCTCTGTTGCTCAGGCTGGAGTGCAGTGGTGTGATCTCGGCTCACTGCAAGCTCCGTCTCCTGGGTTCAAGCAATTCTCCTGCCCCAGCATCCCGAGTAGCTGGGATTACAGGTGCACGCCACCACGCCCAGCTACTTTTTTTGTATCTTTAGTAGAGATGGCGGTTTCACCATGTTGGCCAGGCTGGTGTCGAACTCCTGACCTCATGATCCTCCCACCTCGGCCTCCCAAAGTGCTGAGATTGTAGGCATGAGCCACTGTGCCCGGCCTATTTTTATTTTTATTGAGATGGAGTCTCACTCTGTCGCACAGGTTGGAGTGCAGTGGCACTATCTCGGTTCATTGCAACCTCTGCCGCCCGGGTTCAAGTGATTCTTGTGCTTCAGCCTCCCTAGTATCTGGGACTACAGGGCCGCACCACCATGCCTGGCTAATTTTTTTTTGTATTTTTAGTAGAGATGGGCTTTTACCATGTTGGCCAGGCTGGTATCAAACTCCTGACCTCAGGTGATCTGCCCGCCTTGGCCTCCCAAAGTGCTGGGATTACAGGCATGAGTCACTGCGCCTGGCCATCAAATATATTAAGAATATGGATATATTTATCAAGTGAACTTGGAAATACTTACACACATATTCAAATGTAACTTATATAACCACACATAAATATGTATAGATGTAAAACTTTAGATATTTAAGATGTAGTTACATACATATTGATATTTGAAGTGAGAATATTGGCAAGCAATATAGAAATAAGTAAAATCTCCATTGTCTCATGGTTTGTATACATTTCATCAGGAAATTAGAGGAGATCCATAGAAAAGCAATTAGAATGGGGTAATTTGGTAGTGAGTTAGCATGAAATACAATGAATATACTCAAACGAGTAGCTTTCTCATGGATAATTATCTTTTATTTTTAAAATATGAAAGAATAAAGTACTTCACATATACATTGTTAAAGGTGTTGAATAATTCTTCAAGTTGGAATGAATATAATTCTTCAAATGTCCACCCAGGACACCCAGCTCCTCTTGACAGGACCTGACCCTCTGTGCCCAGCGTCATCACGGCAAGCATCTCCTCACTCACCAGCCTTGGAGTCGGACTTGTTTTGTGGTGGGCTGAGGGTCTCAGCTGCTCCTGAGAATCAAAACAGAGGAGAAGAGACATATTCAGAGGTAACTCATATGACAAATTATTCAACACCTTTGACAACTTATAAGTGAAGTATTTGATTCCTTTATATTTTTTAAACAAAAGATAAGTACCCATGAGAAAGCTACTGGTTTGGGTATATTCATTGTATTTCATATTAACTTATTACCAAATTGCCCTCTTCTGATTTAAATTTAAATTAACAATTTTAAAGCATCTCTTTTTCCTATAAAAGAGGTTTAGTTAGATGTTAGAATTATCCAGTGATTGGACAACATTGGACATGAACCCCCCAGGCCCAGAGCTGGGCTGCACTGTAGCCCCCGCTGACCTCCCCCGGGTTTCCCATGCCACAGGGAGCCGCCCAGTCAGTTTCCCTCAGGCCACTGTGCTTTAAAACATCCAAACACAGCCGGGCGCGGTGGCTCACGCCTATAATCTCAGCACTTTGGGAGGCTGAGGCGGGCACATCACAAGGTCAGGAGATCGAGACCATCATGGTTAACACAGTGAAACCCTGTCTCTACTAAAAATATAAAAAATTAGCCGGGCGTGGTGGTGGGCGCCTGTAGTCCCAGCTACTTGGGAGGCTGAGGCAGGAGAATGGCGTGAACCTGGGAGACGGAGGTTGCAGTGAGCCGAGATCGTGCCACTGCACTCCAGCCTGGGCGACAGAGCGAGACTCCGTCTCAAAAAAAAACAAAAAAAAAGAAAGACAGCAGATTCTAAAACAGTGGGGCTTTGTAAACCTTTGTTGTTTCAAAATACTGTGGCTTTGTCTTACTAAGCTGAGGTTCCAGGAGGGATGAGTGAAACTGCATGCACCCGCTCCCATCTCTGTTGGCTTTTTAACCCTTACAAGTCTCAGTTATTTGGAGAATCAGGACAGGGCCAGAGATGGCTGGAGATGAGAGCAGGTCTAGGATTGAGCCACATCCCAGATGCCCCAGAAGGTCAGAAATGAAGGGGCTTTGGGGCGGTCACATCCAGGCAGCTCCCCCTTATTCAGATGGGGAGTCCAGGGTGCAAGGGGAACGGTCTCTTTCAGAAGTTCCACCTCCCAAGGAGAGGCTGAACCACCACAGACCCAGCCCCACCTCCCCGGGCTCCTCCCACCTGACTCCTAGACCAAGTACCTGACTGTGATCTCCCCTGACCCTGGCTCTCCAATGAGAGGTGACGGCTCCTGGGAATCCTGCTGAGGGAGGGGGAAAGACCCCGCTGCTCCACTCATCAATGCTGAATCTTAGACACCTCCCTCCCCTCTGAACACTACGGAGGGAACACCTGCCCCATCCCTGGAGCCCCAGGGAGCCACGCAGACCACACCCTTACTGTCCACCCTCCCCTCTGCTTCCCTGGAAATCAGACCCTGAATATTGGAGGTAGCATTGAGATGAGTCTAGAAAATTCTCTTGAGCTGGGAGTGGCTGTTTTTTTTTGTGACCCATGGGGTCAGGACTTAGAGGTTGGGACCCAGAGGCTCAGATTCTGAGGTGGAGACATCAGGAGGGGAGCGGGTGGGGCCTCTGTCTTCCACTCTCAGTCTAATCTCCTCTCCTCTGAGGTTCACCCCCCGGCCCCGCCATCTCCTCCCAGCCCTCCCTGCTCTTTACTCTACTGGGACTTCAGGGGTGGGAGCCAGGGGTGAGAGGTCCCTGTCGATTTCCACCCTCTCATGGTCTGGACCCTCCCCTGCAGACCCTCCCCCTTCACTCCCCTCATTCATTATTGTCCCAGAGCTCTGCTGGGGGCAGGGCCTGAGCTGAGCCTTTGAGCTCAGAGAGGACAGGGTCAGGGCCCTCACCTGAGACCACGAGCTCCAGGGGGTCACTGGGGTGAGTCAGCAGGTAGGGGTTGGAGCTGAGTGAGCCGTAGCACCTGTAGGTCCCCGCGTGGGCCGAGGTCACAGGACTCATGGGGAATTCAGCCTGGTACTTATGAGATTGGCGCTTTGATTTTAGACGCAGCGGGGAATCAGCTGCCCCCTCCTTGGTCAAAAGGAAAGTGTGCATCCCTCCCTGTGACTGACACAGCAGGGTCACGTTCTCTCCTGAGGCCACTGTGGGGCCCGGCCGCACGGAGAGGAAGGGTCTGGCACGGATCTGTCCTGGAGAGAAGAAGGATGGGTGAGGGGCTGCCCCACCTTGCTCTGAGCTGAGACCTCCCCAGGCCTCTCCCTGGGACCCTCAGTCTCTCTGTCTCTGTTTTCTCTGAGTCTCCCCTCCCCGCCCACCCCTGTCACTGTCTGTCTCTCCCTCCCTTAGGACCCCCACCCCTCATCCCGGCCATCACCACCTGGGCTCCCCCAGCAGGGCCTTTGCGGAGCCTGGGTCCCTGACTGAACCCGCTGGGCTCCTCACCTGTGATCAGGATGTCCAGGGGGTCGCTGGGGGCCGACCACTCGGAGGAGAGGTTGTATGCACCGGAGCATGTGTACTGGCCCCCGTAGGAGCGGCTCACAGGGCCCAGGGTGAAGTTGGCCTGGGAGAGCCCAGCCTGGGGCTGCCGGCCAGGGCGCTGGAGGAAGTCACGTCCCCACTCCTTGTACAGAACAAATCTGTCGTAGCCGGCATCAGAGCCACACTGGAAGGTCAGCTTCTCCCCAGGGGCCACGACAGGACCCGGCTGCACTGAGAGTGATGGCTTCTTAGAAACACCTGGGAAAAGGTGCTCATGGTTTCCAGGAGCCGACCCTCAGGCTTCCCCACAAACTTTCCCTCTCCCCCGGGGCCTCACCACTGCTGATCTTCCTGTGTCTCTGGCCCCAGGAGCCCTGAGCCCTCTCGCCCCAACATCATCCCACCTGGAGCTGCCCTGAGACGCGGCTCCTCCCCACCTGCCTGGAGACTCAGGGAGACTCAGGGAACCCCAGGCAATGCTGTGAATTTCTCACCTGGGACCAGGAGCCCCAGGAGATCACTGGGTAGAGACCACACATAGGGAGCGCGCGAGTCATAACCATAGCACCTGTACGACCACCTGCGACTTGGGCTCACGGGGCCCACGGAGAAGATGGCCCGGGATGACCCACGGGCATGGGAATGGGAGTTCAGGCATTGTGGGTGTTCATCTTCTCCTTCCTTACACAGAATGAAGCCATCAAATGCCACCTGTGAGTCACACTGGATGGTCACATTCCCTCCTGAGGTCACCACAGGGCTGGGCAGAGCTGAGAGGGTGGGTTTGCTGTAGGCTCCTAGGAGAGAAGGAGGCACCGTGTTAAATGGGGCTCAGACCTCCCGCGTCATCCCCAGGGCTGGGCTGTGAGAGGGAGAAGCCCCTGAGAGCTGACCCCCTTCCTGAGGGCGGAGCCTGGGGCTGGGATCCCTGAGTGTCAGCTCACCTGTCACCACCAGCTCCAGGGGGTCACTGCTCTCTGAGAGGCCTGCAGTGTGGCTGCCATAGATACAGCAATACCGCCCTGCATGTTCCCAGGTGATGGATAGGATGGGGAACTGGCCCTTCTTCACAAGCTCCTGTGGGATCCGTGTAATCCAGAGTGCTGTTTTCTTTTCTCTATATAGATGGTACTCCTGCGTCTCCAGGCTCCCCTGACACCTGAGGGTCACAGGACTCCCTTGGGTGATCACAGAGCCTGGCTCAGCCCAGAGGGTGGGCTTGGGGAGGGGCCCTGGAAGGAAATCAGAGTTCAGATTCTAAGTCATTTCCCACCCAACAGATCTCAGCTCTCAGCTGCAGGACCCTCCAGACACCCCCATCAGTCAGCCCAGAACTGCTATTCCCCATCCCCAGCTGCACAGGGGTGGCCCCTTGTCCCCGGTGAGGAGGAGGGACTTGGGACAGCTAGGGACAGACTCACCTGCCTGCACGTGGGTCCTGGGGTCCAGGCTCAGCCCTGGAAGAGAGTTCCCTATGAGGAATTTGCCCCTGAAGCCTGAGCAGGTCCTCCCCTCCCTGGGATCTTTGTGAGCCCCTGGGGTCTCCTTAGGGACAAGAGTTTGGCTGTGGGGTGAGGTCCCTCCTAGGTTAGAAGCTCCCTCCCTCTTCAAATCTCACCGAGACAGATCAGGACCGTGAGGATGGGGGTCATGGCGTCTCCTCCCACTGCACTGCTCTGTGGATGGATGAGCCCTCGGTGCTGGCAGGACAGAGGACACACAGGGTGTGGACACTTGGAGGCTCGGTCCTTCTTCTCATGGGGTTTTGTCATCTGCAGCCACACAGGAAGTGGAACTGCCCTCCCAGGAGCCTGGCTGTCTTTCCTGTAGGGCTGAGGTGGGGGTGGGCCCAACTCCTCTATAGACATTTCAGACAGAAATGGGGTCTTTCCTGACCCCCAGCCACTGTCTGTCTGCCTTGTCTTCATCTCACTAAGACCTGGGATGCAGCAGGAAAAAGAACCAATGCTTTCCTGAGTCACCCCTTTCAGGTGAGGGCGACCTCCTCCCTCTCACAGCCTCCCTCAAGGTCTCCCTCCCTCCTTCAGCCCATCCATCAGTTCAGCGTTGTGGGGTCCTTACCATGGCAGTCGTCCCTCCAGCCCTGGAGATCCTTCAGGGAAGATGCAGGTCCATGCTGCAGGGTGGACTCAGATCAGCAGAGACGCACCTGACACCTGGCTGTGCAGCCCAGGCTGAGCTGTGTGTGGCAGTGAGAACAGAGGAGAAATGCAGGGAATAAAGAGAGGAAGTCATGACCCTCTTTGTGGCCCTGGACTATAGGTTTTCTTTCTAATCAATAGTAATCCCCCCCTTTTTTTTTACTTCCCCCCCCTTTTTTTTTGGCTACAGCGTCCACCCCTGACGTCCCTGGGAACAAACCTCTGAGTCTTTCCTGCCTCCTCGGTGCCCATTGCATCCTTGGCCGTCCCTCTGCACCTTAATCCCTGTTCAACGTTTTGGGAACAATGACTTATATTTGAGCTTTGATTTGGGGAGTGGGGGAGGAAGCTGATATTTATTCAGAGACTGGTTATCATTCACTGCCTACGTGACCTCGGGCGGTAATGAACCATCTCTGAGCCTCAGTTTCTTCCTTTGCAGCTTGTTGTCACAAATCCCACTGGTCACAGTGGTTGTGGGGTCAGTGGTTCCTGACACATGGGAGAGGCTCATCTGTGCTTCATTTCCAGACCAGGTCAGCACATGAAGTGTTTGGGATATGATAGGATCATAGCGTTGGATGATTGATGTGTTCTCTCAAGATCTCATATCTGGGATCCCTAATGGAGAAATGTACGTGAAGTATTTCTGAAATATGCAGAACATCAATATCATGAGCAGAAAAAGAGGCGTGGAAGTCTCCAAGTGTAGATGGATCCACATTAAATAACAGAGGCCAGAGGTGAGTCGCCACAGGTGCCTGGGACCATCAAGGGGTCATTAGGGTGGAGGTTTCCACCAAAGGTGGCCCAAAGTGATTAGACTCAACATGCCAGACCTGCCTTGGTTTACTACGGAGAAAGAGATTCAAATGTTTAGGAAGGTTAAAATGTTAGAGAGGAGTTGTCATTCAAGACGGCCTCATCTAAATTGGAAGAGTCTAGAAGATCTATCTTTCTTTTCTTTTTTTTTTTTTTTTTGAGATGCAGTCTCACTCTGTTGCCCAGGCTGGAGTGCAGTGGCACCCTCCTCCTCCTCCTCCTCCTCCACACCCTCCTCCTCCTCCTTCTTCTCCTTCTCCTTCTCCCTCTCCCTCTCCCTCTCCCTCTCCTTCACCTTCTCCTTCTCCTTCTTCTTCTTCTATTTTTTTTTTTTTTTTTTTTTGAGACGGAGTCTCGCTCTGTCGCCCAGGCTGGAGTGCAATGGCGTGATCTCGGTTCACTGCAACCTCCGCCTCCCTGGTTCAAGCAATTCTCCTATCTCAGCCTCCCAAGTAGCTGGGATTACAGGCACCCACCATCATGCCAGGCTAATTTTTGTATTTTTAGTAGAGGTGGGGTTTCATCATGTTGACCAGGCTGGTCTCGAACTCCTAACCTCAAGTGATCCTCCTGCCTTGGCCTCCCAAAGTGCTGGGATTACATGCGTGAGCCACCATGCTTTCTTATCCAGCACTGCTAATAAAGACCACCAGAAACCATTTTCCTTGAGCAGGCACAGCCAGCAATATACATTCACTGTCCTACCTCAGGCACATACCAACTGTTTAGTTCTATCCCATAGTTTAGTTCTCACCATAATCATCATTATCATCTCCTTTCATAAAATGTTAGACTGAATCATTACATTGATAAAATTATGCTGGTTGGAATGCCCATCAATGACAGACTGGATAAAGATACTGTGGTACATATACACCATGGAATACTATGCAGCCATAAAAAGGAATGAGATCATGTCCTTTGCAGGGACATGGATGGAGCTGGAAGCCATTATCCTCAGCAAACAAACACAGGAACCAAAAACCAAACACTGCATGTTCTCATTCATAAGTGGGAGCTGAACAATGAGAACACATGGACACAGGAATGGAAACAACACACACTTGGGCCTGTTGGGGGGAAAAGGGAGGAAGAGCCTCAGGATAAATAACTAATGGGTGCCGGGTTTAATACCTAGGTGATGGGCTGATGGGTGCAACAAACCACCACAGCACACGTTTGTTTACTTATGTAACAAACCTGCAGGTCCTGCACATGTATCCCAGAACATAAAATTAAATTAAATTAGATATCAAAAATAAAAATAAAATAAAGTTAAAAAAAGAAATTATGCTATTTGGACCAGGAAAGCAAGAAGTAGCACCTATTCCAAATTTATTAGTAACACATTTGCATGACAGAGGGTGAGAAATAAATTCCACAAAAATATTGGAGCCTTCCGCCTCAACACAATTTCTGAGTCCACTGATATGGAAAATGTTGAGATGTAACTTCTAAAGCAAAAGGTAAGTTGTTGCATCTGGCCCTTCCTACAACCAAAAGAACCATGGTACCTAGTAAGCCTCTTGGGTTTTTTTTTTTTTTTTCCTGAGACAGAATTTTGCTTTTTTTGCCCAGGCTGGAGTGCAGTGGCACAATCTGGGCTCACTGCAACCGATTTCAAGCGATTCTCCTGCCTCAGCCTCTCTAGTAGCTGGGATTACAGGTGCCCGCCCTCACGCCCAGCTAATTTTTGTATTTTTAGTAGAGACAAGGTTTCACCATGTTGGTCAGGCTGGTCTCGAACTCCTGACTGCATGATCCGCCCACCTCGGCCTCCCAAAGTGCTAGGATTACAGGCGTGAGCCACCGTGCCTGGCCCTACCTCTTGGATTTTGAAAGCAACATATTTCTCATGTGGGTGTGCTCCATTAGCCCATTTACTAAGTGACTCAAAAGGAGGCCGGGTGCAGTGGCTCATGCCTGTAATCCCAGCACTTTGGGAGGCCGAGGTGGGCGGATCATGAGGTCAGGAGTTTGAGACCAGTCTGACCAACATGGCAAAACTCCGTCTCTACTAAAAATACAAAAAATTAGCCAGGCATGGTAGCGGGCGCCTGTAATCCCAGCTACTCAGGAGGCTGAGGCAGGAGAACTGCTTGAACCTGGGAGGCAGAGGTTGCAGTGAACCGAGATTGTCCCATTGCATTCCAGCCTGGACAACACTGTGAGACTCCATCTCAAAAAAAAAAAAAAAGTTTTGAGTGGGGTGTGGAATAGGGGAAGGCTCTGCAACAGATCCAGGTCCTGCACAAGCTCTTCTGCCACCTGGGCCATATGATCCAGTGGAACAGATGGTGCTTGAAGTGTCAGTGGCAGATCGAGATGCTGTTTGGAGGTTTTGACAAGCTCCTTCCTATAGGTGAATTGGGGCTTAGACACTTAGGATTGTGGAGCAAAATCCTATCATCATTCACAGATAGCTAGTCTCCTTTTGAAAAACATATATTTTTTTTTGCCGGGCACAGTGGCTCATGCCTGTAATCCCAGCACTTTGGGAGACCAAGGTGGGCAGATCACCTGAGGTCAGGAGTTCGAGACCAGCCCGGCCAACATGGTGAAACCCTGTCTCCACTAAAAATAAAAAAATTAGCCGGGCATGGTGGCACCTGCCTGTAATCCCAGCTACTTGGGAGGCTGAGGCAGGAGAGTCGCTTGAACCCAGGAGACGGAGATTGCAGTGAGCCGAGATCATGCCACTGCACTCTAGCCTGTGCAAGAAGGGTGAGACTCCATCTCAAAAAAAAAAAAAAAGGAAAATATTATATTTTTTTCCATTATTGAGCCTTAGGAGAGACTGGATGCTTGGGCACAGGTCACCAAGGTACCATGAAATGTGAAGTGTGTGTTAGCCGATGCAAGCTGTATAATAAGATCATGTCCACTCAGGCCCTGAAAGTGTGAGCAATTTACACAAAGCAGGGGGCCAAATGCCCATGGTTCCTGTCCCTGCTACACAACCTTCTGCCTTCCAGCCTGCACCTATAATCTCATGGGGATTTCTCTATGCTCCGTTGACAGAGAAAGTGAAGACTCAAGCCTGGTTTGCAGATGGTTCTGCACGATATGCAGACGCCACCCAGAGGTTGAGAGCTTCAGCACTTCTGCCCCTTTATGGGACATCCCTAAAAGACAGTAAAGTCAGGGCGCAAGTGACCCCCTTCCTGAGGACAGAGCCTGCGGCTGGGCGCCTTGAGTGTCCTCTCACCTGTCACCACCAGCACCAGGGGGGTCACTGTGCCCTGACCGGCCTGTGGCACTTTGATAATAACAGTGACAGTTCTCTGCATTGTGCTCTGGCTTGTGTGAGATATGGGTCCTGGTCTTGTTCCCAGGCCCCAGTGGTTTCCTTAATGTTCTGTGACACTGAGCTTCCCTCTTTATCCAGCTGGTGCTCTTGGGGCTCCAGGGTACCCTGACACCAGGTGGTCACAGGCCTCCTCCCAGGGATCACACAGTCTGGCTCAGTCCAGGTGGTGGGTTTAGTGAGGAGCCTTGAAATGAAATCACAGGTTGGGTCCCAAGATACTAATGCATTCCTCAAATCCCAGCTGTCAGTCCCAAGACCCGCCCAGATGTCCCCATCAGTCAGCTCAGAGATGCTGTTCTCCATCCCCAGGTGGCTGGGGGTGGCCCGTTGTCCCCAGTGAGCAGGAGCGACCTGGGACTGCTGGGGACAGACTCACCTGCCTGCACATGGGTCCTGAAGCTCAGACTCAGCCCTGGAAGAGAGTTCCCTGTGAGAGATTTGCCCCTGAAGCCTGAGCAGGTCCTCCCCTGCCTGGGAGCATCCTGACCCCTGAGATTTCCTGATAGACCAGGGCTTGGCTCTGGAGTTAAGTCCCTTCAAGACTAGGGTGCCCCTTCTCCTCTTGAAATCTCACCAAGTCAGAGTAGGGTTGTGAGGGTGGGAGTCACGGCATCTCCTCCCACTGGCCCCAGCTGTACAGATGGATGAAACCATGGTGTCCAGGAGGACAGACAGACACACTCAAAGGCTGGGTTCTCCCTGTCATGGGGTTGTCCCATCAGCAGCCCCACAGGAAGGGGAACTGCAGAAGCCTGGCTCTCATTTCCCCAGGGCTGAGGTGGGAGTGAGCACCAGGTTTCCTGAAGACATTTCAGACAGAAATGGGCTCCCCCTGATCCTTGGCTACTGGCTGCAGGATCTTTCCTCATCTTATTGAGGGCTAGGATGTAGTAGAAAAATGGGCCCAGGGCCTCCCTGAGTGAGCCTCTTCCAGGTGAGGGTAACTGAGGGCTTCTCTTCCCCTCTCAGAGCCTCCACATGGGGTCTCCTTTACTCCTTCATCCTGTCTATCAGCACGGGGTTGTGGGGTCCTTACCATGGCCAGTCATCTCATCCGTCGTGGAGATGCTTCAGGGAAAATGCAGGTCCATGGTGCAGGGCAGACTCAGGTCAGCAGAGACGCATCTGACATCAGGCTGTGTAGTTCAAGTTGAGCTGCACTGTGGCAATGAGCGCAATGGAGAAACACAGGAAATATGGGTAGAGAACACGACCTGTATCCAACACTGCCAGTTTGCTCTATCAACCCGTGCCCTCCATGGACTTTCCCTTTCTCTTAGCAGCAGTATCCACCTTCGTCTCCTTGGAAACAGACTTGTGATCCACTCCTGAGTCTTCAGTGTCCTTTGTTTCCCTGAGGGGAACTCACCTGTTGGGATGGGGAGCTGATTTTTACTTAATGATTGCTCATTATCTGCTGCCCATGTGACCTTGAGCCTTCACAACCCCTTCTCTGAGCCTCAGTTTCCTTGTGTGGAGCAAGTTGTTACACACCCCACTCATCAGAGGGGTCGTGGGGGTCGGCGGTGACTGGGACTTCGAAGGAGCTCAATGATGGTTAATTCCCAGGACAGAGTAAGACATAGGGTTGTAAATTTGAGAAAATCAGGGTGTTGGACAATTGACGCTCCCACCCAAGAATCCTCATCTACCCTGAGCACTAAGAAATTGTACATATAATATTGCTTAAATACACAGATTATCACAGTCATGAGTAGAAATCCTTCCTTCCTTCTTCCTTCCTTCCTTCCTTCCTTCCTTCCTTCCTTCCTTCCTTCCTCCCTCCCTCCCTCCCTTCTCTCCCTCCCTCCCTCACTCCCCCCCCTTTCTTTCTTTCTTTCTTTCTTTCTTCTTTCCTTTTTTTTTTTTTTGACAGAGTCTCACTCTGTTGCCCAGGCTGGAGTGCAGTGGCACAATCTTGGCTCACTGCAACCACCATCTCCTGGGTTCAAGTGATTCTCCTGCCTCAGCCTCCCAAGTAATTGGGATTACAGGCGCATGCCACCACACCCAGCTAATTTTTGTATTTTTTATAGAGACGGGGTTTCTCCACGTTGGTAAGGCTGGTCTTGAACTCCCGACCTCAGGTGATCCGCCTGCCTTGGACTCTCAAAGTGCTGGGATTACAGGCGTGAGCCAACGCGCCCAGCCCATGTTGGACCCTTTCTTATCAGGCACACTTCTGAGAGGATGCTATGTTTGGAAGAGTAGATGCTTGATCCATTCTGCTTTTGAGAGCTTGTAATAAAATTTTCAGTTCAGCCAATGTGTTTCTCAGCGTTAGTATTTCTGTTTAAATTCTTGAAACTATTTCAATTTCTTTGCCAAATTTATCTGATACATTTCTAAATTGGTTTTATTTGTTATCATGGAGTTTGCCTAGTTTTTTTTGTTGTTGTTGTTTTTGCATAACTGCTATTTTGAATTCTTCATCCAAGAGCTCACACAGCACCATCTTTTTAGGCTCAGTTCCTAGCTCCATGCTTTGTCCATTTGAGGTGGTCATAATTCCCTGTTTGCTCTTGTTTCTTTTGGACATTTGTCCATGGTCTTTCAATGAAGGACTAGTTATTTATTTATTTATTTTTTTGAGATGGAGTCTTGCTCTGTCACCCAGGCTGGAGTGCAGTGGCACGATCTTGGCTCACTGCAACCTCTTTCTCCCAGGTTCAAGCAATTCTCCTGCCTCAGCTTCCTGAGTAGCTGGGACTACAGGGGCATGCCACCGCACCTGGCTAATTTCTTTTGTATTTTAGTAGAGATGGGGTTTCTCCATGTTGCCCAGGTTGGTCTTGAACTCCTGAGCTCAGGCAATCCGCCCGCCTCGCCCTCCCAAAGTGCTAGGATTACAGGCGTGAGCAACCACGCCCAGTCGAAGGACTAGTTTTTAATTCCGGTTCTGGCTGTCTGGTTGGTTTTGGTTTTCCTCATGTATGTTTGCTGAGAGGATCTATGTAGTTGCCTGTGATGCCCGTTAATCCAAAATTGCCACCTCACTTTCATCAGTAGGTGGTATCTTAGGCCATCGTTATATAAGAGTAACTTTTTTTTCACTTTTTGGAAAATATTTTATTTGCCAAAATACATTTGAGAAAAATAATGTTGATTATACAAGCGGATAAAGCAATTGTCATATATATATACACACATACACACACACATATATACATCTATACATATACACATATATATACATATACACACATATATACGCATATATACATATATACACACACATATATACATATATATATGTATACACGCACACACACAAATATATATACACTGTGGAATACTACTCAGCCATAAGAGGGAACAAAATAATGGCATTCATAGTGACCTGGATGAAATTGGAGACTATTATTCTAAGTGAAGAAATTCAGGAATGAAAAACCAAATATTTTATGTTCTCATTCCTAAGTGGGAGCTAAGCTATGAGGATGCAAAGGCATAAGAATGCTACAATGGACTTTGGGGACTCGGGGGAAAGGGAGGGAGGAGGTGAGGGATAAAAGACTATAAATCGGGTTTAATGTATACTACTAGGGTGATGGGTGCACAAAAATCTCAGAAATCATCACTAAAGAACTTCTGCAAGTAACCAAACACCACGTTCCCCAAAAACCTATGGAAATAAGAAAGAAAATAAAAGAAAAATGATGTTGGTTATAAGTTGTGCAAACCTGTGTCTTAACTTGTTCATTCCACCAGCATAAAATGCAGCAACACATGTGCAGTGTTGGCCCCAGGCAAATCTGCTTGAGACTCAATGTTCAAGATTGTTATTAGGTGGGGACCACATAGGCATAATGAGCAGCTACAGAGAAACCAGAGGAAACCGGGTGTTCGCCATGAATTACACTGTTTACAGAAACAGCCTAGTGAAGACATAACAGCAGAATTCAGTGCCGCAGGCACACAACCTCACGTTGTCTCTTAGTAACACAGGGGACATGCTAGAAGCAAGTTCCTAGATGCCAACCAAGAATCAAGCTCACAAACAAGTCCTTCTAAAGTTAGCATCCTCATCACTGTTAGGTTAACTTCTTCTTGCATATCCTTCACCTAAAAGAAATAGTAGTCATCTTCAATCCTTCAGCACAGCGTTCACACAGCACGTGCCTCCAGCTCTCCCAGATTCTTCTAGGGCCAGCACAGCTTTTCTGATGCAGATTTTTCAAAGTTCTCCAAACTGAAGAGTCAATCCAAAATCATCTTGACTTTCCATGTTGGCGGCCTTTGGGGGCCTTCTCTGGCTGTGCTGAGCCTGAAAGATCATCCCCTAGAGACCGCCAGGATCAAGCCAGCATGGTCATTGGAATGAGATTCTCCATTGCATAGTCTGAAGGGGCATGGTCAGTAGACAGAACAGGGCATTCACTGGGGGCTAGACAGGCTGCACCCACATTGGGAGCCTGGATGGGTGTTTACACATTCACACTCCTGAAAGGGAAGTCGTAGTTACTCCTGACTTTGAAACTATACTTGGTGGATGCTGGTTGAGAGGATCAAGGACTCCTACGAATAAGAGCATGGGAGGATTAGAGCAGCTGGGGCCATTCTACTCCTGCTCCCCTGTCTTGGCTCCTTCATAACAACTCTCTTCCCTCTTTTTTTTTTTTTTTGAGATGGAGTCTTGCTCCATTGCCCAGGCTGGAGTGCAGTGGTGCAATCTCAGCTCACTGCAACATCTGCCTCCCAGGTTCAAGCAATTCTTCTGTCTCAGCCTCCAGAGTAGTTGGGACTACAGGGGCCTGCCACCATGCCTGGCTAATTTTTGTATTTTTAGTAGAGACAGTGTTTCACCTTGTTGGTCAAGCTGGTCTCGAACTCCTGACCTCAGATGATCCACCTGCCTTGGACTCCCAAAGTGCTGGGGCCACCGCGCCTGGACCTCTCTTCCCTTCTCATGGAGAATTGTGTAACCATCCTTGCTAACCTCAACTTCCACCTCAGATGGAGCACTGTATGATTTCCTTCCTCAAATTTGTTCAAGTTCTTGGGCCTCATTGAGGTCACCACCAACCTCTCGGTTTGGGGGATATTAAGAGTTTAGATTTGCAACCACAACTCAGTGACAGAAAAAAGGAATTCAAAGATACAGGAATACTTAACTGTGCTCCTTTCTCATCTTCAATTTGTTCCCATATTAGGTAAACCCGTGCTTAACCACTTAAGGTAAATACCTCTAGTAACTCTTCATCTGTCAATACAGAATTCAGAGATGCGTATGTGGGACTCTAGATTGTACCAGAGTCCAGGGTACAACAGAGCTAAAGGCTGTCACTGCCTTTTCTATTGTTCTGCCTCATCTAATTATCTCTGTGGTCCAGTGTAGCTTAATACTACTACTATTAAAAGTAATAATCACTGCCTCACTTTTAATGATTGGGTCCACTCATCTGTCCTGTTTTGCGACGAATGAGAGAATGATTTTAGAATCCAAGCCTTTTTTTTTTTTTTGAGACAGAGTTTTGCTCTTGTTGTCCAGGCTGGAGTGCAATGGTGCAATCTCGGCTCACCGCAACCTCTGCCTCCAATTCAAGCGATTCTCCTCCCTCAGCCTCCTGAGTAGCTGGGATTACAGGCATGCACAACGACACCTGGCTAATTTTGTATTTTTAGTAGAGACAGTGTTTCTCTATGTTGGTCAGGCTGGTCTCGAACTCTTGACCTCAGGTGATCCACCCACCTCGGCCTCCCAAAGTACTAGGATTACAGGTGTGAGCCACCATGCCGGGCCGCATCCAAGCCTCTTTTCCAGGAGCAAGAAATACTACAGTGAACAAAATCTCCCATTGTTAATTCAATGTAGAAACTCATGAGAAAAAAGCAAAAAATTTTAAGGAGATAAATTAGAAAACAACATGTGCAGATGGATACATGGACAAAAAAATTAAGCTACCTAGAGATCTCGAATGTGTGTCAACCTAATACAAGGACTATTAGAGAATACAGGTGGGCAAGAATCACTTAACCCACTTTGTCATGGAAAATGTCTTTGAGGATGTGACAGGTTTGGAAAAATGAAAAAATGAGAAAGTGGTCATTATATGAAGATCCAGAAAAATAATATTATTCAATATAGGATCAGCTGATTGAAGTATTCAACAAATATGCAGAAAGTTTCCTAGTGTGGACAAGACTTATTTGATTATGAGGAAATTTAATAAGTGCTGTGAAGTAACATAGATCTGTATTCACAGATGTGCAATAAATTAAGTAAAAATCAATAAAGACATAAAATGAGAAAAAAACCTATCTACAATAAAACCATGAATCTCAAATCATTGGATGGAGAGAAATATACATATACAGAATACTCTCTGAGAATAACTAGAATAAGGAGATATGTGGCCGGGTGCAGTGGCTCACACCTGTAATCCCAGCACTTTGGGAGGTCGAGGTGGGTGGATCACTTGAGGTCAGGAGTTCAAGACCAGCCTGACCAACATGGTGAAACCCTGTCTCTACTAAAAATACAAAATTAGCCGGAAATGGTGGTGCATGCCTGTAATCCCAGCTACTCAAGAGGCTGAGGCAGGAGAATTGCTTGAGCCTGGGAGGCGGAAGTTGCAGTGAGCAGAGATCACGCCACTGTACAGGAAGTTTCAAACCCAGGAGAGGTTATCTTTCAAGTACTCAGTGTTGTGGTTTCTCCTGCCAGGGTGACAACCTGATGATTATGGAAATCTAATCAGAAAACTGCTATCTTGCTTTTATTCCTACCTCCACAGGATGAAAACAGTTAATGGTAGAGATAAAATATGTCCAGAGTAGACAGGAGTCACAGAAAAAGTGAATTCTGATACGTTCTTTCCCAGGAAGTTACTGGTACAGAAGTTTAGAACTGAGATACCTTTTGGAAACAAGGATGGCATTCTGCCTTTGATGGATGGAAGAGTACTATCCCAGATTTAGATAGAGTTTGCTAAAGGCGTCTATCTTAGAGTGGCTGAGCCATCTCCACTTCAAGCTATGACTTTCTGTGAATTACCCACCCACTTGTCCTTCACAATAAGAGCTTACCCACCCACTTGTCCTACAGAATAAGAGGGACCTTTTAGTCTGCTCTTCTGATTGCGGACCTGATTCCACAGGTGCCTGGGGCATCTTTGCAATCCCTAGGAATCAGCACCATGGACAGGGGCAAGGAATAGGGTCCACTCCTCTCTCCACTTCAGCTGGACCTCTTGTTCGTTTTCTTTCTTTCTTTCTTTCTTTCTTTCTTTCTTTCTTTCTTTCTTTCTTTCTTTCTTTCTTTCTTTCTTTCTTTCTTTCTTTTCTCTCTTTCTCTCTTTTTCTTTCTTTTCTCTCTCTCCTCTTCTTTTCTTTCTTTCTTTCTCTTTCTTTCTCTCCTTCTTCCCTTCTTTCTTTCTTTCTTTCTTTCTTTCTCTTCCTTCCTTCCAACTTTTATTTCAGACACAGGGAGTACAAGTACAAATTTCTTACATGGGAATATTGCTTGATGCTGAGGTTTGGAGTACGGATCACATCCCCCAACTAGTGAGCATAATACCCAATAAGTAGTTTTTAACCCTCTTCCACCCTCTAGTAATCCACAGTGTCTATTTTTCCTATCCTTATGCTCATCTTTTTCTTTACACATTTCACCTCATACTGACCACCCAGCAGGAACAAAATACCTCAATGCTGCTTGGAAAATAAGGCTCCCTCCCTTCATCTCTACCTTCCTTCCCAGGCTCTCTGGAAACAACCTCTTCTGTAAAGACTTCAAGGGCAGAAGAATAAGCTGAGAAACTCAGCCCAGAGCTGCCGGAGACTGTGACTCCTGTAGTCTGTGAGGACCTTGTTGCTCAGCCAACATGAAGTGAGTCCATGAGGGTGAGGAGCTGCAGATCCCACAGACTGTTTGGGGCAGGGACAGAAGGAGTAGGTGGGGTTGTGGTGCCTCTTGCTCTGTTCCTCAGCTTCATCTCTTTTGCTCAAAGGTTGGCCCCCTACCTTTTCAAATCTTCTCATTCCACTCACCCAGCACCTTCTGTGACCCCCGAGTAGGGTAAGGCATGGAGAGTGAGAATGACCCCCACTTTCATGAATTTCTTCATCCCTTTCTGAGATGGGATTGCCCTATGACTGGTCCCTGCTGTTTTTCCTTCCTTCTATCCCAGGCCGGGGCTCTCCTAGCACAGGGATGCATGCTAAGGTTTAGAATCTTAACGGATGTGGTGCTTGGAGCTCCTGTACTGAGACCAAAATCTTTAGGGGTCACTGGGGTGTGACAATAGGGGTAAGGAGGAACTATGTGGACCACAGCACTAGTAGGTCCCCCTGTGGGCTGAAGTCAGAGGGCTTGGAGTAAACTTGGCCTGAGAGAGTAAGGCCATGTCTTTCAATCGATGGTTTTGGGGAGGCACAAGTGACCGGTCCTTGGACAGACAGAAGGTACCCAACCAGATCTCTGAGTAGCACTGCAAGGTCAAGTTCTCTCCCGAGGACACTAAGGGCCCTGGCTCAGACAAATGGAGGGTTTCTTGTACATTTCTAGGAAATATGAAGGTTGCAGTGTGTACAAAGCAGCCCCTTCCCACATGTCCTGGACCCCGAACTGAGGGACTGGCCTCCTCTCTCTCAGCTCCTGTTAGACTCTTGGTGTGGGTCTTTGTAATCTCCAGGCCTCTCACTCTCCTTTTCTAAGTTGCTCTCCTTGGACCACTGCCTCATCGCATCCTCTACTCTAGGACCCTCTCCCTGGACCCTCAACCCAGGGATGACCCTGGTCCCAGGACCCTGAGCATATAATCAAGACAGGGGGCTAGGCCAGGCGCAGTGGCTCACCCCTGTAATCCCAGCACTTTGGGAGGCCGAGGTGGGCAGATCACGAGGTCAGGAGATCGAGACTATCCTGGCCAACATGGTGAAACCCAGTCACTACAGGCCAGGTGCGGTGGCTCACACCTTTAATCCCAGCACTTTGGGAGGCTGTGGCGGGCAGATCACGAGGTCAGGAGATCGAGACTATCCTGGCCAACATGGTGAAACCCTGTCACTACTAAAAATACAAAAATTAGCTTGGCATGGTGGCATGCGCCTGTAGTCCCAGCTACTTGGGAGGCTGAGGAAGAAGAATTGCTTGAACTCGGGAGGTGGAGGTTGCAGTGAGCCGACATAGTGCCACTACACTCCAGCCTGGGTGACAAAGCGAGACTCCGTCTCAAAAAAAAAAAAAGAGCGAATGGGGCTTGAAGGCTACAGACAGGAGGTTAGGACGCCATTTTGGATTTATCTTTTCCTGGAGGGCATCTGATCTTCTCCCATGGATTTAGTTACTGGTTCAGGTGTGGAACTCTGAACTGAAGAGATGGAGGCTCAGTAAAGCACACAGGGAGTGTGATAATGAGAATTGAAGTGGACTGTGTGACACGCCAAGGACCAGAGCATGCAGGTGTGCAGAGATGTGGACCCAACGCTGCCTGCCATGTGGGATGTAGCCTCATGTCTCGGGCTGGGAAGAGAAGGGAATCCAACCAAGGGAAGTCAACATTAATAGAAAGGAAAGGTGTCACATTTTAATGGTCCTCCATGGATCACCCCAGACCAGTGTCTCTGCACTCAAACACCCATTCCTCCCTCTAGAAATTGCCAGAGGCTGAGGCAGGAGAATCACTTGAACCCGAGAGGCGGAGGTTGCAGTGAGCCCAGATTGCGCCACTGCATTCCAGCCTGGTGACAGAGCAAGACTCCATCTCAAAAAAAAAAAAAAAAAAAAAAAAAAGAAAGAAAAGAAAAGAAAGAAAAAAAGAAATTGCCAGCAGACAGTCCAGATGGCATAGGCCTCAGATGGTCTTCCCGAACCTCCTAGGACCATCAGATTCGCTTCCAAGGCTCCAGCATTCAATGGTGCATTGTTCTCTCTTCTGTTCACCTTCCAGCTGCAGCTTGGGGGCTTCTCTGGCTGTGCCAATCCTGAAATATCAGAATCCCAAGGACCACCAGGATCAAGCCGGCCATGCCCATGCGGATGAGATTCTCTACTGCGTAATCCTGAAGGTGTGAGGCTGGGGATGGTGGACAAAGAGGTCACAGAGGTCAGGGCAGATCAGTATCACCCAGGACCCCTGGATGTCTCCCCAGGGCACCCATATCATCTTGACAGGACCTGACCCTCTGTGCCAGTTCCATAACTGAGAGCATCTCCTCACTCACCAGTCCCAGAGTCAGACTTGTTTTGTGACGGACTGAGGTTATCAGCTGCTCCTGAAAATCAAAACAGGGGAAGGGGAAGGAGAAGTTCTTGAAGCAATCTGAGCCCAGCCTCTCCCCTGAGCTCTGCATTCTCCTAGTTCCCTGTGCCTCTCAACATGACTTTTATGGAGTTCCTCCATAAACCCTCCCTCTGCTGGAGCAGGGTTCCCTCCAGTCTCCTCACTGAATTATTTCAGCTTTCCTTTGTTCTTTGAATTTAAACTTTGCTCCTGAGTCATTTGGGAAAGAGCTTTCCTGCACCGTGAAAGCTCAGGATCTGCAAGGAAAGTGGCCCCCAGAAGTCACTGAGCCCTTTGTGCTCTCTGTGCAGCCTGGGACACAGGAGCACATAAGCCAATTCCCCCAGAGATGAGAGTTTCACGGATCCACCAGCTGAGGACCCAGGCTCCATGGATGACGGGTTGGTCCTCAGGGGCTCCTGAATGTCAGAATCACAAACAGCTGCCTCCCCTTGACGCCACCTCAACCACCTCACCTGGTGTTTCATCATACAATAAGTCTCTAGTCAGCTAACTATTCATATAGTCAGTCATATATATATACGTATGTATATAAATGTGTGTGTGTGTGTGTGTGTGTGTGTGTGTGTATATATATATATATATATATATATATATATATATATATATATATGGTGTTACAGAGGCTCATAAAACAATTTCTGCTTTTAGGGCCAGGCGTGGTGGCTCATGCCTGTAATCCCAGCACTTTGGGAGGCCAAGGCGGGCAGATCACGAGGTTAGGAGTTCGAGACCAGCCTGGCCAACATGGTGAAACCCCGTCTCTACTAAAAATAAAAAAATGAGCCGGGCATGGTGGCACCTGCCTGTAATCCCAGCTACTTGGGAGGCTGAGACAGGAGAATCGCTTGAACCTGGGAGGCAGAGGTTGCAGTGAGCCCAGGTCATGCCATTGCACTCCAGCTTGGGCAACAGGGCAAGAGACTCCATCTCAAACAAACAAACAAAAATTTCTGCTTTTATAAAGTGTGAGTCTAGGTGAGAAGACCAATAACAAACATGTAAAAGCCCTCCATGTCAAATACATTAAGCATGTAGATATACGTATAAAAAATATATGCAGATATACCTACACTTATATTCAGATGTAACTTATATAACCATACATAAATATGTATATATGTAAAACTTTAGATATTTATTTAAGATGCAGTTACATGCATATTAATACTTGAAGTGACAAAAATTGATATGCGGTTTAGAAATAAAAAATAAAATTTCAATTTTCTTATAGTTAATATAAATTTTATCAGTAAATTTGGGGAGATCAGTTGAAAGATAATTGAAAGGGAAAAATGTTATAGCAAGCTAAAATGAAATTAAATGAATATACTCAAACTAAAAGCTTTCTCATGTGTATATCTTACTTAGAAATATAAATGAATCAGGCTGGGCATGGTGGCTCACGCCTGTAATCCCAGCACTTTGGGAGGCCTAGGTGGGTGGATCACGAGGTCAGGAGATCGAGACCATCCTGGCTAACACAGTGAAACCCCATCTCTACTAAAAATACAAAAAAATTAGCCCGGCATGGTGGTGGGTGCCTGTAGTCCCAGCTACTCGGGAGGCTGAGGCAGGACAATGGCGTGAACCCAGGAGGTGGAGCTTGCAGTGAGCCGAGATCGCGCCACTGCACTCCAGGCTGGGCGACAGAGCAAGACTCCATCTCAAAAACAAAAACAAACAAACAAACAAAAGAAATATACATGAATCAAATACTTCACTTAAGAATAATTAAAGTAGTTGAAGAATTTTTTAAATTAGACTAAATGTACACATTCTTATGAACGGAACTTGAAAACACTTATTAACTTCATTAATAAACTTCAATTTTATATATTAATAATAGAAATACTTGCTATTAACAACTAATTTTATACAGCAAATGTAAATATTGAATTATGCCCCCAGGACAATGGGAGTGGAATTACTTGTTTTTAAATCATAAATCCATATATCTTAAAGAGACAAATTTAAATATTCAAATATTGTTTTAAAAGATTCAGAAGAAGAGAGAAAAAATAAACAAGTATGCCCAGAAAATGCAGAGCAGCAATGAACAGCAGACAAGACGTGCTGTGAATAAGTTCCTAACTTCCTCCAGGGAGCAGGTGCGCGGCCCCTCCTTTGTCTCAGGGGTGCCCTGAGCACAGAGGCCTCCAGGTGAGCACAGGAGGGGCGGTGTGAGTGGTACCCACAGCTGGGGCGCTTCTCTCTAAAGGAGCAGGTCTGGCGTGGACTCCAGCCTCATCACCGTCAGATCCCACCGAGGCCTGAGCAGCCTCCTCCCCTGTCCTGAGTGGGCTCAGGGACCCCGCAGGTGTGGGTGAGGGGCTCCATCCTCAGGGGCTCTTGGAAATGAGAAGTGAGAGCTGCCAAGGGAGCATCCGTCTGTCCTCTCTCCAACTCGCCTGCCTCTCTTCCTCCTCCATCAGCCCCAGCATCTTCCCCATGTTCCAAGTCAGGCCTGGACCCCAAATCCTGCTGACCAGGTCTGTTCTCCTTCCTCTACTCATCACTCATCCCGCAGGATAGGGTAGGGGCCTGGGAGTCTTGTAAAGCTGCATGGTTTTTAGTAGAAAATCTGAAACGCTTCGTGTGACATGTGAGAGAGAGGAGATTCTAAACAGTGGGGTTTTTACACATCTTTGCTTTCTCATAATATTGTGGCTTCGTCTCACGAACCTCAGACCCCAGCACTGATGGATATGATTACATGTACCTGCAGCTGCCCCTCTTGGCTTTCTAACCCTTGCAAGGCATAGCTATTGGCAAGAGCAGACCAGGTCTTAGGGTGAGTGATGGGAGCTGCTTTTCTAGGTCTAGGATGAGCCACATCTCAGATGCCCCACAAGGTCAGAAATGAGGGGGCTTTGGGGGTCACTTCCAAGCTCAGGGGGAAGTCAGCCTGGGAGAGCCCAGCCTGGGGCTGCCGGCCAGTGGAGGAGGTCACGTCTGTCCTCCTTGTAGAGAGCAAACCTGTCATAGCCAACATCAGAGTGATACTGGAGGGTCAGGTTCTCTCCAGGGACCACAACAGGGCCCTGCGGGGTCAGGAGGGAGGGCTTTCTAGACACACCTGGAAGGATAAAGGAGCCGGGACTGCAGGGGCTGGTTCCTCCTATAAACCTCCTTCTGGAGTCTCCCTTGCTCTGTTTTTCTTTTTCTTTTTTTTTTTTTTGAGACAGAGTCTCGCTCTGTCACCCAGGCTGGAGTGCAATGACACAGTCTCGGCTCACTGCAACCTCCGCCTCCCGGGTTCGAGCGATTCTCCTGCCTCAGCCTCCCAAGTAGCTGGGATTACAGGTGTGTGCCGCCACGCCCAGCTAATTTTTGTATTTTTAGTAGAAATGGGGTTTCACCATGTTGGCCAGGCTGGTCTTGAACTCCTGACATCAGGTGATCCACCTGCCTCGGCCTCCCAAAGTGCTGAGATTACACGTGTGAGCCACTGTGCCCAGCCCTTGCTTTGTTTTCCTCACCCTGAATTTGTGTCCCTAGGATTTCTGTGTTCTCCTTCCCCTTTTTGTCTTTCTTAGCAGGGGCTGCCCTGCCTGTAAAGCTCTCCACAACCTGTCTGGCTTCCCTGAATTGTACTAGAGAAGACTGTGGCTTCCTCACCTGAGACCGGAATCTCCAGGAGGTCACTGGGTTCTGACCATACCTGCAGGATATGCCTGCGAGAGCCATAGCATCTGAGCATCCACCTGTGGCTGGGGGTCACAGGGCCCACAGGGAACAGGGCCTGGAACTGCCCACTGGGGGTCAGCTGTGAGTCCAAGGTCCAGGAGAGCTTGTGGTCTCCTTCCTCAGTCAGAATGAACCTGTCGAATCTCAGCCGTGAGCCACACTGGAGGGTCACGTTCTCTCCTGAGGTCACCACAGGACTGGGCAGGGCTGAGAGGGTGGGTTTGTTGTAGAATCCTAGGAGAGAAGGAGGCACCGTGTTAAATGGGGCTCCCACCTCCCACATCATCCCCAGGGCTGGGCTGTGAAAGGGAGACACCCCTGAGAGCCGACCCCCTTCCTGAGGGCAGAGCCTGGAGCTGGGACCCCAGAGTGTCCTCTCACCTGTCACCACCAGCTCCAGGGGGTCGCTGGGCTCTGACCAGCCTGCAGGGCTGTAGTAGTAACAGCGGTATCTCCCTGCATGGTGCTCTGTCATGGATGGGATGGAGAATCTGGCCTTGTTCTTGGGCTCCAGTGGGTTCTGTGTGTCCCAGGGTTCTGGGCTTCCCTCTTTAACCAGACGGTATTCCTGGGCCTCCAGGGTCCCCTGACACCGGATGGTCACAGAGTTCCCCCGGCTGATCACAGAGCCTGGCTCAGCCCAGAGGGTGGCTTTGGAGAGGTTCCCTGGAAGGAAATCAGAGTCTGGGCTCCAAGACCTCCCCACCCCTCAGATCCCAGCTCTCAGCCCCAGGACCCTCCAGACGTCCCCATCAATCACCCAGAACTGCGGTCTTCACCTCCAGCTGCCCATGGGTGGCCCTTTGTCCCCATTGAGGAGGAGGGACCTGGGACAGCTGGGGACAGACTCACCTGCCTGCACGTGGGTCCTGGGGCCCAGACTCAGCCCTGGAAGAGAGTTCCCTGTGAGAGATTTGCCTCTGAAGCCTGAGCAGGTCCTCCCCTGCCTGGGAACCTCCTAAAACCCTGGAGTTTCCTGATAGACAAGGGCCTCGTTATGGGGTGGGGTCCCTCCCAGACTAGGGTGCCCCTTCCCTGAGGCTTCCAATCTCACCGAGGCAGAGCAGAACCATGAGGGCAGGGCTCACGGCGTCTCCTCCCACTGGCTGCAGCTGTGCAGATGGATGAGACCATGGTGCCTGGCAGGACAGAGAGACACACAGGGTGTGGCAGCTCGGAGGCTGGGTCCTTCTTGTCATAGGATTTTCTCATTCTCAGCCCACAGAAAGGGGAACTGCTCTCCCCAGGAGCCTGGCTCTCATTTCCCCAGGGCTGAAGTGAAGTAGTTGAGACTACAGGCACCAGGCTCTCTGCAGACATTTCAGACAGAAGTGGGGTCTCCCTTCCCCGGGCCACTGTCTGCCTGATTTATCTTTATCTCACTGAGAGCCGGGACACAGCAGCAAATAGACCCGGTGCCTTCCCGAGTCAGCCCCTTTCAGGCGAGGGTGACCTCCTCCCTCTCAGAGCCTCCCCATGGGGTCTCCCTCCCTCCTTCAGCCCGTCCATGAGCTCAGCGTTGCGGGGTCCTTACCATGGTCAGTGATTTTTCAGCCCTGGAGATGCTTCAGGGAAGATGCAGGTCCATGCCACAGGCAGACTCAGATCAGCAGAGACACATCTGACACCTGGCTGTGTAGCCCAGGCTGAGCTGCATGTGGCAATGAGCACAGAGGAGAAATGCAGGGAAATAGGGGAGGAAATCATGACCCTTTAGTGGCCCTGGAGTGTTTTCTTTCTAACCAATAGTACTCTCTTTCTTGTACTTCCCTTAATTTTTTTTTTTTTTTTTTTTTGCAACAGCGTCCACCTCCACCCCACCTCCAGTAACAAACCTCTGAATCTTTTCTGCCTCCACTGTGCCTTCTGTTTCTTTGGGCTTCCCTCTATACCTCAATCCATGTTCAACATTTTTGGAGTAATTACTTAGGCTTTGTTTTAAAATTTTCATTCTTATGTATCTATTTATTTTTTAATTTTTGTGGGTACATTACTTAGGTTTGGGCTCTGGTTTGCTGAGTGGGGAGTTGATTTCTTTCTTTCTTTCTTTCTTTCTTTCCTTTTTTTTTTTTTTGAGACCGAGTCTCGCTCTGTCGCCCAGGCTGGAGTGCAATGGCGCTATCTCGGCTCACTGCAAGCTCCACCTCCCGGGTTCATACCATTCTCCTGCCTCAGCCTCCCGAGTAGCTGGGACTACAGGCGTCCGCCACCACGCCCGGCTAATTTTTTTGTATTTTTATTAGAGACAGGGTTTCACCATGTTAGCCAGGATGGTCTCGATCTCCTGACCTCATGATCCGCCTACCTCGGCCTCCCAAAGTGCTGGGATTACAGGCGTGAGCCACTGCGCCCGGCTGGTGGGGAGTTGATTTCTATGTAATTCCCGATTATTATCTACGGCTTGTGTGATCTTGGGCAGTAATGTCTCATCTCTGAGCCTCAGTTTCCCTGTGTGGAGCCTGTTGTCATGAACCTCACTCATCACAGCGGATGTGGGGGTCAGCCGTGCTTGGGTCATGGGAGAGGCTCAATCACGGTTAATGTCTAGACTAGATTAAGACATGAGGGGTTGGGACATGAGAGGATTCTGGTTTCAGTCTCTATGATTATGTCACAGAGGTGCAGAAAAAGCATTTGATAAAATCCTGCATCCCTTCATGATAAAAATTCCCAACAAACAAGGTACAGAGGGACATACCTCAAAATACTAAAGGCGATAGGTGACGAAATCCCAGCCAATATCGCAAACAGGGAAAAATAGAAAGCATTCCCCCTAAGAACTGGAGCATGACAAAGATGTGCACTGTCACCACTCTTCAACGTAGTACTGGAGGTCCTTGCCAGAGCAATCAGGCAAGACAAAGAAATAAAACACATCTAAATTGGAAAAAAAAAAAGTGAAATTATTTCTGTTCGCTGATGATATTATCTTATACCTCAAAAACCCTAAAGACTCAGCCAAAACACTCTTAGATTTGATAAAGAAATGCAGTAAAGTTTCAGGATATAGAATCAAAGTACAGAAATCAGTAGCATTTCTGTACTCCAATAATGACGAAGCTGAGAACCAAGTCAAGGAGGCAATCCCATGGACAGTGGGTGCACAAAAATAAAACACCTGGGAATATATTTAACCAAGGAGGTGAAAGATTTCTACAAGGAAAACTTCAAACCAGTGATGAAAGAAATTGTAGAAGACACAAACAGATGGAAAAACATCCCATTCTCATAAATCAGAATAATTACTATGATTAAAATGACCACATTGCCCAAAGCAATCTACAGATTTAATGCAGTCCTTACAAAAATACCTTCATTTTTCACAGACTTAGAAAAAGAAACCTTAAAAGTTATATTGAGCCAAAAAAAGAGCCCAAACAGCCATAGCAATCCTAAGCAAAAAGAGCAAAGCTAGAGACATCACATTAACTGACTCAAAGTTTACAAGGCTATAGTAACCAAAAGAGCATGACACTGGTATAAAAATAGACATATAGGCCAGTTGCAGTGGCTCACGCCTCTAATCCCAGCACTTTGGGAGGCTGAGGCAGGTGGATTACGAGGTCAGGAGTTCAAGACCAGCTTGGCCAACATGGTGAAACCCCGTCTCTGCTAAAAATACAAAAGAATTAGCCAGGTGTGGTGATGGGTGATCTCAAATTAACAACCTAACATCACAACTAAAAGAACTAGAGAATAATCCGCCCGGCGCGGTGGCTCACGCCTGTAATTCCAGCACTTTGGGAGGCTGAGGCGGGTGGATCACAAGGTCAGGAGATCGAGACCATCCTGGCTAACATGGTGAAACCCTGTCTCTACTGAAAACACAAAAAATTAGCCAGGCGTGGTGGCGGGCACCTGTAGTCCCAGCTACTCGGGAGGCTGAGGCAGGAGAATGGCGTGAACCTGGGAGGTGGAGCTTGCAGTGAGCCGAGATCACGCCACTGCACTCCAGCCTGGGAGACAGCAATTGGAATGCAATTTAGAAATAAAGTGAAATTTCAACTTTTGTGTGAGTTATGTACATTTTATTAGTAAATTAGAGGGGATCAATTGAAAATAATTGGAATTAAGAAATTCTGTAGTAAGTTGGTATAAAATAAAGTAAATGAACTCAAACCAATTACTGTATCATGTATACCTAGCTTTTATTTATAAGGAATCAAAGACCTCATTTACAGATTATTCAAGTGATTGAATAATTGTTTAAATTGAAATAAATATATAAAATTCTTATAAATAAAATTTCAAGACACTTCTTAAGTTCATCAATAAACCTCAATTTTAAAAGTTTAGGATAGGAAAACTTAACATAAATAAGAAACTATTTTCTAAAGCAAATATATAAATGAAATCATGTCCCAAATTAAAATGATAAGTTTATATATTCATGTATTGCTTTAAATGTTTCAGAAGAACAGAGAGTAACAATAGACAAGTGTGCACAGAAAAGGCAGGGTAGAAATGAATGACACACAAGCCGCGCTGTGAATAACTCCCTAACTCATCCAGGGAGCAGGTGCGTGGCCCCTCCTTACTCTCAGGGGTTCCCTGAGCACAGAGGCCTTCAGGTGAGCACAGGAGGGGCGGTGTGAGGTGCACCCACAAGTGGGGTGCTTCTCTCTAAAGGAGCAGGTCTGGGGCGGACTCCAGCCTCATCCCAGTCAGATCCCACCGAGGCCCGAGCAGCCTCCTCTCCTGTCATAAGAGGACCCAGGGACCCCGCAGGTGTGGGTGAGGGGCTTCATCCTCAGGGGCTCTTGGAAATGAGAAATAAGAGCTCCCAAGGGAGCGTCCATCTGTCCTCTCTCCAACTTGCTTGCCTCTCTTCCTCCTCCATCAGCCCCAGCGTCTTCCCCATGTCTGAGTCTGGCTGGACCCCAAATCCTCCTGATCCAGCCTGCTCTCCTTCCTCTGCTCATCACATATCCTGCAGGACAGGGTAGGGGCCTGGGAGTCATGCACAGCTGTGCTGGGTGTTGCTTTTAGTAGAAAATCTGAAACAGTGTGTGATGTGTGAGAGAGGGGAGATTCTAAACAGTGGGGTTTTTACAAATCTTTGCTTTCTCCTAATACTGTGGCTTCATCTCACGAATCTCAGACCCCAACATTGATGGATACAATTACAATTACATGTACCTGCAGCTGCCTCTCCTGGCTTTCTAACCCTTGCAACACACAGTTATTGGTAGGAGCTGACCAGGCCAAGGGAGGGCTGGGGGACGGCAGCAGGTCTAGGATGAGCCGCAACCCAGATGCCCCAGAAGGTCAGAAATGAAAGGGCTTTGGGGGTCACTTCCAGGCAGCTCCTTCTTATTCGGATGGGAAAGGCCAGGGCGGAAGGGGAAAAGGCTTTCTCAGAAGTTCTGAGGTAGGATGTGGGACTTTGGAGGCGGGGACTCAGACACCACGCCAGATTGAGAACTAGCTAAAACAGGGCAGAGGGTGGAAGCAGCTCTTCTTAAGACACGCCCACCAGTGTGGCATCCCGGTTTACCGTTGCCATGGCAACCCCCGGAAGGTACCGCCCTTTTCCACGGCAAAGACCCACTGACCGGAAGTTACCGCCCTTTTTCTAGGAATTTCTGCATACCTGACCTTTAATTTGCATATAATTAAAAGCAGGTACAAGAGTGGCTGCAGGTGTGTTTCTGAGCTGCTATTCTGGGCACACCGCCTGTGGGGCAGCCCTGCCACCCTAGGAGCAGTACCTCTGCTGCTGCTGTGCTCGGCCACTTGACTAGAGGTTGCCGTAACCCTTAAGGGGTTGTGTAACACCAGCTCACCCTTAAATTCCTTTTTTTTTTGTTTTTGAGATAGAGTTTTAGTCTGTCACCCAGGTTGAAGTGCAATGGCGCCATCTCGGCTCGCTGCAATCTCTGCCTCCGGAGTTCAAGCGATTCTCTTGCGTCAGCTCCCAAGTAGCTGGAATTACAGGCACCCGCCACCCCACCCTGCTAATTTTTGTAGTCTTTAGTAGAGACGGGGTTTCACCGTGTTGGCCAGGTTGGTCTCAGACTCCTGACCTCAAATGATCTGCCCGCCTCAGCCTTCCAAGGTGCTGGGATGACAGGTGTGGACCACCGCGACCGGCCTAAATTCTTTCTTAGGCAAAGCCAAGAACTCTTCTGGGCTATGCCCCGATTTGGGAGCTCCCCTTCCCCGCATCATCTAGTTACCAGGAAGGGATGACGGAGACAGCGAGTGAGAGGCAGAGAGACTTTCCGCAGAGGCAGGGACAATTAGGAGAGAGGCGAGATGGCTAGACAGCAGAGATGGTGACAGTGATCAGCGGAGGGGTGGCAATGGGTGAAAGACACGGAGAGGTGGCACTGGGCTAGACAGCGAGAGGTTGCTGAGACAGTCGGAGAGACAGCGGGGCGGGGCAGTCTGTGATCAGGGCTCCAAGAGCGGTCACACAGGCTGTAACAGTAAACAGCTGCTAATACTGCAGAGCTGTCACACTAACCAAAGGCTTTGCTTTTGGCGCCTTCATCTTTCCTTGGATAGTGGTGGAGCTCAGCGATGGGCAAGCAGGTGAGACCCCCGCTCCAACCGACAGGCCCATGGGTTACCAGTCCCCGCACCGGACCCCTGGGTGACAGCTGAGCCCACCCAAGCTGGGGGATCCTGCAGAGACCTTCACCTGGGCCCCATGTGGAAGATTTTTGATGTTATTTAGGCTTTTGGGGATGGGGGAGTGTCCCCTCTGCCTCCCCCGTAATATCTGGTGAGCCGTATGGGTAATGCGAGCACTAGACACCTAAACCCCACCAGAACGCAATGCATCCATGTAAGGAACCTGCGCGTGTAGCGCCTGAATCTAAAAAAATAGAGTAACATTAAAAACAACAACAACAATAAAGCCGTGTGAGGTGGCTCACGCCTGTAATCTCAGAACTTTGGGAGGCCGAAGCGGGTGGATCACCTGAGGTCAGGAGTTTGAGACCAGCCTGGCCAACATGGTGAAACACCGTCTCTACTGAAAATACAAAAACTTAGCTGGGCATGGTGGTGGGTGCCTGTAATCCCAGCTACTCATGAATTATCATGAAGAGAAAATGGGCCAGGTGCGGTGACTCACGCCTGTAATCCTAGCACTTTGTGAGGCCAAGGCGGACAGATCACCTGCGGTCAGGAGTTCGAGACAAGCCTGGCCAACATGGTGAAACCCCATCTCTATTAAAAATATAAAAATTAGCCGGGCATGATGGTGGGCACCTGTAATCCCAGCTACTGGGGAGTCTGAGGCAGGAGAATCACTTGAACCCAGGAGGTGAAGGTTGCAGTGAGCCGAGATGGTGCCACTGCATTCCAGCCTAGGCGACAGAGAGAAGCTTCGTCTCAAAAAAAAAAAAAAGAGAAAAAATGGTCCACAATAAAATAACAGGCGGTTATTGTACCTGAATTTATCAGTAAAAAATTGAATTTTTTCTTTTATTGCCTAGAGTCCACCTTCTATCAATGTCACAAGCATGACACTCAGAACAGAGAGGAAAAGATTATATTTGAAGTCCTAATATAAATTTAATTTACCATATTGAAGTATAAGTATTTTAGAGTTGCTTCATGAATTTTTTGCTAAAATCTAAAAAGAAAACCCACAAAAAACCCTAAATGTAATGACGTTAATGCAGTTCCTGACAGTGACTTTTAGCCCTTCTGCAAACTTTTGTTTCGTTGCCTTCCTGACCGTATGACGCAATGAAATTTCGATTTGCTTTAATTTCTGCTTCCTCTTTCCCTATGTTTCAGTTCTGAAGGTATGAGCTTCTCTCATCTTTTTCTTTTCTTTTACTTTGAGATGGAGTCTCGCTCTGTCACCCAGGCTGGAGTGCAACAGCCTGACCTCAGCTCACTGCAACCTCTGCTACCCATGTTCAAGTGATTCTCCTGTCTCAGTCTCCCAAGTAGCTGGATGACAGGCATGAGCCACCACGCCCAGTTAATTTTTGTATTTTTAGTAGAGACAGGATTTCACCCTGTTGGTCAGGCTGGTCTCGAATTCCTCACCTCAGGTGATCCACCTGCTTTGGCCTCCCAAAGTGCTGGGATTACAGGTGTGAGCCACCGTGCCCGGCCAGGATATTTTTTTCTTTAGAGCACTTACTTCACTTTCTTTGAGTGAAGTTGGATGGGTTACAGCCGTTGTGGTGTTACAAAGAATAATTCTGAGAGAAATATTGTTATTTGTTGGTAAAATAAAAGTGTCTTAAGTTAAAAGTTTCCTTTGAGACCCAATAAAGAAATTAGTATTACTACATAATGCATTTATTTACAAGTCTTTTTTTGCATGTCCATTGTAAATTTAATATTTTAATTTACAATGAGTTTACAAATAATTTTTACAAATAAATGTTACAAATAAAAATAATTTACAATGAGTAAATGAGTTGGAATTTATTTACATGCTTATGGCTGCCTTTGATTAAACTTCTTCCAAAAATAAACTCTGTCCAGATGTTGGGTTTTATTATACTTAATTTCATTTTAATGTTATTTCATGTGAGATTACTTGAATACAAGCTGTTGCATAATTGCTCCCAAGTGGAGTCTTTGCTGTGCACTTGCATACCCCAGAGTGGGAGGTTTGGGGATTCTGAATGGCCAGGGCAGCGTGTGGGTGTACCTTCACAGGCCTGATGTGTGAGCCTTCAAACACCGGGGTGGAGGAAGTGATTAAATAGAGGATGCAATGGTCTGGAGGCAATTTATAGCCCAGAGACCATACCTGGGGCATTTCTCTTCCTTATCTAGCACACAAAGTAGAACCGTGACACTCGGGCGTCACTGACAATGAACACAAAGGGGCTGAATGTCGGGAATCCTGCAGACGCCAGGAAAGAGGTACTTCTCAGCCATTGGCTTGGATTCTGAATCTGGGTTACGCACAATGACAAAATATCAGCTAGAGCATGAGAGGAGACAAACATGCTCACCAGGATGAGGATGGTGTGTGTGGTTGTGGTTTCATGAGATGTTCTGCGGGAGAGGTTGCGGCTGCGAACATGTTGGACTCTCTGCTTGTATCTATGCAGGACGAGGACCATGGAGCTGCTGGTGCAGATCATGAGGGAGACACATATACGGGAGACACATATACCATCTGTGCAGCAGTAAATGACTGCAACTATTACATACAGCGATCTTCCTGGATAGGGTGAGGAGCAGTATCTATACATTTTTTCCATACTCATGTTTTTGCTCTTTATTGGGTCAGTTATATACTTTGCAGTATAAATATTTACAACAAGATTCAAGATCCAACAGAGGAAACAGCAGAAAACTATAAACTTTGGGGATCTAATTCAGAGTTCCATCTTCCCAGAGATACTGGGGTGAAGCTTCATGGCCTGGAAGCCACTGAAGAGGCAGGTGGTGCTGAGGGAAACCCCTCTGGCCACTCTGTGTAGGTAGAAGACAAGTTTACATCCAGCCTCATCCAGGAAAGGTTTCAATCCAAAAGCCGCCACTGTCTGAGGGATCCCTTTAGAGAAAAGAACCGGGTTGTTGGCTAAGACCAGCTGGCTGAGAATCAGGTCTCTGGGTCTCACTATTTGTGTGGGGACAAAAGTAAAGCTATAAAAGTAAAGGAGTAGAGAATTTCCAAGGATTCCAGCAGCGGTCTGAATGAGAAAGGTAATACTCCAATTTAAGTTAACAGAAACCATCTCCATTTAGAGGAGATGTTGGAGTTTGATTCTATTTTCATCAGAGGAATCTGTAGACTGAAAAATACAATTGAGTGTTTTCACTGTACCCGGTTTCATGCGCTTCCGTGTGAAGAGACCACTAAACAGGCTTTGTGTGAGCAGTAAAGCTTTTAATCACCTGGGTGCAGGTGGGCTGAGTCCAAAAAGAGAGTCATCGAAGGGAGATAGGGGTGGGGCCATTTTATAGGATTTGGGTAGGTAAAGGAAAAAGAGGGGTTGTTCTCTGGTGGGCAGGTGTGGGGGTCACAAGGTGCTCCGTAGAGGAGCTTTTGAGCCAGGATGAGCCAGGAGAAGGAATTTCACAAGATAATGTCATCAGTTAAGGCAGGAACAAGCCATTTTCACTTCTTTTGTGGTGGAATGTCATCAGTTAAGGCAGGAACCAGCCATCTGGATGTGTACGTGCAGGTCACAGGGGATATGATGGCTTAGCTTGGGCTCAGAGGCCTGACACCCAGAAAATGCCTTTTTCTCACGAAACTCATTATTCCAGGTGAATACAAACATTAAGAACAAACTTGTACAATTACAAAGCTATTTATTCCAAAATTATGATTTGTAAAACTACAATGACTTGAACCCACTTAATTTCAATCAAAGAAAGACTCAATAAATTCCTGGGCCTCCCCACAGTGGAGTCCTGGGCAGCTGTGGGTGAGATGAATGAGTTATCTTGAAGGCTGACCTTCCAAGACGTGTAGTTGTGTAGTTGGGGTGGCAGGGAGAAAAGAAAAAGAAAGATTCAGGACGTTATCAACAGTTAACTTTATTTTACTCAGAACCAGAGAAAAATGGTATAGTGTTATGTCATTGTGTGTGTATTTTGTAATCTATTTTTTAAAATGAAAGATTAATCAATACCTTTAAAAGTGGGTAGTTGAGAGAGAGAGAGAAAACAGTGCAGAGGAGACAGAATAAAGCTAGACTGACATCATTGTGTCTTGTTTCTTGTTTTGGTATAGAAATATAAACATACCTTTGGGAGGCTGAGGTGGGCGAATCGCAAGATCAGGAGTTCAAGACCAGCCTGGCCAACATGGTGAAACCCCACCTCTACTGAAAATAAAAAGATTAGCTGGGCATGGTGGCACACTCCTGTCATCCCAGCTACTCGGGAGGCTCTGACAGGAGAATTGCTTGAACCTGGGAGGTGGAGATTGCAGTGAGCTGAGACTGTGCCACTGCATTTGTAGGGACCAGCCCCACAGGGTCGGTGGGTCTCTCCCTGTGTGTGGTGACGATAGAGTGTAGAAATAAAGACACAAGACAAAGAGATAAAAGAAAAGGCAGCTGCGCCCGGGGGACCACTACCACCAATGCGCGGAGACCGGTAGTGGCCCCGAATGTTGGGCTGCGCTGTTATTTATTGGATACAAGGCAGAAGGGGCAGGGTAAAGAGTGTGAGTCACCTCCAATGATAGGTAAGGTCACGTGGGTCACGTGTCCACTGGACAGGGGGCCCTTCCCTGCCTGGCAGCCGAGGCAGAGAGGGAGAGGAGACAGAGAGAAAGACAGCTTACGCCATTATTTCTGCATATCAGGGACTATTAGTACTTTCACTAATTTACTACTGCTATCTAGAAGGCAGAGCCAGGTGTACAGGATGGAACATGAAGGCGGACTAGGAGCGTGACCACCGAAGCACAGCATCACAGGGAGACGGTTAGGCCTCCGGATAACTGCGGGCGAGCCTGACTGATGTCAGGCCCTCCACAAGAGGTGGAGGAGCAGAGTCTTCTCTAAACTCCCCCAGGGAAAGGGAGACTCCCTTCCCCAGTCTGCTAAGTAGCGGGTGTTGTTCCTTGCCACTTACGCTACCGCTAGACCACGGTCCGCTTGGCAACGGACGTCTTCCCAGACGCTGGCGTCACCGCTAGACCAAGGAGCCCTCTGGTGGCCCTGTCCGGGCATGACAGAGGGTTCGCACTCTTGTCTTCTGGTCACTTCTCACTGTGTCCCCTCAGCTCCTATCTCTGTATGGCCTGGCTTTTCCTAGGTTATGATTACAGAGGGAGGATTATTATAATATTGGGATAAAGGGTAACTGCTACAAACAAATGATTAATGATATTCATATATAATCATAACTAAGATCTATATCTGGTATAACTATTCTTGTTTTATATTTTATTATACTGGAACAGCTCGTGTCCTCTGTCTCTTGCCTCGGCACCTGGGTGGCTTGCCACCCACAGCATTCTAGCCTGGGCGACGAGCAAGACTCCGTTTAAAAAAATATATATATACATATATAAACATATTCCTGAATGTCTATACTATAAAATATTTTTAAATATAACTTATAAATCTAAAGATAATACCTTAAAAAAGGAAATAGAATTGAGTTCCTATCAAATTAGGGCATTACTAAACAAGGAAGAATTATTTGTACTAGAATGTAAGCAAAATTACTTGACCATATATTTTATAATGCATATATTATTTATCATATTATATAATAAATGTATACTTTTAAATCAAATTATATATTATGTAGTGACATATAGTTAATATTATTATATAATTTTGACTATATATAGTAAAACATAAGTGAATACACCCTCAAAAATGTTTAATTCTTAAAATATGTATGGTCAAAAATTCTAAATTTCATCCTAGAGAAATAGCTGACTCCACATTCGGAGAGAAAATACAGGAGATGAAGTCAGAACTTCTTATCATGCAAGAAAGCAAAGACATCACCACATACCATCAGATTCATGTTACCTGAACATAAAGTCTATCATGAAAAGTTCCCAATGGCAAAATGTGGAATATTTATAGAATCAAATAATATAGGTAGTGTATTAAAACTAATGAATATGTTCAAAGCCTATCAGTTTACTACTGTTAAAAACAAAATTAAAAAACAAAAAACCCCTCAAATATGAGGAATGGGAAAAGAACAAAATCTCCACATCAAAAACGTGGAAATGAAGGCAAGAAGCAAGATCTCTTTTGTTTATCTGAAGTGTTACACAGGAAACATTCTTTTCTGTAGAATGTTTCTACATAATAATAAGTATAGTAATAGCTATAGTAATGTTTTTGCCTAAGAATAGCTGTAGAGTTTTTGCATAATAATAGTTAACCCTGCAAAGCTTGGATAACCTGTGCGTTGAGTATACAAGCAATAAACATCAATGGCTGCCAAAACCCTTAGGCTGAAGGTTGATAGTGAATATAATAACGAGTGGATCCTGCTGATAGTACAGCCATCAGTACAGAATTGCAAGGTGGAGAATGCAAGACACAAGCAAATGAGCCATTGTGTCTCACTTCTGACATTTTCTAAGCATCTTTTTTACCATACCCTCAAATCTAGACCGTTATCTGGCTGGGCGTCTCTATGTTTCTTGGATTTGTGTGTCAAACTCTCTAGCGAGTTTAGGAAAATATTCATGGACTATATCCTCAAATATATTTTCCAAGTTGCTTATTCTCTCTTCCCCTTTCAGGAATGCTGACAAGTCATACATTTGGTGTCTTTAGATAATATCATATTTCTCAGAGATTTTGTTCACTTTTAAAAATATTTTTTCCTTATATTTGACTGATTTGATTCAAACAAGTCTTCAAGCTTTGAAATTCTTTTCCTCAGCTTGGTCTATTCTGCTGTTAATGCTTCTCATCGTATTATGAAATTCGTGTCATGAATTTTTCAGCTCGAGAAGTTCAGTTTGGGTGTTTCTTAAAATTTAATCGTTCATGTCATTAATCATTTTACTGGATTGCTTGGCTTCCTTGGATTGAATTTCAACTTTGCTCTTGATTTGAATGACCTTCCTTGCCATCCAGATTCCAAATTCTACGTTTGTCATTTCAGACAATTCATACTGATTAAGAACAATTTCTGGGGAGCTCGTGGACTGGTTTGGAGATAATAGGAGTTATTTCCCTGATTTTTTTTCTCATCTGGGAGGGTTGCTATTCCTTTCATTGCAAGGGTATAAATTGAGTATAGTCTGTTGGCTTTATTTCTGGAAGTTTTCAGGGGACTAAGGCTCTGTACAGGGTCTTTGCTGAATTCTTGCTCTTGGTTTTCCAGGCGGTAGAATTTAGTAAAGTGATTTTTGGTGTTGTAGTGTGGCTGTAATCCAGTAGATGGCGCTTGAGAGCAATAGGCAATAGACAGGCTCTTACTCCACTGCGTGGTGCCTTTGTTTATCTTTGTTCTTGACCTTGATACTTTTGAAAAGGTCAGAGCAGTTTTTTTGTTTTTGTTTTTTGAGACAGGGTCTCACTTTGTCACCCAGGGTGGAGTGCAGTGGCACGATCTTGGATCACTGCAGCCTCAACCTTCCCAGGCTCAGGTAGGTGACAGAGCAGGCAAGTTAACTTAAGGCCTCCTCCTTGGCAATCTGGTCTCAAGTAGGGGACAGGTCCCCACAGACAGAACTGAGGGGCAAGTGTGGCATGGGCTCCAGACCCCGAGCACTGGAATTAGACACCTCTCCTTTGCAGAAAGGTTTAGCCTTTCCTCAAGCGGTTCTGCAAAGGAGAGGTGTAGCTGGGGTGGCGTGGGCAATGGTGGTGGCAGAGTTTGTGTGAAACTTGTCTCTTCCCCAATCACTGTCACTTGTTTCAGGAGACGTTGTAATGTGCTGTATGGTTTGACCTCCAGGCCAGTAGGTGGCAATTGCTGGTGAGAGCCAGTTGTAGCGCTGGCAGTGGGCTTTATGCTTGACCTTTGTTAACCGGAAGCATTCAGGTATCCTAAGTGATGGGTTGGGTTGTGGAAAACTCAGTGGTCTTGATCAGTACTCTGCCTCCAACGCAGGGAAATGAAGGTAAGTGTGGCTGGTCCAGGCAAGCCTGTACTCAGGCCCAATGCTAGGCACAGGCTCCGTCCCCACAGAGGCTACATGTGTGGTTCTCAGGTCCCTGGAGAGACACTCAAGCACTGAGTAGGGCAATGACTATTATGCCAAAGTTACAGCAGAGTTCCCCAGAGGGGCACGTTGGGTTCCAAGCCTAGAAAATGACAGTGGGACTCACTTTAATCTAATGCTCCCAACCCAGCAGAGCTCCTCCCTGTGGCCCAATGCTGGAAGCAATTTCAGACCGTCAAATCACATGCGGTTTGATGTCAGACCACTCAACTACCCCAGGCCACAGATCTTGCCTCCTGGGTAAAATCCATGCCTCTCAGGCTACAACTTTTCCCACGCGGTTCTGTCAAAGAGAGGTGTCCAACGCCAGTGCTTGGTGTCTGGAGCCCATGCCACAATTGCCTCTCAGTTCTGTCCATGGGGACCTGTCTTCTACTTGAGCCCAGATTGTCAATCTCTGGCCCAAGACTCTCCGAAGTAGTGACCCTCACCCATGTTTGATGTCAAGTTCTTTTTTTTTTTTTTGAGACGGAGTCTCGCTCTGTCGCCCAGGCTGGAGTGCAGTGGCGTGATCTCAGCTCACTGCAAGCTTCGCCTCCCAGGTTCGTGCCATTCTCCTGCCTCAGCCTCCCGAGTAGCTGGGACTACAGGCACCCACCACCGTGCCCGGCTAATTTTTTGTATTTTTAGTAGAGACGGGGTTTCACCGTGTTAGCCAGGATGGTCTTGAACTCCTGACCTCGTGATCCGCCTGCCTCGGCCTCCCAAAGTGCTGGGATTACAAGCATGAGCCACCACGCCCAGCTAATTTTTTGTATTTTTAGTAGAGACGGGGTTTCACCGTGTTAGTCAGGATGGTCTCGATCTCCTGACCTCGTGATCCGCCTGCCTCGGCCTCCCAAAGTGCTGGGATTACAGGCGTGAGCCACCGCGCCGGGCCGATGTCAAGTTCTTGCACTGCCCACTAAGGGTTAGGATCAGGAATGGCCTCTTTCTATCAGCATCCAGGTCTGGGAGCACACATGGAGCACTTCCCTGGGCCCTTCCTTTTCACAGTCCTCCCGCTGTTCCCTAAGTCAGATCCAGGGCTTAGGTCGGTCAAAGAGCTCCCCAGTGGCCTGGATTGCCTGGCTCCCCACTGAGAATGGGTATCATGTGGTCTCATAACTTCCCTCTCAGGCACTGGAAGTTCACTCATGGTTTTCTGCCAGGTCTTGCTGCATGAGCTGCTGCCTGCCTTCTTTTTAGCAGTATCTGAGATTTCCTTCACTTTCATATTCAACTCCTGTATTAGTCCATTTTCAGGCTGCTGATAAAGACATACCCGAGACCAGGTAATTTATAAGAAAAAGAGATTTAATTGACTCACAGTTCCACATGGCTGCAGAGGCCTCACAATCATGGTGGAAGGTGAAAGCAACATCTCACGTGGTGGCAGGTACAGAGGAAATGAGAGCCAAGCAAAAGGGGAAACCCCTTATAAAATCATCAGCTCTTCTGAGACTTATTCACGACCACAAGAACAGAATGGGAGAAACTGCCTCCATGATTCAGTTATCTCCCACCGGCTCCCACAGCACGTGGGAATTATGGGAGCTACAATTCAAGATGAGATTTGGGTGGGGACACAGCCAAACCATATCACCTCCCATGTTCTTTCTTGGATACAAGAATGCAGAATGAATCTCTACACACCATTTTGGTATTTTCACCATCTCGGAAGACATAACAGTGTATTATATCCTTAAAAATCACTATAAAAGTAGATTTTAAGGGTTCTTACCACACAAAAATTAGAAATATGGAAAGTAATGTATATGTTAATTAGATTGATTTGCCCAACAGACAAGTATATATATTTCAAAACTACATACTTTACACAATAAGTATATACAATTTAGGAATTTTTCTTTTTTCTTTTTTTTTTTGATGGAGTCTCACTCTGTCACCAAGCTGGAGTGCACTGGTGCGATCTCGGCTCACTGCAATCTCCGCCTCCTGGGTTCAAGCGATTCCCCTGCCTCAGCCTCCCGAGTAGCTGGGACTACAGGCGTGCACCACCACGCCCGGCTAATTTTTTGTATTTTAGTAGAGATGGGGTTTCACCATGTTGGCCAGGATGGTCTCGATCTCCTGACCTTGTGATCCAAAGCTGTGTTACGAACATGAAGTTCTAAACACATTTTCTCATATGTTCACACATGTCTCATTCCAGCCTCAGTGCTCATGGGGTAGGATCTCCTTACCTGAGACCACAAACCCTGGGGGTCCCTGGGGTGTGAAAACAGGTAGGGGGAGGTACTCCATAAGACATAGCACCTGTAGGTCCTCCCAGCATTCATGGAGAATTCAGCCTGTACTGCTGAGCTTGGTACTTTGATATTAGACACAAAGGTAGGGATCTGCTGCTCCCTTCTTGGAAATAAGAAAAGTGTCACTGATGTAGCAGGACCATGTTCTTTCCTGAGGCCACCATGGAGCCCGGCTGCACCAACAGGGAATATCCCTCAGGCAGCTGTCCTAGAGAGAGGCAGGATGGGTGAGGGGCTGCCCCCACCTTGTTCTGAGCAGAGACCTTCCCAGGGCTTCTCTCTAGGACCCTCAGTCTCTCTGTCATTCACTGTTTCCTCTGAGTCTCTTCCTCTCCCTCCCATCCACCTTGCCCCTCTGTCTCTTTCCCTCTCTAAAGAACCTTATCCATTGACATGGTTTGATTGTGTCCCCACCCAAATCTCATCTTGAATTGTAGCTCCCATAATTCCCACGTGTTGTGGGAGGAACCTGGTGGGAGATAATTGAATCGTGGAGGCGGTGGGTGGTTTCCCCCATACTGTTCTCCTGGTAGTAAGTCTCACGAGATCTGATGGTTTTATAAGGGGAAACCCCTTTCACTTGGCTCTCATTTCTTTCTTGTCTGCCACCATGTGCCTTTCACCTTCCACCATGCTTATGAGGTCTCCCCAGCCACATGGAACTGTGAGTCCATTAAACCTCTTTTTCTTTATAAATCACCCAGTCTTGGGGATGTCTTTATCAGCAGCAAGAAAACAGACTAATACACTCATCATGCTGGTCATCACCGCCTGCAGATCCCCAGCAGGCCCTGTGCAGAATCTGGGTCCCTGAGTGAACCTGCTGGACCCCTCACCTGCAATAGCATATCCAGGGGATTCAGGGGACCAAACAATCAGAAAAGACATTGTGGGCTCGGTGCGGTGACTCACGCCTGTAATCCCAGCACTTTGGGAGGCCGAGGTGGGTGGATCACCTGAGGTCAAGAGTTCAAGACCAGGCTGGCCAACATGGCAAAACCCAGTCTCTACTAAAAATACAAAAAAAAAAAAAAAAATTTAGCCAGGCATGGTAGTGTATGCCTGTAATCCCAGGTACTTGAGAGGCTGAGGCAGGAGAATTACTTGAACCCAGGAGGTGAAGGTTGCAGTGAGCTGAGATCGTACCACGCACTCCAGCCTGGGCAACAAGAGCGAAACTCCATCTCAAAAAAACAAAAACAAAACAAAACAAGAAAAGAAAAGAAAAGACGTTGCGTTTAGCACAGCATCTGTCCTGGCTCCCATGGGAGCCACTCCAAGGAAACGTCAGCCTGACGGAGCCCAGCCTGGGGCTGCCAGCCATGGTGCCAGGGTGGTCATGTCGCCTCTCCTCAGACAGGAAAAGTCCTTGGTGGCCAACATCAGAGCAACACTGGAAGGTCAGACTCTCTCCAGAGATTAGGAGGGGCCCCTGTTTGGTCCCGTGCAGGGAGTCCTAGACACACCTAGAGGGAAAGACAAGTCAGGACTTTGGGGGCTGACTCCCCTCAAATACATCCCTTGTCCTCCTGGCTCTGCAGATCTCACCATCACTTATACTCTGTGTCTCTGGCCCCAGAAGCCCTCGTTCCCCTCATTCCACCCTCACGCTTGGGACTTGCCTGGGAGCAAGATCCACAGCAACCTGTCTGATGCTTCAAAGAATGTTTGGGGTAAAGATGGGACTTCCTCACCTGAGAACAGGAGCTTCAGGGAGTTGCTGAGGTCCGACCACACCTGAAGGGTGTTCTGACTTCCTCACCTGAGAACAGGAGCTTCAGGGAGTCGTTGAGTTCCGACCACACCTGAAGGGTGTTCCTGTTATTGCCATGACATCTGAACATCCATCTGTGGCTGAGGGTCTTGGGGCCCACAGGAAACAGAGCTTGGGACTGTCCACTAGGGTGTTGCTGAGAGTCTAGGGTGCAGGAGAGACTGAGTTCTCCTTCCTCGGTCAGAATGAATCTGTCCAGTTGCAGCCATGAGCCACGCTGGAGAGTCCTCTCCTAAAGTTGCAACAGGCTCAGGGGGGCTGAGAAGGTAGATTTTCTGTAGAATCCTAGGAGAGAAGGAGGTAGTGTGATCCTTGAGGCTCAAGCCTCCCACCTTATCCCTTAGGGCTGGGCTGTGAGGGAGAGACACCCCTGAGAGCAGACCCCTTTCCTGAGGGCAGAGCCTGGGGCTGGGACCCCAAGGTGTCCTCCCACCTATCACCACCAGCTCCAGGGAGTCAGTGAGCTCTGGGGCTGAAATAGTGACAGTAATATCATCCTACATATTCATTTGTCATGGATATGATGGGGGAACTCGGCCTTGTCTCCAGGCTGCAGTGGGCTCTGTCTGTCCCAGGACACTGAGCTTCCCTCTTTTTTTTTTTTTTTTCTTTTTTTTTTTGAGACGGAGTCTTGCTCTGTCACCCAGGCTGCAGTGCAGCGGCGTGATCTGGGCTCACTGCAAGCTCCGCCTCCTGGGTTCACGCCATTCTCCTGCCACAGCCTCCCGAGTAGCTGGGACTACAGGCGCCCACCACCACACCCACCTAATTTTTTGTATTTTTAGTAGAGACAGGGTTTCACCATGTTAGCCAGGATGGTCTCGATCTCCTGACCTCATGATCTGCCCGTCTCAGCCTCCCAAAGTGCTGGGATTACAGGCATGAGCCACCACGCCCAGCCCCCTCTTTTTTTTTTAGTTGGAGTCTTGCTCTGTCACCAGGCTGGAGTGTAGTGGCACAGTCTCAGCTCACTGCAAGCTCCGCCTCCCGGGTTCAAGTGATTCTCCCACCTCAGCCTCCCAAGTAGCTGGGACTACAGGTGCACACCACCACGCCCAGCTAATTTTTGTATTTTTAGTAGAGACGGGGTTTCACCATGTTGGCCAGGATGGTCTCGATCTCTTGACCTCATGATCTGCCTGCCTTGGCCTCTCAAAGTGCTGGGATTACAGGCATGAGCCACCGCGACCGGCCCTGGGCTTCCCTCTTTATCCAATCGGTACTCCTGGGCCTCCAGGTTCCCCTGACACCAGAGGGTCACAGGCCTCTCCCAGGTGATCACAGAGCCTGTCTCAGCCCATGGGGAGGGTTTGGGGAAGGGCCCTGAAATGGAACCAGAGGCTGGGTCCCAAGATCTCTTTCACTCCTGGTTCTCTAGTTTAGTCCAAAACCCCTCTCTGTTTTATCACCCTCAGCCCAGAACAACTGTGCCCCCCAACCTGAGAGCCCAGGGGCTGGAGTAAGAGGGAGGCTCGTGGAGAACCTGGTAGCCCCTTCTCCCTCCATCACTGACTGAGGCAGAGAAGCACGAACACCGTGATGCCTGCTCTGGGGGCTCCAGCTGTGGGAGAGGAGACCACAGGGCCCTCCAGGACAGACAGACACACGGATGTGGTCACTCAGAGCCTGCTGCTGCCCGTCCAGGTACCCACAGCTGTGGACCCACAGGAAGGGAAACTGCTTTTCCCTGGGCCTGGCTCTGGTTTTCCCTGGGTGGGGGAGCTCAGGAGGACCCCAGACTCTCTGGACACATGAGCCTCTGCTCCCCTCCCCTGCCCCAGGTCACCGTCTCTGCTGCAGGTGGGACAGGACAGGCCCCTGTGGAATCGGGTCTGGGAGTTTCCCTGGGAGGCCTCCTCTCCCAGGAGGTCACAGCTGGGAGTCAGAGCTGAAAGGAACTTTCCCACCCGCAGGCCTCTCTCCTTTACACTTGGAGAAACTGAGGCCCAGGCAGAGGAGGGGCCTGTCCACATCACCACCTCCAGAGGAGCCTCAAACCGATGACAGAACTCAGCCCTTCCTCCCCTGGACCCCGCCCACCTCCCACTCAAAGCCCCTCACTTAGCACTGTGGGGGCCTGACGTTGTGGGGGTGAGGGGCTGGTCCTCAGGGCCTGCTGGGTCAGGATGGGGAGGTGAGGGCTGGGGCTGCCCTGCTCCCCACGTCAGCCCGGCTGCTCCTCCCCAGGCTGCGCCCCAACATCTCTCTCTGCCTCGACCCCCGCCCCTCACCAGCCCAGCCTCAGAGCCCCGGGGAGCCTGTGGCCCCTCCTCTGGCTCTGCCTCAGCTCCCTGGAGGGAAGCTCGTGCTTGAGTCCTTGAGGGGAATGGGATCATCTGGGAGACTCAGGACTGCCCTGGGGGAGGCCACCCTCCCTCTGAGCCCAGAGGCCTCAATGACTCACCAGGTATGGAGAAGGAGCCTATGGGTGGAGGGCTGGGGCCCCTGGAGGGTCCTGGGAAGGAGCACAGAAAGGGAGTGAGGAATTGGAGCTATCCTGGAGTCCCCACCTCCACTCAAAGCTCTCCTCTCCATCTGCCCAGTGGCCTCTCCAAGACCCTCCCTCTTCCCACCTAGCACCTTCTGGACTCCAGGTGAAGGAGAAGAGGGAGAACTCCTGTTGGCTTCTTCTCCTCTGAGGGGTGAATTCCTCTGTGGCTGAGCCTCCCTCAGAGCCCCCTTCACTCCATCTCTGCCCAGAGCTCTCCTGGGGGCAGGGCCTGAGCTGAGTCTTTGAACTTAGAGAGGACAGGGTCAGGGCCTTTCACCCAAGACCACCAGCTCCGACTGCGGTGTGATAGCAGGTAGGGGGAGGTGCAGTCATGTGAGAATCTTGAAGGTGCCCATGAAGGGAGTGTTTATACCACAGTCATCAACAAATTCCACAAATAAATGCTTTTTAGAAAACTTTTTTGTTGTTGTTCAGGAAGCCAGTCTATGCGCACAACAGCAGGCTTTTCCATCAAACACTTCTCTTTTGATTCCTAGTGACTGTATCTCTGGAGAAACTACAGATGAAGAGTGACAGGTGGTACAGCATCACTTTGAACTTAGATTTTCCAAACACGAATCTGATTTTTGCCCATGGATTTAATTATCAAAAGCAAATTCCATGTTATGAGCTGAAGAGATAGTCCCAGTAATACACATTAGAAAATGCAGTAGTTAGAAATAAAGAAAGGTGTATTACCTGAAAGTGGAGCAGAGCATGAGGTCACAGAGGGGCGGACCCAAACCCACCATAGGGGTGAAGCCTTACATCATAGGGAAGAAAAACGAAGGAAGGGGCAGTCAAGGAGAGTCGACAATGAGGAGGAAAGCACCACAGTTTAATGGAGGAAGCATCTTCTACAGACACCCAGACATCTTCCTGCACCTGACCCATGCTTCTTCCCCTTGATATTCTCAGCAGACACTTCCCCAACTGCTGCCCCAGTCTTCCAGAACCTCCTCAGATCATCAGATCTGTTCCCAAGGCTCCACCACTCTGAAGGGTGCATTGTCCTTTCTGCTGTTTGCCTCCTGGCTGCACCTTGGGGGGCTTCTCTGGCTGTGCTGAGCCTCAAATAACAGAATCCCGAGGAACAGCAGGACCAAGCCAGCCACACCCATGCGGATGAGATTCTCCACTGTGTAATCCTGGAGGTGTGGGGCTAGGGATGGTGGACAAAGAGGTCACAGAGGTCAGGGCAGATCACAATTACCAAAGACCCCTGGATGTCCACCCAGGGTACCCACCTCCCCTTGACAGGACCTGACCCTCTGTGCCCAGCCCCATAACTGGGAGAATCTCCTCACTCACCAGTCTTGGAATCTGACTTCTTTTGTGCTGGATTGAGGGTCTCAGTTGCTCCTAAGAATCAAAGAATAAGGATGTTGGTGAGAAGCTGAAGAGCCTCTCCCCTGGGCAATGCATTCTTATATTCCTCCACCTCTCATGGTGTGACTTTATGTAGATCCTTAGTGAACACATTCTCTGCTCTCACAGGCCTCCCCTGGTACGTCATTGGGTTTTTCAACCTCTCTGTGCTCTGGGAATTCAGATCTTGTGCCTGAGTCACTTTGAAACAAAGTTTACTTGAGCCCAGGAGCTCAGGATTAGTAAGAAGAATGATCCCCCAACTAGAAAGAATTGAGCTCTTGTGTGCTGTCTTGGATGTGCAATCTTGTGCAACAAGAACACAACAACTAATTCCCCCAGAGACAGAAATTTCCATTTTTCAGTGGATGAGGACCCAGTCTCTGTGGATGAGGAGTTGGTCCTCAGTCACTCTTGGAAGTCAGGAGCACAAGCAAGGGCTGGAGGCTGCAACGGCCCCCACTGTGTGCGCCTCAGACAGCTCCCCTGTGGTTTCATCATCCATTTAATGTCTTGTTAACTAATTCTTCATATAGTTAGGAAACCTACAATGTGATATGCTTAAATATGAAAATGTATTCTTTTCTAAATGATAATGACTAAGTGGGACAGAAAAACATCATTTCTGCTTTTTTGAAGTATGAACCTAGATTGGAAGGTGAAAAGCAAATATTTAAAAACATACCCGAACTTAAAGTAAAATAAAAAATAAAGGCCAGGCGCGGTGGTTCACGCCTGTAATCCCAGCACTTTGGGAGGCTGAGGCGGGCGGATCACAAGGTCAGGAGACTGAGACCATCCTGGCTAACACGGTGAAACCCCATCTCTACTAAAAATACAAAAAAAAAAAAAAATTAGCCTGGCATGGTGGTGGGCTCCTGTAGTCCCAGCTACTTGAGAGGATGAGGCAGGAGAATGGCGTGAACCCCAGAGGCGGAGCTTGCAGTGAGCCGAGATCGCACCACTGCACTCCAGCCTGGGCGACAGAGTGAGACTCCGTCTCAAAAAAAATAAAATAAAATAAAATAATAATAAAAAATAAAAACAAATAAATATTTAAAAATCTGATGAAAAATATTAAGCACAGGATTGAATACTTGAATATATGTTTGTGTCTATATATGTACATAGCACATATATTCATATAAAATATATGTGATTAACATGGTTTATAAAATATATGTGATTAACATGCTTTGCATTTGTGTCTCTCTCAAATCTCATGTTGAATTGTAATCCCCAATGTTGGAGGAGAGGCCCAGTGGGAGGTGATTGGCTTCCCCCTGGCTGCTCTCATGATAGTGAGTTGTCACGAGATCTTGTTATTTAAAAGTGGGTAGCACCTCCCCCTTCTCTGTCTTCCTCCTATTCCAGCCATAGAAGAAGTTCCTGCTTTCCCTCCGCCTTCTGCCATGATTGTAAGTTTCCCGAGGCCTCCCCAGCCAGGCTTCCTGTATGGCCTGTGGAACCGTGAGTTAATTAAACCTCTTTCCTTTATAAATTACCCAGTCTCAGGTAGGTTTTTGTTTGTTTGTTTGTTTGTTTTTGAGACGGAGTCTTGCTCTGTCCCCCAGGCTGGAGTGCAGTGGTGCGATCTCAGCTCACTGCAGCCTCTGCCTCTGGGTTCCAGCGATTCTCCTGCCTCAGCCTCCAAGGCAGTTGGGATTCAGGTACCCGCCACCATGCCCAGCTAATTTTTGTATTTTTAGTAGAGATAGGGTTTCGCCATGTTGGCCAGGCTGGTCTTTCATTCCTGACCTCAGGTGATCGGCCCACCTCGGCCTCCCAAAGTGCTGGGATTACAGGCGTGAGCCATCGTGCCCGGCCTCAGGTAGTTCTTTACAGCAGTGTGAGAACAGATGAATACAATGATTATAGATACATATGTATACGTGGCTTTAGATATTTGTTTTTAAAGTATATATGTAACTACGTATATATTCATATTTGAGATGAGAAAGATGGGCTTACAATTTGGAAATATAAACGTGAAATTTCCAATTTTTTATGGCTGATATAAACATCAGCCCCAGCATCTTCCCCTTGTCCATGTCAGGCCTGGACCCCCGGACCCCAAATCCCGCTCAGGTAGGGGAGGACAGACCTGACTCCTCCACCTATCATTGCTGCTCCCTTCTTCCTGCCTGGTTCTAGGACACCTCCCTCCCCTCTGACCACCACAGAGGGAACACCTGCTCCATCCTCAGAGCCCCAGGAAGCCACGTGGACCACGCCCTTATTGTCCACTCTCCCCTCTGTTCCTCTGAGGAACAGACCCCTTTCCTGAATATTGGAGATAAGGTTGAGATGAGTCTAGAATATTATACTGGGTCAGAGTAACTGCGCTTTCATCTCCCACGGGGTCAGGACTTAGAGGCTGGGGACACCCAGATGTTGATTCTGAGATGGAGACATCAGGAAGGGAGCAGGTGGGGCCTCCGTCTTCCACCCTCAGTCTAATCTCATCTCCTCCAAGGCTCACCCCCACCTGCTTGCAGCCCTCTCCACTCTTTACCCTACTGAGACTTCAGGGGTGGGAGCCCAGGGTGGGAAGTCCTCATCTATTTCCACACTCCCATAGGCTGGACCTTCCCCTCGGTGGGAGGTTCCCATGTATTTCCACCCTTCCATGGGCTGGGCCCTCCCCTGTGGACCCTCCCCCTTCACTGTCCTGTTTTCTTAGTGTCCTGAACTCTCCTGGGGGCAGGGCCTGAGCTGAGAGAGGCTCAGGGCTCACAAAGGCCGGGGCTGATGGAGGAAGAAGTGGGGCAGCAAGTGAGACAGACAGACGGACACTCTCTTGGAAGCTCTCCTTTTTCATTTCCAAGAACCCCTTTGAGCTCAGAGTGGACAGGGTCAGCGCCCTCACCTGAGACCACGAGCTCCAGGGGCTCACTGGGGTGAGACAGCAGGTAGGGGTTGGAGCTGCGTGAGCCGTAGCACCTGTAGGTCCCCGCGTGGGCTGAGGTCACAGGACTCATGGGGAATTCAGCCTGGTACTTATGAGCTCCGTACATTGATCTCAGACGCAACGGGGGATGGGCTGCCCCCTCCTTGGTCAGAAGGAAAGTGAACATCGGGTCCCATGACTGACACAGCAGGGTCACCTTCTCTCCTGAGGTCACCGTGGGGCCCGGCTGCACTGAGAGGGAGGGTCTGTCAGAGATCTGTCCTGGAGAAAAGAAGGACGGGTGAGGGGCTGCCCCACCTTGTTCTGAGCTGAGACCTCCCCACCAGTCCTCTCCCTGGGACCCTCAGTCTGTCTCTGTCTTCTCTGAGTCTCCCCCTCCCCGCCCATCCCCTGTCTCTGTCTGTCTCTCCCTCCCTTAGGACCCCCACCCCTCATCCCGGCCATCACCACCTGGGCTCCCCCAGCAGGGCCTGTGCAGAGCCTGGGTCCCCCTGACTGAACCCGCTGGGCTCCTCACCTGCGATCAGGATGTCCAGGGGGTCACTGGGGGCCGACCACTCGGAGGAGACGTTGTGTGCGCCGTAGCATCTGTACTGGCCCCCGTAGGAGCGGCTCACAGGGCTCAGGGTGAAGTTGGCCTGGGAGAGCCCAGCCTGGGGCTGCCGGCCAGGGCGCTGGGGGAGGCCATCGGCCCCCTCCTTGTACAGAGTGTATCTGATGTAGCCGACATCAGAGCCACACTGGAGGGTCAGATTCTCTCCGGGGGTCACGACAGGGCCCTGCAGGGTCAGGAGGGAGGGCTTCCTAGACACGCCTGGAGGGAAAGATGAGTCGGGACTCGGAGCGGCTGGTTCCTCCTGCGCCCCTTCCTTCTGTAGCCTTCCTCACTAGGGTTTCCAGCGTCCTTGTTTTTTTCTCATTCTGTATTTGTGTCCCCAGGGCCCCCATCTTCCCCTCATCTTTTCTTCTTGCGTGGGCTAGCCCGAGGGTAAGGCTCCCAACAGCTCACCTGGTGCCCTGACTTTGTATAAGGAAAAGCTACGGCTTCCTCACCTGACACCAGTAGCTGCAGGGGGTCACTGGGTTCCGACCACACGTATGGGGTGTTGTTTTCATAGCCGTAGCATCTGAATGTACCCCTGTTGCTGAAGGTCAGGGGGCCCATGGGGAACAGGGCCTGGAACTTTCCATGGTTGTGTTGGTGTGAGTTCAGGGTCCAGGAGAGCCTGTGGTCTCCTTCCTCAATCAGAGTGAACCTGCCCAGTCCCAGCCGTGAGGCACACCGGAGGGTCACGTTCACTCCTGAGGTCACCACAGGGCTTGGCAGTGCGGACAGGGTGGGTCTGCTGTAGGCTTTCAAGAGAAAAAAAGGCAGCCGTGTTTAAATGGGGCTCACACCTCCCACCTTATCCTACAAGGCTGGGCTGTGAGAAGGGAGACCCCTCGAGAGCTGAGAGCCGACCCCCTTCCCGAGGGCAGAGCCTGGGGCTGGGACCCCTGAGTGTCCTCTCACCTGTCACCACCAGCTCCAGGGGGTCGCTGGGCTCTGACCAGCCTGCAGGGCTCTGATAGTAACAGTGATATCGCCCTGCATGTTCCCACATCATGGATGGGATGGAGAGTTTGACCTTGTTTTCAGACTCCAGTGTTTTTAATATGTGCCTCGACATTGAGTTTCCCTCTTTATCCAGACGGTACCCCTGGGCCTCCAGGGTGCCCTGACACCAGATGGTCACGGGGTTATGCCAGGTGATCACGGGACCTGGCTCGGCCCACAGGATGGGTTTGGGTAGGTTTTCTGGAAGGAAATTACAGGTTAGGTCCCAAGATGTCCTCAACCCTCAGATCCCAGCTCTCAGCCCCAGGACCCCCCTCATCCCCATCAGTCAGCCCAGAACTGCTGTCTTCACCCCCAGCTGCCCAGGGGTGGTCCCTTGTCCCCAGAGAGGAGGAGGGACCTAGGACAGCTGGGGACAGACTCACCTGCCTGCACCCGGGTCCTGGGGCCCAGGCTCAGCCCTGGAAGAGAGTTCCCTGTGAGAGATTTGCCTCCGAAGCCTGAGCAGGTCTTCTTCTTTTCCTTGAGCCCCTGGGATGCCCTAATTGACTAAGGCATGGCTATGGATTGGGGTCTCTCTCCTAGACTAGGGTCTCTCCTCCCCCTCTTAAGATCTCACCAAAGAAGAGCAGGCTTGTGAGAATGAGGGTCATGGCATCTCCTCCTCCTGGCCCTGGCTGTGCAGGCAGGTGTGGCCACGGTGCCCGTAGACACAGACAGACACATGGTGTGCGGGCACACGGAGGCTGGGTCCTCCCCATCACGAGGTTGTCCCATCAGCACACCGACAGAAAGAGGAACTGCCCCTCCCCAGGACCCTGGCTCTCATTTCCCAGGGCTTGTCCTGGGGGTGAGCACCAGGCTCTCTGCCGATATTTCAGACACAAATGGGGATTCACAAGGGGGTCGTTAAGAAGGACATTTTCGGCCGGGCGCTGTGGCTCACAGCTGTCATCCCAGCACTTTGGGAGGCCAAGGTGGGTGGATCACTTGAGGTCAGGAGTTCGAGACCAGCCTGGCCAACATGGCAAAACCCCGTGTCTACTAAAAATACAAAAATGAGCCGGTCGTGGTGGCACATGCCTGTTATCCCAGCTACTCGGGAGGCTAAGGCGGGAGAATCACTTGAACTCCGGAGGCAGAGGTTGCAGTGAGCCGAGATCACGCCATTGCCTTCCAGCCTGGGCAACAAGAACAAAACTCTATCTCAAAAAAAAAAAAAAAAAGGACGTTTCCATCTCTGTGTGGCACAGAAAAGGAAGTCCAGGGTCCTCACAGACAGGGAGGAACCTAGGGCTCCAGGTGAAAGTGAGACGCTGTGGCTGCCCCTCTTCTGTGTTTGCACATGGGCACTGCCATCTCTCTGCTTCCTTGTGGGAGCCATGAGGGGCAGAAAGAGGAACTGCCCCTCCCCAGGAGCTTGGCTCTCATTTCCCCAGGGCTTGTCCTGGGCGTGAACACCAGGCTCTCTAGAGATATTACAGACAGAAATGGGCTCTCCCCTCACTTTGGCTGCATCTATCTAATCTGTCCTCATCTCACCAAGGGCCAGGATGTAGCAGCAAACAGACCCGGTGCCTTCTTGATTCAGCCCCTTCCAGGTGAGAGGGACTGATGGTTCCTCCTTCCCTCTCAGAGCCTCCCCATGGAGGAGGCTCCATCTCCCCTGTGTGTGTGTGAAAAACAGGCTGTCTGTGGTATTGTCACACCTGGACATCTGTCCCACACGTGAGTGGGAGGTCACATTGGACTCCGCCTTGCCAGCCACAACTTTGGGCAGATGCTAAGTTTGGAAGAGTTGATGCTCCTGGACAGGAGCAGCTGTAACCACCCGCTCTGGACAGGCCTGATTTCTGAGTCGTCTCTGGGAGAAATGTTCTTTGTAAGATCATGTGCATGGGGGTAGATGGACAGCATGCAGTGTATTTGAGAAGAGATAGACAACTAGAAATTATGTAGGCAGATGTGGCTGTGGTGAAAATAGTAGGTAGAATTAACACACTTAAAAATCAATTCTATGGCCGGGCACGGTGGCTCGCACCTGTAATCCCAGCACTTTGGGAGGCCCAGGCGGGCAGATCACCTGAGGTCAGGAGTTCAAGACCAGCCTGGCCAACATGGTGAAACCCCGTCTCTATACTAAAAATAACAAAAATTAGGCTCATTTTTGAATCCCCTTAAACATTACCAGCCCCTAAATGTCTGCTCTACGGATTCTTCTTTGAATTCAGTATTAACATCTTTCCCGTTCCCTCGTTAATAGTAAGCTAAATAAAAACTTGTGTCCATTTTATCCTTCTAGAAGAGCAATTTTTTTTTACCTTTTTGAAAAAAAAAAACTTTACCAAAATATATTTAAGATCAAGAATGCTGGTCATAAGCTGTGAAAATCTATGTCTTGTCTTAATCATTCCATCAGCATAAAAAATGTAGCAATGCATGTGAAGTGTTGGTTCCAGGCAAACCTGCTTAAGACTCAATGTTCAAGGTTGTTATTAGGTGGGGGCCATATAGGCATAATGGTCAGTCACAGGGAAACCAGGGAAAAGCTGCTGTTCATCAGCATTTTTTTTTTTTTTACAAACTCATCAACAGTGAGCTACATTGTTTGCGGAAATGGCCTAGTCAAGACACAGTAGAATTCAGTGCTGCAGTCACACAACACCAGCTTATCTCTTAGGAACATAGGGAACATTCCAGGAGCCATGTTTAGGAACTAGATGCCAGCTAAGGACCAACTTTACAAGCAAACTCTCCCAACGTTATCACCCTTGCAGCTGTGAGATTAACTCCTTCTTGCACACCTGTACCTGAAAAAAATAATAGTCCTCTTGAATGCAGCAGCACCTTGTTCACCCGGAACATGCCTCCGCTCCTCCAGATTCTTCCCGCCCTATCTCAGTTTTTTTCTGCAGATTCTCCAAGGTTCTGCAAACTGTAAGCAGTAAATCCACACTCAACTTGAGTTTTCATGAGGGAAGCCGTCTGGGGCCTTCTCTGGCTGTGCTGAGCCTGAACGAGCATCCCCCAGAGGCCACCGGGATCAACACAGCATGGTCATTGGGATGAGATTCTCCATGGCAGAGGCTGGAGGGGCGTGGTCAGTAGACAGAATGGAGCATTTGCTGAGGGCTAGACTGGCCACACTCACCTCGGAAGCCCTGGATGGGTGTTTACACATCTACACTCTGGAAAGGGGAGTCCCAGTTATTCCTCACTATGGGTCTATACTTGGTGGAGGTTGGTTGAGAGGATCAGGGACTCTGTATGCGTCTGTTCTCACTCTGCTATGAAGAACTACCCAAGACTGGGTAATTTATAAGAAAAGACGTTTAATTGACTCACAGTTCCATATGTCTGGGGAGGCCTCATGAAACTTACAATCATGGTGGAAGGCACCTCTTATTGGGCGGCAGGAGAGAGAATGAGAGTGGAGCGAAGGGGGAAGCCCCTTATAAAACCATTAGATCTCATGAGAACTCACTCATTATCACGAGAACAGTACAGGGGAAACCGCCCCCATGATTCAATAATCTCCACCTGGTCCTGCCCTTGACATGTGGGGATTATTATAATCCAAGGTGGGATTTGGGTGGAGACACAGAACCGAACCATATCAGACACCTATGAATAAGAATGAGGTGGGGCATGAGTAGCCAGACCACCATTGTATCCCCCGACCAGGGCGTATAACCCACCATTGTATCCCCCGACCAGGGCACGTAACCCACCATTGTATCCTCCCCACCTCCAGGGCATGTAACCCACCACTGTATCCCCCAACCAGGGTGTGTAACCCACCATTTTATCCCCCTCAGGGTGTGTAACCCACCATTGTATCCCCCTCCAGGGCCTGTAACCCACTATGCCCTGGCTCCTTCACAACTCTCCTCCCTTCTCATGGGAGAATTGTATGAGATCCTTGCTGACCCCAACTCCCAGCTTGGGCTTAGAACCCTATGGTCCCTTCCTCAAATATGTTCAGGTTCCTGGGCCTTGTTGAAGTCACAGACAACTTCTCAGCTGCAGAGATATTGCGGGTTTGGTTTTACAACAACTCAGGGACAGAGGACAAAAATCTCCAACCTCTGGAATGCTTAACTCTGCTATTCCCTGGTCTCAGATTAGTCCCAAAATTAGTTAAACCTAAGCCTCACGCTTTGACCTCTAGTAATGCGTCAGCTGTCAGTATGGAATCCATAGATCTGCATGTGGGGCTCCTGGTGTCCCAGGGCCAGGAATATGAAGCAGCCAAAGGCTGTGACTGCCTTTTCTTTTCTTTCTTTCTTTCTTTTTTTTTCTGAGATGGAGTCTCGCTCTGTTGCCCAGGCTGGAGTGCAGTGGTGCAATCTCAGCTCACTGCAAGCTCCGCATCCCGGGGTCACGCCATTCTCCTGCCTCAGCCTCCTGAGTAGCTGGGACTACAGGCGCCCGCCACCATGCCTGGCTAATTTTTTGTATTTTTAGTAGAGACGGGGTTTCACCGTGTTAGCCAGGATGGTCTTGATCTCCTGACCTTGTGATCTACCCGCCTCTGCCTCCCAAAGTGCTGGGATTACAGGTGTGAGCCACTGTGCCTGGCCTTATTTTTTTTTTGGTCAGGGAGTCTTGCTCTGTCGCCCAGGCTGGAGTGCAGTGGTGCGATCTCAGCTCACTGCAACCTCCGCCTCCCGGGTTCAAGCGATTCTGCTGCCTCAGCCTCCTGAGTAGCTGGGACTACAGGCATGTGCCACCATACCTGACTAATTTTCTGTATTTTTAGTACAGATGGGACTTCATGTTAGCCAGGATGGTCTCGATCTCCTGACCCCATTATCCGCTTGCCTCGGCCCCCCAAAGTGCTGGGATTACAGGCCTGAGCCCGGCCCCCTTTTCTTTTTTTGTACCTCACTCAGCTCTCTGCATTCTCTGGTTCAACTTAATAGTACTACTAATAACCCAAGTAATAATCTCACTATTCTTCTGTCCATTTATCTGTTTTGTTTTACAATTAATGAGAGAATAGTCATAGATTCCAAGTAACTTTTTCAGGAATAAGAAACACTATAGTGAACAAAACCTCCCATTGTTCATTCAATTTGTAATAGAAATGGAGAAAGTCAGATGAATTAAGCAAAAATACAAAAGAGATGAACTATTATTTAAAAACAACACACAGAGGCATAAATGCACAAAATTTAAGCCACCTAGAGGTCTTGAATGTGTGTTGCCCTTATAAAAAAAAAAAAAAAAAACAGTGCCAGCCTGGCCAACATGGCGAAACCCCATCTCTACTAAAAACACAAAAATTAGTTGGGTCTGGTGGTGGGCACCTGTAATCCCAGCTACTCAGGAAGCTGAGGCAGGAGAATCGCTTGAATCCAGGAGGGAGAGATTGCAGTGAGCCGAGATCTTGCCACTGCACTCCATGCTGGGTGACAGAGGGAGACTCTGTTAAAAAACAAAACAAAAACAAACAAACAAAAGCAGTGAGTACTAGGGGCAAAGATCACTTAACCCAGTTTGTCATTAAAAAAAATGTTTTTGAGGATGTGACAGGTTAGGTAAAGACTGAACAATGAGCAAGAGGAGGATCCAGAAAGGTAATATTGCCCAACATAGGAGCAGATGATTGCGGTATTTTGATACCAGAAAATGCAGAAATGTTCCTAGTGTGTCTAAAATGTATATGAGAATGAGGAAACGGAAAAAGTGGTACAGAGCTGTATTTCCAGATGTGCAAACAGACGTATGAACATCGACATGTGCAATCAATTGTTAACTGAAAATCAATACAGAAATAAAGTGAGAAATAAAAACACTTATCTGCAATACAGCCATGAGTCTCAGAGCACGGCGTGTGGAGAAATGTACATACACGGGGTGTCTCTGAGAGGAAACAGAATAAAGAGGTACTTGATTGCCTCTGGAGATGGAAATTGAGAAGATGGGAGCAAGGATCACCTCTATGCCCGTTGGTAAATATATGTTTGTGTGTGTGTTTCTTTTTTTTGAGGGAACAAGGATCACCTGTGTGCCCACTGGTAAATATATTTGTGTGTGAGTTTTTTGTTTTGTTTTGTTTTTGTTGTTGTTGTTGTTTGTTTGTTTTTTTAGATGAAGTCTGACTCTTATTGCCCAGGCTGGAGTGCAGTGGTGTAGCGCGATCTTGGCTCACTGCAACCTCTGCCTCCCAGGTTCAAGTGCTTCTCCTGCCTCACCTCCCGAGTAGCTGGGATTACAGGTGCCCGCCACCACGCCCAGCTAATTTTTTGTATTTTTAGTAGAGACGGGGTTTCACTATGTTGGCCAGGCTGGTCTCAAACTCCTGACCTCAGGTGATCCACCCTCTTTGGCTTCCCAAAGTGCTGGGATTACAGGCATGAGTGAGCCCGCACCCGGCCTGTATTTTTTTGTTTGTTTGTTTGTTTTCAGTAGAGATGGGGTTTCACCATGTTATCCAGGCTGGTCTTGAACTCCTGACCTCAGGTGATCTGCCCACCTCGGCCTCCCAAAGTGCTGGGATTACAGGGGTGAGCCACCCCGCCCGGCTGTATCTGTGTTTTTATATTGCATGAATGAACATGAAGAGGATAAATCGGCTTTACTGGGGGAAATGAATTTCAGGAGAACGTGAGGAAGCAACAGATGGAGATCACTGGTGGGCGAATTGATCTGGTGAGAAATGACAGGTGCTTGGATCAGGTTGATGCAGGAAGTGGAGGTCATGAGGGTTTTGAGATATGTGTGTGATTAGAGTCATCAGAACTTGAAGAACCTCTAGATTCGATTTTCAAAGTGAAAGATCTGCGAATGGACTCATCTTTTTTTTTTTTTTCAAGATGGACTCTTGCTCTGTCGCCCAGGCTGGAGTGCCACGGCGCGATGTCGGCTCACTGCGAACTCCGCCTCCCTGGTTCAAGCGATTCTCCTGCCTCAGCCTCCCGAGTAGCTGGGACTACAGGCGCCCACCACCACGCCCGGCTAAATTTTTGTATTTTTAGTAGAGACGGGGTTTCACCGTGTTAGCCAGGATGGTCTCGATCTCCTGACCTCGTGATCCGCCCGCCTCGGCCTCCCAAAGTGCTGTGATTACAGGCGTGAGCCACCGTACCTGACCCCAACTTTTTTTTTTAATCAAGTGAGTGAGAAGAGGATTCATCTTTTCTTCAAGCCTCAGAAGTCCAGGTGATGATTCTGGTTAGAAAGAGCTGTCCGTGGTCGGGTGCGGTGGCTCACGCCTGTAATCCCAGCACTTGGGGAGGCCGAGGCAGGTGGATCATGAGGTCAGGAGTTCAAGACCAGCCTGGCCAAGAAGGTGAAACCCCGTCTCTCCTAAAAATATGAAAAGTAGCCAGGCGTGGTGGCGGGCACCTGTAATCCCAGCTTCTGGGGAGGCTGAGGGAGATAATTGCTTGAGCTCAGGAAGCGGAGTTTGCAGTGAGCCGAGATCGCGCCACTGCATTCCAACCTGGGTGACAGAGCGAGACTCTGTCTCAAAAAAAAAAAAAAGAAAGAAAGAAAAAAAAAAAGAAAGAAAGAGCTGTCCGGAGTTAAATTCAGACCAGAGGCTGGGCGCGGTGTCTCGTGCCTGTAATCCCAGCAACTTGGGAGGCCGAGGCGGGTGGATCACAAGGTCAGGGGATCGAGACCATCCTGGCTAACACAGGGAAACCCCGTCTCTACTAAAAATACAAAAAATTAGCCGGGCGTGGTGGCTGGTGCCTGTAGTCCCAGCTACTCGGGAGGCTGAGGTAGGAGAATGGCATGAACCCAGGAGGCAGAGCTTGCAGTGAGCCGAGATCGCGCCACTGCACTCCAGCCTGGGCGACAGAGCAAGACCCCGTCTCAAAAACAAACAAACAAACAAAAAAAAACCCAAAAAAACACACAAAAACAAATCCAGACCAGCAGTGATTTTCCCTAAAATGAGAATCCTGAGATAGGAGCTTCCGTACTCATCACAATTGGAGTCAACTTTCACGCAGACCTCAAGGTGTCCAAGTACTTTCCATATAAGTGTTGCTGCTAAAAATAAAATAATAATAATACAAACTCCAGGCCTCTTGGATTCTAAAAATGGGAGTTGTGTATCTCTTTTTTCTCCAAATTTAGCCTGGCCTCTCATGCTTGAGTTGTCTACAGCAGCTTCCATGAGTTCCCAGTGTGGTTGAAATCATAAATATGCCTTCTCTTTCATTTCCCTTTTTCACATCCCCACACCCACGTGGTGGTTCAGCTGGGGAGCTATATTTCCTTGGGGAGGAAAGTAGCACAGTGGGTGTCATACCCAGGGGAGATTAACTTTCGGGTCCTGTAGTTGCCCCTACCAGGGTGAGAACCTGGTGCTCATAGAAACCTGCTCAGAAAATCGCTTTCTTGCTTTTGTTCCTTCCTCCACACAATGGCCACAGTTACTGGTGGAGACAAAATGTCTGGAGTGGACTGGAGTCCAAGAAAAGGTACATCGGGCATTTCCTCGCCTAGGAAGTCACTGGCACAGAAGTTCAGAAATGAGCGAGATTTTGAAAACAAGAATAGGCCGGGTGCGGTGTCTCACGCCTGGAATCCCAGCACTTTGGGAGGCCGAGGCAGGCACATCCTCTGAGGTCAGGAGTTCAAGACCAGCCTGGTCAACATGGGAAAACCCTGTCTCTACCAAAAATAAAAAAAAATTAGCCGGGCGTGATGGTGCAGGGCTGTAATCCCAGCTACTCTAGAGGCTGAGATGGCAGATCTCTTGAACCCTGGAGGTGGAGGCTGCAGTGAGCCGAGATCGCGCCACTGCACTCCAGCCTGGTAGACAGAGCAAGACTCCGTCTCAAATAAATAAATAAATAATTAAAAAATTAAAACATAAAAAAATAAAAATTTTCTCGGGGAGCTGACTATGAGAAGGCAGAAATATGTTAATATCTCCAGGTGTCTGTCTGGGGTGTGGTGGGTGGGAAAAAGGCGGAAGTGGTTTCCTGTAATGAATTTGCTCTGTAGGAAGGAGCCATGTTTTTTGGCGCTGGGGATGTTAACTTAGTCCTGGTCATCAACAACATGAACATCAGGCAGAGATACTTGTGTCTTACTTGGAGGAAGATTCAGACCCGGAGAAGGATTTTGATCAGGGAAGAGTCAGCTACAGATAAGGTTGGGGCTATGAGAATAATAGATGTCAGCCTGGAGTGAGGGTTTGGAGAAGAGGACCAGGAGGAGGCTGATGTGGTGGCACAGACAGGCTGTCTTCAGTCTCCAGTGAGCTTGCACTGTGGGAATGGACCCGGGGACGTGGGTGAGGAGGGCTCAAGGGTACAACTGCTTGGATTTGTTCACTGTATGTGAAACAAAAGTGAGTGAGCAACTAGGGTCTGTTTCACTCTCTGCCTTAGTTTACTGGAGGAACGAATGGTGTCATCCCAGGATGAATGATCCCGGGGAAGAACCAGGCTAGGGAGATATTTATAAGGCTGTTCACGGAGTGCAGAGGAAGCACTATCTCCCTCCTGGCCCTGCTGTCTAGTTTTGTTTCTCCCAAGCACTTCTTCCCTCCGACTTTCTTAATTCTATAAGTAGCAGCACCAGAACGCGATCATGTCTGTTGCAGAGATGTGAATGGAGCTGGAGGTCATTATCCTTAGTAAACAAACACAGGAACAGAAAACCAAATACCACATGTTCTCACTTATAAGTGGGAACTCCATCAAATCTCCAAGTCATTTACAACCTCTTCTTCCCCTGTCCATAACTCTTCATTTGATACCGTGAATTCTGTCTCCATGCTTTGGGCCAAAGCATTCACTGGAAGAAATTCCCAAGCTTTGGTTTAAGGCATGAGGGTTCATACTTACTGTCAGTTGACCTTCAGCAGGTGACATCCTCCCCTGCCCCATCCATTTTCCTCGTTGTAGGAAGATGGTAATTAACCCTCCCGTCAAGTTTTTTTGTTTTGTTTTTTGTTTTTTTTTTTCCTGACAGCGTCTCATGCTGTCACCCAGGCTGGAGTGCAATGGCACGATCTCTGCTCACTGCAACCTTGACTTCCTGGGTTCAAGCGATTCTCCTGCCTCAGCCTCCTGGGTAGCTGGGATTACAGGCATGCACCACTGCCAAGCGTGTCCATGTGAAGAGACCAGCAAACAGGCTTTGTATGAGCAATAAAGCTTTTAATTCACCTGGGTGCAGGTGGACTGAGTCTGAGAAAGGAGTCAGCGAAGGGAGATGGGGAAGGGGTTGCTTTATAGGAGTTGGGTAGGTGAGGAAAATTACGGTAAAAGGTGGTCATCTATTGTTGGCAGAGGAGGAGGTCACAAGGTACCTGGTGGGGACATCATAAGACTTATTATCCAGAAGAAGAATGTCACAAAGTTGATTGATCGGTTAAGGTGGGGCAGGGACAAGTCACAGTGGTGGAACGTCGTAATGTTGGTTAATCAGTTAAGGCAGGAACTGGCTGTTTTACTTCTTTTGTGGTTTTTCGGCTGCCCCAGACTTCTTGGCTCCTTCAGGCCATCTGGGTGTATATGTGCAGGTCACAGGGATTACAATAGCTGAGCTTCAGCTCAGAGGCCTGACAACCACCACACTGGCCAATTTTTTTTTTTTTTAATTTTTAGTAGAGACGGTTTCACCATGTTGGCCAGGCTGGTCTTGGACTCCTGACTTCAGGTGATCTGCTCGCCTTGGCCTCCCAAAGTGCTGGGATTACAGGCGTGAGCCACCATGCCTGACCTAAACCTTTAAAAGTGGATACTTGTGTGAGAGAGAGAAACCATGCAGAAGAGATTAAATAAAATTAGACGGATATAATTGTGTCTTGTTTCTTGTTTTGGTTTAGAAATATAAGTGTATTTTCTTGAATAGATATGATGCAAAAATATTTTTAAATATAACTCATAAACTTAAAGATAAAACCTAAAGAAAAAGAAAATGCGGTAAAACAGGTGGGAGGGGAAGCAGGAAAGGCAGGCACACTCGTGTAACTGTGATTGAAAGAAAATCTGTATACAAGTGGACCTGCACAGTTCAAACCTGTGGAGTTCAAAGCTCAACTGTATGTTACTGCAAATGATTATAAGTGCTGTTATAGAAACATTCAAAGACCAGAAAAGGACCACAATGGCTGACCACACATAGCCAGGAAGAGCTTCTCCCACCGAGAGACCAAGCCATCAAGAAGACCAGAATGCTCTGGGCAGATCTTCTGAAAGAGGGCGCTGAGGGTGGATGGAGAGAGGACACAGATCCTGAGGATGGATGGATGGAGGACACAGATCCTGAGGGTGAATGGATGGAGGACACAGATCCTGAGGGTGGATGGATGGAGGGAGGACACAGATCCTGAGGATGGATGGAGGGAGGACACAGATCCTGAGGATGGATGGAGGGAGGACGCAGATCCTGAGGATGGATGGAGGGAGGACGCAGATCCTGAGGATGGATGGAGGGAGGACGCAGATCCTGAGGATGGATGGAGGGAGGACGCAGATCCTGAGGGTGAATGGATGGAGGACACAGATCCTGAGGGTGAATGGATGGAGGACACAGATCCTGAGGGTGGATGGATGGAGGGAGGACACAGATCCTGAGGATGGATGGAGGGAGGACACAGATCCTGAGGATGGATGGAGGGAGGACGCAGATCCTGAGGATGGATGGAGGGAGGACGCAGATCCTGAGGATGGATGGAGGGAGGACGCAGATCCTGAGGGTGAATGGATGGAGGACGCAGATCCTGAGGGTGGACGGATGGAGGGAGGACGCAGATCCTGAGGATGGATGGAGGGAGGACGCAGATCCTGAGGATGGATGGAGGGAGGACACAGATCCTGAGGATGCATGGAGGGAGGACACCACGCCCAGCTAATTTTTGTCTTTTAAATAGAGATGGGGTTTCACCATGTTGGCCAGGCTGGTCTCAAACTCCTGACCTCGTGATCCGCCCGCCTCAGTCTCCCAAAGTGCTGGGATTACAGGCGTGAGCCACCGCGCCTGGCCGGCTTTCTTAGTCATGTTTAATTTAACGAAAATTTTATAATGATCTGAAATGTAAATGGTTTTTAAAGAATTCAAATTAGGATGCATCAAAAATAGGACTGTCTTTATTGTTGAAAAACATTGTATTTCTTTAATAATGAACAACTTATTAAGTTATGATGTGATTTAACTGGTATGAAAATTTGGGAAATTAGAATCTTGGTAAAGTACAGATTAGTTAAAAGAAAAAGATGCTTTAGAAAAATCAAAGACATTTCCGAAAGAATGTACAATAATCAATAGCAGTTTGGCCCCAGTGTTATAGAGGATGGGGAGAAGGTGGAAGAATGAGAAAATAACACGCATTTCACGTAGTATATGTGCACAAATCTTTTTCTTTTGTTGCGAAGAAAATGTTTTATCACAACAAATGTAATAAATTTAGCAACTTTGTTCTGGAGATCAATCAATAAATCCAAATAGGAGAAGGAGGAGGGGTCTGTAAAAGCAGAAAGCAATTTCAGAAATGAATATATATAGTGTACTAAATAAATTGAGCTGGATGGTAAATAAAGGCAACAAGAAAATATCTGTGAATCCTAGACCAGCTGTGATGATGGCTCTGTATGCCCTTAAATAACGGCAATAATTCATGAAAAAATAAAGACCTTGTCCTTTCTTTATCAAAGTGATTTATTATTTATTTATTTATTTATTTTTTAGAGACAGAGTCTCGCTCTGTCACACCCAGGCTGGAGTGCAGTGGCTCGATCTCAGCTCACTGCAAGCTCCGCTTCCTGGGTTCACGCCATTCTCCTGCCTCAGCCTCCCGAGTAGCTGGGACTACAGGCACCTGCCACCACGCCCGGCTAATTTTTTTGTATTCTTAGTATAGACGGGGTTTCACCGTGTTAGCCAGGATGGTCTCGATCTCCTGACCTCGTGATCCGCCCGCCTCAGCCTGCCAAAGTGCTGGGATTACAGGCGTGAGCCACTGCGCCCGGCCCAAAGTGATTTTTATGGAGGTACAATTTAGGACTAAATGAGGCACATTTTACTTCTTGGAACGGCAACAGGAAAATTCCCATCCCGCAGCTCTCACAACTCAGATCTTAGCAATTGGAACAGAACAGGTTGTCACTGCTGAAGGACCAAGCAGAACAACGGTTTCAGGAAGCTTTAGCTCTAAATCCCAGTAGATGTAGAGCAGGTGCAGAGCTCTGGGGACTCTCAAAGCACTTTTAAATCTGGTTAAGTGTCAGAATTGCATTTAGACATCAACACATTTATATTCCTTGATTCTTTCTTCTCCCTAAGACTTAAACATATAGTCACCTTTTATCAAAAAGATATTTTATTTGTTTAAATGGAAGATATAGTTTACTTTCTTCACACAGATGCCAGAAATTTTCTATGAACGTAAAATCTTTGGTGCAATCAAGTGCATACTGCTTCCCAGATCCTACAAGAAAGGAGATTAAGGTGTAGAATTTTACACTCATCACAGAAAGTTTTCAGAGACTAACTGGCATCACCAACCAAAACACAACATGCTATCACCACAACTATTTTTAAATGTCTTAAGTAGTAGTTTCCATTGGACGGCAGGTGTGTAAGCAGGAGCCAAGAGTGAAACACGCTCTTGCTCCTCTTCCTAGCAAGAGAGCAAAGACTGTGAGGTTTGGTGTATTCATCCAGAGAGAGTGTTTTAAATGGGGCTATGACAGAGAAGGTAGACAAGAGGTGTTGGGCAGCCCTGGACACCCTCAGAAAATATCCCTTCTTCATGAATTTATTTTCTATGTTCAGTTTTACACTAAAAGGTAAAAAAAAAGTTAAAAAAAAGAAAAAAAAAGTCCACCCTATAGTTTGTATAACAAACATTCTCACTTGTTCATGCTGTATTCAACGTCGAGCCCATTTTCTTTCCCCTACTACAAAATCCCACCGCTGGGGTCCTGGTACCTACAGTGATGGTTCTGAATAAAGCCCTCCTTACTCTGCTTTGATAAAGGTCACCGGGTAATCTTTCTCTCAACGCCTTGCCCAGCTGGCCCAGGGCTCCAAGAAAGGGAAGGCCAGACCCCTGGCCTCTGCCCTGGTTACTCACAGGGACATCTGTGAATATCTGCTGCTGCCCCATCTGGCCCCGGTGAGGCTGCTCCTCCCTTTCACGTTGGGCCCCACTGCAGCCTCCTGGTGTTCACCGCCAGGGCACACCCCAGGGGAACTGGGGTGGGATCATAAGCACAGGGTAGGCCCTCCCTCTCTGCCTGGCCACACTGCACTGCCAGGTGAATTAAACATGGCTCTTCCCCCAGGTGGTGCTTGGGGGCCCGTGCAGCAGGAGGGACATCTTCTCCGCACAGCAATGTTCCCAGATCTCACCACCCTGAGTTCTGGCCCCTGCGTTGGGCGGGTTGGCAAGTCAAGAGAAAAAACAAGCCCCTGCATCTAATTTTCTGTCTTCTCTCTGGGCCCTTCCTCTTTCCACTAATATGTCAAGAAACAACAGTGTGGTATTTTTGCTTAATTTCCCCTAAACTCTATCTGTCCTGCTTTCCACTGTGACCTCACCACCTGAACTTCCTGGACTTCCTTACACTGGAGCAGACACTGGCATCTGCTCAGCTCTCCTGTGCTCTGCAAGGGGTAGAAAAATTCACCCATCCTCTGCTATGTGCAGACTGTCCACCTTCTGCTATAGAGTTCATGTACCCACCTGTCAACCTCATAGTCAAACAAACAAGACGTTATGGGGGAAAACACCCGGCTGATGGTTGAAAAACAACCAGAGAAGAAAGACAGAGATGTAGAAAAAGAGACAAAGACGGCTGGACGCAGTGGCTCACGCCTGTAATCCCAGGACTTTGGGAGGCTGAGGTGGGCAGATCACCTGAGGTCGGGAGTTCAAAACCAGCCTAAGCAACATGGAGAGCCCCCCGTCTCTAACAAAAATACAAAAAATTAGCCGTGTGTGGTGGTGCATGCCTGTAATCCCAGCTGCTCAGGAGGCTGAGGCAGGAGAATCGCTTGAACCCGGGAGGCAGAGGTTGCAGTGAGCCAAGATTGCGCCATTGCACTCCAGCCTGGGCAACAAGAGCGAAACTCCATCTCAAAGAAAAAAAAAAGAGAGAGAGAGACAGAGAGACACACAGTGAGAGAGAAAGACAGAAAGAGAGACAGGGACAGAGACAGACAGAGCAGGGAGAATGTGTCCCACGTGAAGAACAGGGAAAATCGGTCACAATGTTCACACAAGAAAGCAAAGATACAGAGTACAGCACTGGGAAGCAGATCCCAGGAGGAAATTAAACCTGAGCACAAATAGAAAATTAAAGCTCAGTACAAATTAAAATTGGGTAGGCCAGTCAGGTACCACCCTCTTTGAACCAGCACAGAAACCTCCCAGCAGACCGAGCTGCAGCCCATCCCGGGGTTCATAATGTGGAGTCAGGAGCCTCAGGTGGGTCTGAAGCCCCTGTCTCTGAGACTTGGCCGACCTTGGACAGGTTACTTCATGTCTCGGTCCATAGTTTCTGTTTTTATAAATGAGGAAAATAATAGAGCACGCTGTGGAGGGTTTGTAGGAGAATTTAATGTGTCCACGTTTGCCTAGAACTAAATTAGCAACTGCCCCATAGAAAGAGCTGGCTGAGTTTTTGCTGAATTCTTAAAAATCTTTCTTTTCTTTTCTTTTTTTTTTTGACGGAGTCTCGCTCTGTCGCCCAGGCTGGAGTGCAGTGGCACCACCTCGGCTCACTGCAAGCTCCGCCTCCCGGGTTCACGCCATTCTCCTGCCTCAGCCTCCCGAGTAGCTGGGACTACAGGTGCCCGCCACCACGCCCAGCTAATTTTTTTGTATTTTTAGTAGAGATGGGGTTTCACCGTGTTAGCCAGGATGGTCTCGATCTCCTGACCTCGTGATCCGCCCACCTCAGCCTCCCAAAGTGCTGGGATTACAGGCGTGAGCCACCGCGCCCGGCCTGTTTTTGTTTTTTAAAGACAAACACAGATTAACCCAAATGAGATTCTGCCGCCTCCTAGTGGTACATAGGGTAATTTTCTGTGTCAATCAGTACATCTGACCCTACAGGTAGGGTGGATACTCAGAAATGCCTCAACCAACAGCAGGCTCAGTGATTCCTTGGATTTCCTGGGGCGTGTGAGTGTATGTGCATGTCTGTGTGTGTGCGTGTGTGTATGCATGTGTGTGAGAGCATGCATTCCTGTGCATGTATGTGCAGATGTGGACCTGTAGGGTCGGCTCTCTGCCTTCACCCAGCCACACCTCCCTCATTCATTCCTGATACACGTGATTTGTCAGAAAACACTGACACCAATGTGAAGTCCTAAGATGAGCAAGTTCAGAATATCTAATGTATCGTATTCGTGGTGATGGGTGCGCTGAGGAATTGATTGTGACTGTCATTGCACAATGTACGTGTACGACAAATTATCACATTTTACACCTTGAATACGTACAATCCTGATCAATTAAATTTTAAAAAGAAAACGCTGACACGTTTTCGTAGGTCCTGTTTCCCTCACTCAGCTTTGAACAACTGTGAAGGCAGAGAGTGGGTCCGAGAGACCTATGCACCCAGGACCAGGCCTGGGGCTGCCAGATGTGAGGCCTTCAAAATTATTTATTGATGCGTGGAGTAAAGCACAACCCAGAGAACTGGGCTTGGCTCTCAGCTGTGTGTGTATAGCACAGTCTCAAGGCTAGCTCTTGACTTCTAGGAAGGTCTTTAGGGTCAGCAGGGCAGATAATTACAGCAAAGTCTCTGGGGTCACTGGAGGTTCACAGCAGACACCTAGGACAAGCTTGGAGGTGGCATCACTGCTCAGGAAATCGGCTGATTGGCTGTAGCTGGGCCTTTAGAACAGGCAGGTGACTTTAGCTGGGTCTCTGGAAACAGTCAGGTGAATAAAGCTGGGTCTCTAGAAACAGCCAGGGAACTGTAGCTGGGTCTCTGGAAATAACTGAGAAACAGTCTGTCCAAGGAGCTGCTCGATTGTAGAAGGGACCACCTGGCTAACGAACCTTCTGGATGCTGGTTAGAAACCTCCAGTCTCCAGCTCTTGTCTCCAGGACAGCTGCCTGGCTGGCTTTCTAGATGAAGAGGAATCCAACAGGAAGCCTTCCAAATGGCTGCTTCAGGCTTTTCCTAGAGTGACTTTCTACCCTCAGGTGCAGAGGCCAGGTGGGTATGGGGTCAGTGTCTGGCAACGGCTGCATACGTGATGGACTCGGCCATGGGCTTTGTGGACTGTGGGGACACAGCCCGGGCTGTCCTCTGTGTGAGGGCCCAGTGGTCCAGCTGAGCATACGTCACCTCCTGGGAACTCCCTGCAGCCAGGGCCTAAGAGGGAGAGACCCAGGGTGAGGGAGTGCCTGGTGGAGGGTGAGGCGAGGGGCTGTGGGGAGGGAGGGCTGTGGCGGCCATCTCCATGGGCCCTGAGGACCCTCTCCTAAATTGCATCCGTGTGAAGAGCCCTCCCACAGGGTATTGGGGTTGGTTTACGTGACAATGAACAAGGCAGAAGGGAAGACTCCTGACTTCCAAGCTGAGCCAAAAGACATGGTGCTTCTGTCCCCTCCCTGCCACCCATCCTTGGATCCCTCCCTCTGGGGGAAGCCGGCTGTGTGGAGAGGCCCCTGTGAGAGGAACAGAGGTTTCCTGCCCACAGCCGGGGAAGTGAGCGTCTTGGACGTGGATCCTCCAGCCCACGGGAGCCTTCGGATGCACACAGCCCTGGGCGACCTCTCGACAGCAACCTCAGGACAGGCCGTGAGCCGGAACCGCCCAGCTGAGCCACTCCTGAATTCCTAACCCAAGGAACTGAGATTTTTTTAAGCTGCTAAATTTGGGGTACTTTAATAACTAGTAGGAAGGCTCACCGAGGTGTCCGTCTCTCTGTCCTTCTCAGGAAGTCCATTGACTGTGGCCTTGTCTTGGGGAGAAAATACATGGTCAGTTTTCTGGGGAGGATGTCGCAAGGCAAATCTGCCTGAGACCCCCACCCCCAGCTTCCGATGACATCCTGCACCCAATGTATAATACGACCTTCTAGAATGTTCCCAAAGATTCTTCCCCCCACCCCCCACATTGCATCTGGATTGGCACCAAGTCCCCACTTCCCCATCCCAGGCCTGTCCCTCCTCCTCCCCCTTTACCTGCTGTCCTCTCTAGAACATCAACAGCCAGGTCAGGCCTAAGAGGAAAAATAAAAGTGAACCTCAGGGGCAGCCTGGCGGCCGAGGACTGGGTGGAGGTCCAGGAGTCATTCCCAGGGGCCTCACCTCTGCTGTGGCTTCTGCTCCTCGTCCTTGCTTCTGGGGGGCCCTAAGGACAGTCGGGGTGTGAATTAAGGAGACCTTCTTCCTAGCCTCTCCTGACAGCTTCCCAGGTCACCCCACCCTGCCCCTGAGACCTACCCTGCTTTATCTGATTCTGGCGATGGAGGCAGAAGAGGACCAGGAGGAGGAGACAGAAGAGGAAGACCACTGAGACCCCGATGAGAATATACAGATGCTCAGCTTTCAGGCCTTGGGAAGCAGGTGCATCTAAGAAAGACAGAAACAGGATTTCAGCAGTGTGCATTTATTGAGCACCTACTGTATACCACACACACGTCACGTGCGTTTCATAGACTTACTAATATATAAAATATCTTAGGTAAATAATAGTCCTGCAGTACAGGGATCGTTATCCCCTTCTTCCACCACCGGGGTCCTGAGTGCTGGAGTCCTCTGCACAGGGACACAGACTGCCATTGGCAGAGCAGGAATCTGATCAACCCCAAAGCCTGACCTCTTTCTCCTTCCCCAAGAGGCACACACCAGCTTCATGCTCCACGGCCCCCATCACTCACGCTCATTGTGACTGTTGTCCGACGGCCTCTGCGTGGGTCCTGGGAGGGAGGAATCAGAAGGAGGAGGAGTTAGAGTCCTGAGCTGGACAGAGAAGGCTCTGAGTCCTCCCACATCCACTGTGGGGATCTCCCTTCACTCCCCAGGACCCTGACTGCTCCCTCTAGACCAGCACCGACCAGCAGAGTCTTCTGTGATGATGGAAACTTTCTACATCTACTGTCCAGCATGAGAGTCACACATAGCTATTGATATTTAAATTTATCCAAAGTTGAATGGCATGAGAAGCTGGCTGCACCGTCTGCACCTCCAGGACTCAGTGACCCCACGGGCCTGATGCCATCCCTACTGGACGGTGCAGATACAGCGCGTTTCCTGGGCGTGAAGCTGTAGTAGACATCGCTAATTTCTGCCCTCTGCGGATCTAGGCAGAGACCAACCACCCGCAACAAGAGGAAGGGAGACCTTCCCTCCCTGACCTCCTTCTGGGTTCCCACCAGAGGGCAAGAATCCTCATGTCTGATTTTATCTGCCCTCGCGGCAACCCTCTGACGGGGATGTAACCCGCCCTCCTGTGGGAAGAATCCAAGTCCCGATGTGCTCCTCTTTCCTGAAGCCCTGCAGCTAGCGGGCGAGTGTGTGGGGCACCGCCCAGGCTCCCTACGCAGCGCATTGCAGGCCCGCCCGTCATCTCCTCCAACCTTCACCCTCCTCTGCACAGTGCACGCCACTACCCAATTCCCAGGTGGCTAAATGGGGTCCTGAGGGGCTCCCCCAAACCCAGGGTCCGAGCCAAGCGTCCCTCTTCCAGGAACAGCGGTCCCTCCCCTCCCCCGGGGCTGAGGCAGCATCTTCAATATCCTTCAAGAAAGGCAGACATTCTCTCTTGGAATGTCCTTCCCTCCTGCCTCGTCCACGGTCTAAGGTCCAGGACACCACCCGTTATTCTACACCATGACTTCCTGGGCTTGGTCTTCATAACATTTGCCACCATTTAAAATTACATATGTATTATATATGTGCAATATTACAGTTTTTATATTATTTATAGTTATATGTATCATGTATTATGCAAATGTATAATATATAACAAATATATTTTTAATTATGTAATCTTGACATATACATATAATTTAATGTATATAATGTTAATTGTATATGATTTATAACTTATAATATATGTTACATATATTCACTATAATATATAATGTATAATTTATATTTGATATAAACCTATGATTAAATATAAAATATTTTTTCTATTATAGTTATACATAATGTATACATAATAGATAATATATTTACATTAATACCTATATTTATTTATTAACTATAACACTTGAAATTTATTATACTATATATTGTAAATATATCTTTCATATAATATATAATATACACTATAGTCATATGTAGTGATACACTAACATGTTTTATTATATAATTATCTTCCTTATATATATAATATATATATAATATATATATATTATGATGTAAACATATATAATATAATTTAAATTATAGGTCTGAAATTCTACATTGCAAATCATATATTTTTATCTGTATATGCATGTATGGGAATCAGTGCATTTCTATTGCTCATTCTAACTATTTCTCCCCATTGAAGTTCACAAGACGGGAGGCCATTTCTCCTCATTCTTGGTGCATCAAATCCGGAGGCTTCAGTGCCTGGCACAGTCCCTGTGAGGACAAAATACTTCCTCAGTATTAATAGGAGCATCCCTCCTTTGGGGTTTTCTAATCAGCACTGATGTCAGCGCCGTGTGTACCTGAACTCAAGTCTGCCCTAAACGATTCTACCAGGACAGCTCTTCTATTGCCTCTGTTTCACATGAGGAATTTGGGACACAGGAGGTTTGGGTGAGTCACCGTCAGGCATAGAGCCAGGAGGTGGCAGAACCACCGGGATTTGAACCATGAACCCAGCAATCTGGCTGCAGGAGGGTCTGTCCTCGTGACCTTTATATGTCACTGCATGAAGGTGAGAGAAGAGAGAAGGAAGGAGAAGAAGAGAGGGAGAGAAACAGAGGCAAGATATTCCCGCAGACAGAAGGCTAATAAAAACCAGACACTGGACTTGAACCAGGTCTGCGGGACTCAGGAGCATGTCCCGCTGTGCCCCAGCAGCCCAGGAGCCTCTGAGGGGGTCCGGATGGAGCACGGCATCGCTCCTCCCACCTCCCCATGTGGCTTCAGCCCCTGGTCCCACCTGCCTGAGCTCACAGCCCGAGCCTCACAGGCAGTCACCGGGTCTAGGTCCAAGGACGTACTCTGGGGATAGAAACCCAGGTGGGGAAGGGGCCGCGAATGGCTTATGACCCCGTGTCCTCCCCTGGGAGTTTCTGGTCACAGATCACAGGGGGAGATGGACAACTTGAGACCCAGGGACTTGGGGCAGCTTCAATCCCATCACAGAGTCCAGGGCAGAGCCAGATGGAAGGGAAGCCTCATGGCTTCATCCTGGTCACCGTTCACAGCTACGTCCCCTCCCTGTGGAGCCCTCCTCCTCTTAAGGGACCTTACTCCACCGTTCAGGCCTCCCCCGGAGATCACAGAGCCAACAGGAGCAGCCCCGTCCCTCTCCGGGTGTCCCAGGTTGGAAGGTGAGTTCTAAGTCCCTCCATCAGGTGCAGAGCGGGGTGAATGGTGAGGCCACGCCCACAAGGGGGCAGCGTGGAGCTCGGGCGAGCCCGGAAGTCTGGGGTGGGGCTGCCCGGGTGGGTGGCCCCTGCCCCTTCATGGCCTTGTGCCGTTAAGCACGAAACTTTAATTTATGTTTTGCATATTAGAGAGGAGGAGGAGTTAGAGGATCAGACTAGTACCTCCCCCATTAAGTGGTGCTTGCATTAAGTGCTTTCCACAGTTCCTGGCATGGAACAAGGTTGCAATCACTGTACCATTGCTGCTATGGTCTCTGTGAGCATTAGCGACCTCCCAGAGCTTGGTGGGTGTCGGTGCCTTCCCGTGGCCTCCCTAGACCTTGACTCCAAGCCCAGGGCAGAGGGCTGGACCCGGAACAGCATCCGCAGCACAGATTCCCCTGTAATCCCCTCCAGCTGAGGGCCCTGCTACTGACCAGCTGAGGAGCCGGGCTCTGTGTCCGGGGAGTCCGGGCCTCCAGAGGTTTCTGTAAACAGGGGCAGGAGAAGGATTTAGAACCCGTCCCAACCAACCTGCCCTCCTCCACCCTGAGCCCCCATCCAAAGGCCGCATGACCATCACGCAATCCCAGACAATGTCTCGAGACTCCTGAGAAAACGAGGCAGGGGACAGGAGGCTGGGGAGAGCCCCGCTGCTTGCCCCATTCTCCCTGGGGCTGGTCACTCCCTCTGCTCCTCCCACCACAAGCTCTTCTTGACCTCAGGGGACCTTTGAGGTCCTGGGGGGACATGAAGGTGGATTGGAGCCTCTCCAGTGGACTTTGACTCCAGGACATCTCGGGCTGAGCACACACAGGGGTGCATGTGGTCACATACCAAAGGTTTTCCCAAAGCACTGTCCCGCCCTGGTCAGGGGCCATCCCTGGACCCTGCGTTCTGCCCAGTGGGAGATGAACCACTCCAGGAGAAGCACATTGCCTGGGGCAGGTTCTGGCTCAGTGGAAAGGAATAAGCGGGACCATCCATCCCGTGTGAAAAGACACTCATCCTCTTGTAGGGGGGTTGCCCCCTAATCTCTGGGAACCCACTCCCCACCCAGCCAAGCAGAGCCAGCTCTGAGCCCACCAGATGCTGGAGCTGAGTGTCCACGCCATCCGTGGCGTCCAGAGGAGATCAGGGCTCCAGGGACCTAAGCGGGTATGAGGCAGAGGGGAGGTGTGTGCAGACGGAGAGGGGAAGGGGAGGGCTTGGCGGTCAGGAGGAGGACAAGGTTGGCCACAGAGGACAGCAGCTGGGACAGGGTCCAGGGACCTGGGGACAAGCTCGAGGGTCGAGCTGAGACTGGGGCAGGGCCCAGGTGACGTCCTCACCTTTCACCAGCAGCTCCAGGTAGTCACTCTGCTCAGACCATTTAGGGGGCTTATAATAGATGCAGCGATAAGGCCCGGCATTTCCTTCACTTACTGAGTCAATGCGGAATCTGGCCTCTGACTCAGATGGACTAGCTTGAGACACATCTTCAGTATCATTGTATGTGGATCTACTCTCCCTCTCCAGGCGGAATGTTTGAACCCCAACCGGGCCCCGGCACACGAAAGTCACATGGCTCCCCAGGGGGATCACGGTGCCTGGCTCAGCCGAGATGGAGGGTCTGGGCAGATCTTCTAGGAGGGAAGCAGAGCAGGATCTCAGCGTCCACTGTAGGAAGTCACCATGCCACACACGTCATTTTAGCATCACAATTCAGGGATTTTAGCAATTTTATAGAGTTATGCAGCCATGACCACAGCCCAACCTTAGAACATTCCCAAGCCTCCTGCACCTTCTACGTGCATGTGATTCTCATCACTGCAGAGTTTTTTCCCAGTTGACAGTGAGGACCCTGAGACTTGCTCACAACTTGGGCCTTGCTCAGGGTCACGTGGGAAGTGTCGGAGCAGGCTGGGGCCCTTCATGCCTGCTGCAGAGCCCAGGGCCACTTTCCAGAGGGACAGAGTGTGGGAGGGAGGCACAGGATGGGGATGACAGGGTCATTGGTGAAGGACAAGGGACAGAGAAGCGAGGGCTCTGGAGATGGCTTGTGCTGGGGCCTGAAGGGCACTGGCCGGTCCCCGGGTGGGACTGAGTGTGGGATGGGGGTTGCCAGGCTCCTTTGAGGGTCTGGTGGGGTGAGGGTGAAGCCCCCAGCCCTGATCTGCTCACAGCAGATGCCCAGCCCGTGACAGGTCCCCATTGCTAATGCAGATCTCTGTGGAGACACCACCTCTGGGTTTTCCTCTATAGTTTCTACTTTCTTCTCAGCCTAATTTGCATTTCCTTCTTATTAAGGCTCTTGAAAAACCCCATTTATCTCAACTGGGCTTGGGGTGGAGGAGGAAGGGCGGGTTTGACGCCCTGAAACAGGAAGGTTGTGTCAAAATTAGCAAAATCCCTGAGCGGGGCAGAGAGCTGGCAGGGCTTCAATTCACTCGTCCCGTCTTCATTCATTCCTTATTATTGACAAATTAAAACTGCATGTATTTAAGGTGTACAACATGATGTTTTGATACAGGTATACACTGTGGAATCGCTGAATCAAGCTAATTAATATAACCTCACTTTGCGTAGTTAATTGTTGTGGTGAGAACATTTAAAATCTGCCCTCTTAGTGATTTTCAAGCATATGATACATTGTGATTAACTGTAGTCATTGTGTTGCACAATCCTGAACTTACTCTTCCTGTCTAGACGAAATTTTCTATCCTTTGACCAGCATCTCCCCAAACCCACCCATTTGTTCATTTTTCTTTCTTTTAACCATATCTCAGTTACTTATCAATCTGTTTAAAGACGTTTTTCATGGGCTGCTAATTCCACAAATGTGAGAAACACACACAGGATGCCTGCCGTTTGGAGGTGGACTTCCAGAAGGGAGGACCGGTATTGATCAAAGAATTGTCCAAATCTGCAGCTGTGAACTGACAGAGTCTTGCTCTGTCACCCAGGATGGAGTGCAGTGGCGCGATCTCAGCTCACTGCAACCTCCGCCTCCAAGGTTCAAGCAATTCTCCTGCCTCAGCCTCCTGAGTAGCTGGGATTACAGGTGCACTCCACCACGCCCAGCTAATTTTTGTATTTTTAGTAGAGACGGGGTTTCCCCCATGTTGTCCAGGCTGGTCTCAAACTTCTGACCTCAAGTGATCCACCCACCTCTGCCTCCCAAAGTGCTGGGATTACAGATGTGAGCCACCGCACCCAGCCTCATTGGTCATTTTTAAAATGAATTATTTTTTTTCAAAATCAGCATGTGAGAAGAACCACCATATTGAGCGGCATATGGAGTGTTTGAGAAAGCGAAAGAACCTGGAGGAATGTAGAGATGAGTGAGCCCCAGGTCACAGGGACAGGATGTGGCTGGGAAAATGGGCATGTCCAGACCAAAGAGAGGTGCACAGGTCTGATTCTACCTGAAGATAAACAGGGGAAGGGCTCTGAGAAAAAAAAAAAAAGATTTCATCTTACGATGAGATATTAAATGAAAATTTTTGAATACAATTTAAAAACTGTGGAAAGTACAATGGTCATGGTTGTGCTTTTGCAAATCGCCAGTCCCTGGGGTCAGGAAGGGAGCAGGCAGCAGTGGCATGGACAGGCTGAGGCCGGCCTCGGGGAGCCACGGAGGGGAGAGGGGCTGTCACCTGGGGGTGATGCAGGAAAAGTCGATGAAGAGAGAGGGAAAGATGAGAAAAATTTAGAGTGAAATCACCAGGACTGGGTGACATGGTGCATCCAGGAGGATGGAGAAGAGGATGAGTGTTCAGAGTCTGCCCTTTGTGACTGTCACGTTCCCCGCCAAGAAGCTGCCGAGTGAAGTGTGGGCTCGTCTGGGGAAAAGTGCCGGGCTCAGCCTTGGTTGTGTTGGGTTTGAATTCTCATTGTGGAAATCGGTGTGCGGAGCTGACCCCTGCACTCCCAGGGTGACCGCAGCACTACTCACAGCCGCCAAGACCTGGCAAGAACCTGAGTGCCCACCACCAAATGAATGGATGAGGAGAATGTGCTGTGTATATGCAATGGAATATTATTCAGCCCTAAAAAAGGAAGGACATTCTGTCATTCGCAACAACATGGATGAACCAGAGGACGTTAGGCTAAGTGAAATAAGCCGGGCACAGAAAGACAATTACTGCGCGTTCTCACTTATCTGTGGAATCTAAGAAAAGTTGATCACCCGGAAGCAGAGTAGAATGGTGGTTATTGGAGGCTGCAGGTGCGGGGCATGGGAGAGACACTGATCAAATGATACAAAGTTTCGAGTAGCCAGGACGAGTGAATTTTTCAGATCTATGGCACAGCAGAATGACAGTAGTTCATAATAATTTATTGTATATTTCAAAATTGCTAAAAGGAGATTTAAAATATTCTCATCACAATAAGTATGTGATGGGGCTGATATGTTAATCAGCTTTATTTAATCTTTCCACAATGTGTACATACGTCATAATATCACACTGTACCCCGCAAATTGCAATTATTTGTCAATTAAAAATAAAATTTTTGAAAATAAGAAAAGCAAAATAAGACAGGTGGAGGATGCGAGAGAGAACTGGGTGAGGGTTGGTTATGCATTTTACATTTGGAAGAGTTTGCAATCTAGGGTATATTTAAAGGGATCTCTCCAGGCCCTCTAAGAATCAACATCACTCCCACCCAGCACTGCCCTTGGGGTGACAGAGGGGACTGGGAAGACGGGACGAAGGCATGACTTACCCTCCTGCGTGTGGATGGTCTGGGCCAGGCAGAGCACTGGAAGAGAAGCCCCAGTGAGAAAAATGCCCAGTGCCCAGTCTCCTTACGGGGCTGCTGTCAAAAGGGGGCTCGATGGAGCTGGGGGGCATTCAGCATTTCATAACGACCAAGCCAACCCTCCTCGACATCACTGTCTCCATGTAATCCTTCTTGCTGCAAAATGGTTTCAAGATAAATCCCAAAGTCTCCTCCTCCAAAAAGGCTCCTGCTCCCCCAGCCCTTCTTAAAGCTGACCTCATCCCCACACCCGGGCCCCTGTTTTTAGGACAAGATCTTCTCTGATCAGACTTAGGCCCCAGGGAGAGCAGCAGGGCAGTCTTGGGAGGAGGAGGACACTTTCCTCCCCAGAATCTTCTGGACTAGAGTCAGGCTTGAGCAGGGAATTTTCCAGACCTCCCGACCCCCTTTCCAGCCTCCCGGCTGCCTCCAGGACTCACCTAGGCCCAGGAGGGCGGTGGGGTGGGGAGACATGGCCCAGGTCCCAGCAGTGCAGCCTGGCCTGAGGCGCACCAATGCAAGGACAGAACTCTGCAGCAGACACAAGCAGACAGGATGTGCTGCCCGGGGGCCTCCTGCCTATGGGGCTTCCACAGCAACTGCCTCACACAAGAGGAAGAGCTTTCTGTCCTGTTCTTTCCACCCTTCCCACTAGTGAGACGAGAGGGAGGGCCTTGGTTTCTGAAAAATGTCGCTTACCCTAAATGTCGCTTAGAGGCAGATGACCGTAAACTAGTTACCAGATGTGTCAGCCTCTTTCTAAATCTATGGGACAAGGCAGAATAAAGGTCGGGCAACCAATTGACTTGGACGCCGTCCCAACTCCACAAGTTAACGGTCGCAGCTCTTGGGCAAGACGTTACAAAACTAGAAGCTGACATTTCCTTGTATTACAAATGGGAGCCATAGAAATCCTTCCCCAAGTTTTTAATATTGTGATCTATGCTAAAATCCCGACAAGGTATTTAACACGTTAAAAATATCCTACAAAGCATATTATTTTTTTAAGGAGACTATTGGTGAGGATGTGGAGAAACTGGATCCCTCGCATACCACAGTAGGAATTAAAAATTGGGCAATCACTATAGAGAACAGTGGGGAGGTTCCTCAAAAAATTAAAAATAGAGCTACCATATGGTCCAGCAATCCCACTTCTGGGTCTGTATTTAAAAGAAACAGGCCAGGCGCAGTGGCTCACAGCTGTAATCCCAGCACTTCGGGAGGCCGAGGTGGGTGGATCACCTGAGGCCATAAATTCGAGACCAGCCTGGCCAACATAGTGAAACCCTGTCTCTACTAAAAATACAAAAAATTAGCTGGGTGTGGTGGTGGGCACAGCTACTTGGAAGGTTGAGGCAGGAGAATCGCTTGAACCCAGAAGGCAGGGGTTGCAGTGAGCTGAGATTGCACCATTGCCCTCCAGCCTGGGCAACAACAGCAAGACTCTGTCTAAAAAAAAAAAAAAAATCAGTATGTCAAAGAGCCGTCTGAACTCCCCTGATCACTGCAGCACTATTCGCAATAGCTAAGACGTGAAAACCATCTAAATGTCCATTGATAGAATAATTGATATAGAAAATGTGGTGCACACACAGGGGAATACTATTCAGCCTTAAACAAGGAAGAAAATTCTGCCATGGGCGACAACACGGACGAAACCTGAGGACATCACGCCAAGCGACGCAGAGGCAGAGACCAAGTACTGCATGATGTCACTTACAGGAGATCTGCAAAGTCACCAGAGTCACAACATCACAGCAGGGAATGGTGGTTACGGGGGCTGGGAGGAGGGGGAAATGGGGAGTTATTAACAAACAGGCCTAGAGATCTGCTGCACCACATACGACCCATCGTCAGCAATAACGTCTTGTTCACTTGAAATTTGTTAACGGAATAGACCTCATGTTATTTGGAGGGCCCGGAGGAAGACAGGAAGAGAAGGGAATGTTTGAAACTTCTTAGAGATGGATTAAATGGTTGTGACCAAAATGCTGATAGTGATGTGAACAGCGAAGTCCAGGCTGACAAGGTCTCAGCTGGAAATAAGGATCTTACTTGGAACTAGAGCGAAAGCCACCTTTGTTACGCCTTAGCAAACAACGTGGCTGCATTCTGTCCATGCCCTAGAGATACCACGCCAGGGTGTCTGGCGGAAGAAATTTCTTTTCTTTTTTTTTAAACGGAGTCTCGCTCTGTTGCCCAGGCTGGAGTGAAGCAGTGCGATCTCGGCTCCCTGCAACCTCTGCCTCCCAGATTCAAGCCATTCTCCTGCCTCAGCCTCCCGATTAGCTGGGACTACAGGCACCCACCACCACGCCCGGCTAATTTTTTGTATTTTTAGCAGAGTCGGGGTTTCACCGTGTTAGCCAGGATGGTCTCGATCTCCTGACCTCGTGATCCACCCGCCTCGGCCTCCCAAAGTGCTGGGATTACAGGCGTGAACCACCAAGCCTGGCCAAGTCAGAAGAAATTTCTAAGCAACAAAGTGTTCAAGTGGCATGGCTTCTTGTACCAACCTAGGCTCAGATGTGGGAGCAAAGAAATTACCTAAAGGTAGAGTTTATATTTAAAAGAGAAGCAAAGTGTAAAAGTTCGAAAAATTTGCGGACTAGCCACATGGTAGAAAAGAAAAGTCCGTTTTCAGGGGAGGAATTCAAGTAGGCTGCTGGGCAACGACTTGCTGGAGAAATTTGCATAACTAAGAGGGAGTCACGTGCTGTACCAAAACATCTCATCTACCCCATAAATATATACACCTACTATGTATACACAAAAATTAAAAATTTAAAAACATATATAGTGACATGAGATGTAGTGTGAAATGTCATTAAAAGATGAGTTTGCATCAGAATAGTCCAAACGTTTCAAAAACATTCCAGCATGATCACTGCCTTGCTGACCAGTCTTCCTCCTGAGACGTGGTGACAGTAATGATCACAAACTTGGATCTCGTGGACAGACAGGGGAATTCAAGCTAAACCCTGGTCCTCAAAGAGTTCTGCATGTTACAGTCCCTGGTATATCCTTCCAATCTAATCCAATTTTCTGTGAGTCCATAAGACAGCAATCCATCTAAAAAATAACAATAAACCAACTAAAACTGCTTAATATAATATGTTAAAGATTTTTTAGGCCGGGTGCAATGGCTCACGCCTGTAATCTTCTCAGCATTTTGGGAGGCCGAGGTGGGCAGATCATGAGGTCAGGAGATCGAGACCATCCTGGCTAACACGGTGAAACCCCGTCTCTACTAAAAATACAAAAAATTAGCCGGGCGTGGTGGTGGGCGCCTGTAGTCCCAGCTACTCAGGAGGCTGAGGCAGGAGAATGGTGGGAACCCGGGAGGCGGAGGCTGCAGTGAGCCGAGATCGTGCCATTGCACTCCAGCCTGGGTGACAGAGCCAGACTCCATCTAAAAAAATATATATTTTTTTTAATTTTTTTTTTTTTTTTGAGACAGAGTCTCGCTCTGTCGCCCAGGCCGGACTGCGGACTGCAGTGGCGCAATCTCGGCTCACTGCAAGCTCCGCTTCCCGGGTTCACGCCATTCTCCTGCCTCAGCCTCCCCAGTAGCTGGGACTACAGGCGCCCGCCACCACGCCCGGCTAATTTTTTGTATTTTTAGTAGAGACGGGGTTTCACCTTGTTAGCCAGGATGGTCTCGATCTCCTGACCTCATGATCCACCCGCCTCGGCCTCCCAAAGTGCTGGGATTACAGGCGTGAGCCACCGCGCCTGGCCTAATTTTTTGTAATGCCTAAGAGATATAAAAACTAAGTGAAGGCTATGCAGTCAAAAGTTAAAGAAAGATGGAGTCCCCAGCCTCAAGCTGAATACTGAACCTGGAGCTCACCTTGATGATGATGAATTAACTGAGCTTTATTTTCATGGTTTTGTAAATCATGAGGACAAGGATAAAGTGCAGGGGTACAGATTCCAAAAGCTTCCACCTCATCATAAGAATGATTTCAAATCACTCACCAACTTCTCATGGTTGCAAGGAATACTACATTTGTTTTGAAACTTAGCATTGAACATGAGGCCAAAACACAGTGGCTCCTGAGAATGACTTTCCTGCTTCTGACTCTTCTTTTACTGGCATAATGGTTTCTATGCATTAGATTATCCTCCCTGCCTCTTTTCACTTTAGGTCTTCATTAGTGATTTTTATTCAGCTTTATCAAAGGATCCTTTGCACACAAACTGCATCCACTTAATCTGTGCAATTCAGTGAATTCTGACAGCTGTGAAACCACCAACATATCCAAGATTTTCTTCACTGCTCAGAAGATTCCTCATGCTCCTTTGCCTCCATGTGGCCACTGGTTCCTTTTTGATATGTATTTGTTGACTGATTTATTTATTTATTTATTTATTTATATATTTATTTTGAGACTGAGTTTCACTCTTGTTGCCCAGGCTGGAGTGTAATGGTGCAATCTTGGCTCCCGGGTTCAAGCGATTCTCCTGTCTCGGCCTCCTGAGTAGCTGGGATTACAGGTGCGCACCACCATGCCCAGCTAATTTTGTATTTTTAGTAGAGACGGGGTTTCTCCATGTTGGTCAAGCTGGTCTCGAACTCCCGACCTCAGGTGATCCGCCCACCTTGGCATCCCAAAGTGCTGAGATTACAGGCGTGAGCCACTGCACCCGGCCGACTAATTCATTTTTTAAACACACTTCTTACCTGGGAATAAATTTAAACTTGCAAAAGAGTTGCAGAGGTACAGAGAGTTCCCATATGCCCTTCATCCAGGTCCCTCTAATGTTCATGCTTTACACGACCCCAGCACATCCGCCAAAAAAAAAAAAAAATTAACACTGGTACAATAATTAACTGACAGGCTTTCTTTGGATTTCATCATCTTTCCACTAACGTTCTTTGCCTGTGCTGGGATCCAATGCAGGGGCACCGTCCTGCATTTACTTCCCTCTCTGTTAACTGCAGAGAAGGGTTTCTGTTTTCCTGGTTGGACCCTGATTAATATTCCCCTAGTATCTGAACTCCAGGTGCCCAGGAAGGTTGGGGGGCAAGGATGTGCTGCCCACTGGGGAAGGAGTGGCTGGCAGAATCGACATCCGTCTGTTCCTCCACAATCCAAGGTCACAGAACACATGGGCAGTTATTCTGGGTTTTTCCATAAGAAGGGTGATACAGAGCTGTCGTTGTTCCATATTATGAGGACCCCTCCACCTTTGCATTCCTCTAAGACCTTTCCTCTGAGACTCTCCTCCAAGCTGGAGAAGACAAGCTACATGCTTATGTCCAAGGCATGCTGCAGATTCAGCATGGCACAGCTCCCTCACTCAAAAACGTTACTTGATGTGGGATGCACAGGCATAGAGTAGTGATTCTCACACTAGACTCAGATACATACACAATATTTGCAACTTAAATTAAACACCAATTAAATGTCAAGTGGAAAGACAACATCTACAGAAATAAAATGACACAAGATGCAATGTGAAATGTCATTAAAAGAAGAGTTTGCATTAGAATAGTTCAAATATTTCAAAACTATTCCAGCACGTCACTGCGTTGCTGACCTATCTTCCTCCTGAGATGTGGTCGCCGTAATGATCTCAAGCTTGGACCTCGTGGACAGACTGGGGAACTCAAGCTAAACCCCGGTCCTCACAGTTCAGCACGTTGCAATCCTGTGTCGTTCCGTCCAATCTAATCCAATCTCAAGGACCCCAGTTCCTGAGCAACCCTGGCTTGGCTCGGCCAAAGGGAAGCGTCTACAGAATCTGAGTCTAGAATGCCCGGAGGTCTGTACTTCTTGCTGTTTTCAGGAGATTCAACTGCAAAGCCCTCCCCAAGTCATCCACATTGGCTCACGTTTCTGTGCCCCACCCTTCCTGCCTGGGAGGACCCTTCTTGTTCAGCCAAAAAAGCAACCTGAGGGTGGGGTGGTAGCAGGGACTCACCCATTTCTCTTTCCATCTTCTGTCGCGGATGCAACCCTGGAAGGAAGACCTCAGGACGATGATCATCTTCATAGGATTCCCGACCTGTGCCTGGCTTTGTCCTGAATATTAGCCTTGGCAGCCTGGCCTGGGCTCCGATGGTGGATGAACTTGGCTTTCCACGGGCTGCCACCTCCAGCCTGCGCTGTGGAGAGACCAGATCCTCGGAACAGTATTTTAACCTTGTCCTCCTTTCCCTTCCAGGGTTTACCAAGACATAGCGGGTGTCATAGATGTGAAAAAGCTTCTGCTATACCAGGGTCAGGAACGGAGCAAAACTGAAAACCGCACAGGATGTGGTCTGCCAGGTGCCAGCATCACAGCTCAAATCCTTAAGAAGCTCCAGCCGCAGGCACGGAAATAAACAGCTTCTCCCTGCCCTGTATACGTCTCCGATTTTACCCAGGATGGGGCTGAGGAAGCAACACAGATTCCCAAACGTTACTTTTTTTTTTTTATTTTGCTTGAGAGCCAAGGCAATATTAGACAAGCCTTACTCCCTAATTAGTGCCTGACAAGAACCATATCTCTGTCCCAATCCTTCTATTCAAAGTAGGCACAATTTGCTTTTACCAAATGTAAAACTCATGTCAAAGCCATGCTGTGAGTATTTACACCAGAGAAATCGGCAAATGCTACACGTCGGGGTTGTTTTTTGTTTTTCTTTTTGCTTTTTTTTTCAGAGAGCTGATTGTCAAGACTTTACCAGCACACTGCTGGTAAATTTCCAAAGGCCAATTTAAAGAAATTTTTTTAACAGAACATGTAAAAAAAAATCAACGTGAAGTCAACATGCTCCAGGGAAATCAGACAATTGATAAAGCATGTCTATTTCTGTAGTGTATACTCCAGCCTGTTTCCCCCTCCTACCTCAGGTACCGTAACCAGCATCTGAAGTCTTATATTCAAATTTCCCTTGCACTTTTGTAAATATAGTGTTCTCTCATCGATGTACCTATTTGGTGTGTATGTATATGTGTGTGTATATATATATATGCTATCATTTAAAAATTGTATTTATTTATTTAAGGTGGGTCACCGAGGCTGGAGTGCAATGGTGCAATCTCAGCTCACTGCAGCCTCCACTTCCCAGGCTCCAGCGATCCTCCTGCCTCAGCCTTCTGAGTAGCTGGGATTATAAGGGTGTGACCCCATACCCAGCTAATTTTTGTATGTTTAGTAGAGATGGGGTTTCGCCATGTTGACCAGGCTGGTCTTGAACTCCTGCCCTCAGGTGATCTGCCCGCCTCAGCCTCCCAAAGTGCTGGAATTACAGGCATGAGCTACTGTGCCCAGCCTCGTTTTTAATTTTAGTGCAAAGTATAGTTTTCAAAACAATGTTTGCAATGTCATCAAATATAGAATGAGCACGCATCAATGTCTTCTTAATTCATTAATGATGAAATCATCATTCAAAATTCCTGTCTTTACCCAAATATTTAGCTTCTTCTGTTGCTCTTCATTTGTTCCTGCGTTTCTCCATTTCCACTGGGATGATTTCCTCTTGTCCAAGCCTTTTATTCTGGCAACCAATGAACTTTACACTCTTTCTATAGTTTTGCCTTTTCCAGAATGTCACATAGTTGGAATCAGACAGTGGATACGCCATTTGGGCGGGCTTATTTCGTGTAGTGATATACATTGAACTCTCCTCCACATCTTTTCATGACTTGAGAGCTTGTGTCTTCTTAGCATGGGATAATATTCCATTGTCTGGACACATAGTTAATCCACTCACTTACTGAAGGGCATCTTGGTTGCTTCCAAGTTTGGGCGATTATGAATAAAGCTACTGTAAAGATCCATATGACCGTATGTTTTCAGCTCCCTTCGGTAAATATCAAGGAATGCAATTGCTGGATTACATGGCAAAGCTATATTTAGTTTTAGAAGAAATTGCCGCACTGTCTCCCAAAGTGGCTGTACCATTTGGCAATCCCACCAGCAATGAATGAGAGTTCCCGTTGCTCCACATCCTCGCCAGTAGGCCAGTATGTGGTATTGTCTGCGTTTTAGAATTTGGCCACTCTAATAGGTGTGTCGTGGTAACTTGGTTCCTAAGATACTGATAGAGGTGCAGAACACCAGCTGGGAAGTCAGCCAGAATGAGCTTCTCCTGTGACTTCCTGTCCCACAGCCTCAGAGAACTTTGACAAGCCACTTCCCCTATAAACTTGTCTTTCTTTCTTTCTTTTTTTTTTTTTTTTTGAGATGAAGTCTCACTCTGTCACCCAGGCTGGAGTGCAATGGCATGATCTTGGCTCACTGCAACCTCCGCCTCCCGGGTTCAAGTGATTCTCATGCCTCAGCCTCGTGAGTAACTGGGATTACAGGCATGCACCACCACACCCAGATAATTTTGTATTTTTAGTACAGACGGGGTTTCACCATGCTGACCAGGCTGGTCTCGGACTCCTGACCTCGTGATCTGCCCACCTCAGCCTTTTAAAGTGCTGGGATTATAGGTGTAAGCCACTGAGCCCGGCCTCCTTATAAACTTCTCTAAATCTAAATTTGTGAATATTCTTTCTTTAAAAGTCGATCAACTGGCCTGGCACAGTGGCTCATGCCTGTAATAC